>NC_000016.10:23638001-23941031 GCF_000001405.40 Homo sapiens | reverse complement strand
ATTTCTGTCTTCTTGGACTTTCAAACTTAATACCAAAAATTGAAAAACAGCTATCATCCTAGTTCTATGAGGCATCCAACACTGGGTTGAGCTATTTGCATGCATTATTTAACCAAATCCATACAACTACTGCGTTATTATCCCTGTTTTATAGTGGAGGAGATTGAGACTGAGAGAGTAAATAATCACCCAAGGTCAGAAAACAGTAGTGGAAAAGCTACGACATAAATCCGAGAGTACCAGTCTGAACACCATTGTAATAGCACATCTCGTCTTATAATTTTTCTATCTCTGGATTTATAAGTCCTTTCTCACTTCTAACTTGCATGTTGTTCATATATATATTTGCTATATATATTCATTGTATATGTTACATAAATATATGCGTGATATATATATGATCTATATATATGATTAAATATATAATTAGAAGTAGATGTTTTATTGGCTCTTTTGTTTGCTTTGCTTTGTTCTGTTTTCCAGGACTAACTCTTAGAGGTATCAACACAATCCTTTTTATATATCCTAACACTATATTTCATCAGAATATAAAATATTATATATTCTCATCTATATTCTTACTCCAGTTCACCTTAGGTTTCTCTTGTGGGTTTTTTTTTCCTTGCTTGCTATAAATATTCACACAGAGGTTTTTGTATGAGCCTTTAAGCTTTGATTTATCTAGGATAGATGCCCAAGAGTGCAACTGCTGGGTCATAGGGCAGTTGGCATGTTTTAAAAAACTGCCAGTTTTCCAGAGTGGCTACTGCAGTTCCCATTCTCAGCAACCATGTGTGGGTGATCTAGTTGTTCCTCAGCCTCCCTTGCTAGAATTTGGCATTACCATTATTTTTCATTTTTGACATTTTGATCTGTAGTGATATCTCATTGTGCTTTTAATTTGCATTTTCCTAAAAGCCAATGATGTAGAACATCTTTTCATGTGTTTATTTGTCATCTGTGTTCCCTCTTTGGTGAAATGTCTGTTGATAGCTTTTGCCCTTTTTTAATTGGATTGTTTGTTTCTTACAGCTGAAACTTGAGGGCTCTTTATGTATCCTAGATAATAGTCCTTTGTCAGATAAGTGATTTGCAAATATTTGGTCCAGATTGTAGTTTGCCTTTTCATTCTCTCAACAGCGTTTTGCAGAACAATAGCGTTTAGTTTCGATGAAGTCCGACTATTCAATTTTTCCTTTTATGGATCATGATTTTGGTGTAAAGTCTAAGAAATTTTCCCTGACCCTAGATTCCAAAAATTTTCTCCTATGTTTTCTTCTAAAAGTTGTATAGTTTTATATTTTACATTTAATAGCATGATCAATTTTGAGTTAATTTTTGTATAAAGTGCAAGACTTGGGCTGAGGTTCATTTTTTGGCCAATAAATATCCAATTGTTCTAGCACTATGTGTTGAAAATTCATTTCTCCATTGAACTCCTTTTGTGCCTTTGTCAAAAATCAATTGAGCATACTTGTGTGGGTGTATTTCTGGGTTATCTATTCTGTTCTATTGATTTATGTGTCTGTCCCTCCACCAATATCACATAGTCTTGACTACGGTAGACTGATTCCTCCCATTTTATTCTACTTCTTCAAAACTGTTTTAGCTATGCTAGTTCCTTTGCCTTCTCATATAAATTATAGAATAATCTTATTTATATCTACAAAGTAATTTTGTTGGGATTTTTATAAGAATCACATTAAACCTGTATATCAATTTGGGGATAGCTGCTACCTTTACTATATTGAGTCTTTCAATTCATGAACACAGTATGTCTTCATTTATGTAGATATTCTTTATTTCTTTCATCAACATTTTACAGTTTTCAGTACATAAGTCCTGCAAATGTTTTGTTGGATTTACAGCTAATTATTTTTTTCCTTTGAGCAATCAATTGTCAATAGTATTATATTTTCAATTTCAGTCTTCCCGTATTCATTGCTAGTTTATAGAAATACAATTGTTTTTTGTATGTTTCCCCTGTATCTGGCAACCTTGCTGAATTCACTTATGTGTTGTAGGATGGCTTGTTTATGGTTGATTGGTTTGTTTTATAGATTCCTTGGTATTTTCTGCACAGATACGCATGTCGTTTGCAAATAAATACAGTTTTATTTCTTTCTTTGTATGCTTTCTTTCTTTCTTTCTTTTTTGCCGTATTGCAATGGTAAGGACCAACAGGAACATACAGCACTATGTTGAACACGTCCCAGGGTCATTAAGGAAAGTATTTTATATTTAAGTCATTGATTTTTTATAACCTTTGTTATTAACTTCTAGTTTTACTTCATTGTGATTAAAGAAAGTTAACAGCATGTTTTCTGACTGTCTTCCACAATGAAAGATGAAAAATTAAGTAAAACCAATAAAAGATGATAGATTAAGTAAAGTTTTCATATCCTTGCTCCTATGTTATCTACTTCCCAGTCTTCATTTATATGCTAGGATTTTGCACTCAAATAGATCATGAAGCTAATTTTACACCATATAGCTACTCATTCACAAATAATTATTGTTGTCTGACACTTAATTGGAGACTTATAACAATTATTTGGACTCAATATTATGTTTAATTACTGGAAGTGCTCATCCCAGTTCCTCCATACCATGACTTCTTCATTCTTAAGTTCCTAATTTTGGATCTGCTCTCAATCAGAGTACATCTTCAATTAACTTTTTCAGTGGTGGTAGATTTGCAGTGCCTTTTTATATCTGAAAACTGTCTTTCTGTTGCCTTCACACATAAGTGACAGTTTGACTGAGAATCAAATATGTAGATGATAACATTTCCCTTCAAAACTCTGTAAACGCAGCTGCATTGTCTTAAGTACTGGGTTATTCTTTGGAAAGATATATCCAGGCCCTGTGTCTGCCAGAAGATTGGTTGTATAGGCTGCCCTTCCTAGTGATGTTTTCGCTAGTAATGGTCCAGTCCTCTTCTCAAGCCATGGTTGGAGGGCAGAACTACACATATAGCACTGGGATTTTAGCAAGCACTCATCCACTGCAGCTCTCTTGAACTGCCTCAGACTCTTCTCCCACCTCCACAATCTGATTCTCTGATTCCACAATGCACTCACACCCTAGTTCCTTCGGTCTCTTCTATGCACCTAACGTATGGCAGCCACACAACTGAACGTTCAATTCACCACCAGCAGTTCCCTACACAAACCACTGCACAAGTTAACTGCCTCCCCTTCCCTTGCTGGCTTCTCTGAATGAATGTAGGAAAATTAGCCATCGTAAGAGGCCTGTGGTCATTTCAAAAACTTAATTTTGAGCAGAAGAGAGTGACTTCCCACTTGGTACGAAGCTGAGTCTCTTAGTCTAGGAATAGGACAGTGGAAGATAGACAAAGCTGTTTCCAGTTGGTCTTGTTCCATCTTGTTGGAGGTGTTGACTGTGAAGGGTAGATCCAATCCAGTGCCATCTGCCTTTGAGTTAATGGATATTTCACTGAGATTCCAGCAACTGGTTATCTGACTATTTTCAGTGTTGTTGACCCTGTTCCTCCTATTCTATGGGCATTTGAGGGCAAACTTGTAAATGCTGCATCAGAGGTTGATAGCCAAATGTTATTTTCAACCCGATGCCAAGACTCAGTCTTTGCTTGGCATTATTGAGCTTGCAATGTTCATGGCAGTCGCAGACTTTGTCCCGAGTAAACCAGTGTGGTTCCACTGTGCTAATCATATGAAAAGATGTCCTCTCACGGCATTGTTCTACAACAAATCCCTTAGAACAGTGGTTCTGAAACTTCAGTGCACAGAAGCATCGCTTGGGAAGCTTGTGTTAAAAATTTATTGGGCCTTGCCTCAAAGAGTCTAATAGGGCTCAGGGTCCACATTTTTAACAAACACCAGATGGTGCCTGCAGGTCATTCAAGAAAGGCCCTAGGAGAACTGCAGCTCCAGAAGCATCTCCTCTAAAACCATTAGATGTACATTTTTCAACTATCCCATCTGAAAGTTCCTCAAAGCCACCAATGGAAAAAAAGAAAAGAAAACCCTGTACCTACTACAATTTCAGAAGCAGAGCTGCCTGCTACAGCAAACTGGAAAATGTGATGCCTTCGTGAAATTTCCCGTCGCTAAAGATACTCTACACATGCCCCTTGACCAAGAAATAGCACTTATGGGAACTCTACAGATGGATTTCTACACATCTGAAGTGATGCATTGGCCACACTATTCTTAATGGCATTGTTTGTAATGGCCCCAAATTGGAAATCACCTAAAGTCCATCCCTACAGGACTTGTTTAATAAATTATGAATTATCCATACTTTACATCTATTAAAAAATGAATACTTGGGCCAGGCTCACATCTGTAATCCCAGCATTTTGGGAGGCCAAGGCAGGTGGATCGCTTGAGTTCGAGACCAGCCTGAGCAACATGGTGAAACTCTGTCTCTACCAAAAATGCAAAAAAAAAAAAAAAAAAAAAAAAATTAGTTGGGTGTGGTGGTGCACACCTGTGACCTCACCTACGCAGGAAGCTGAGGTGGGAGGATCACTCAAGCCTGGGAGGCAGAGGTTGTAGTAAGCCAAGATCGCACCAATGTACTGCAACCTGGGTGAGAGCGAGACCCTGTCTCAAATATATATATACTCTACATCTATTTTAAAAAGTAGTATAAGGAAGCTGTCTTTGCATTGCTTAGAGAGATCTTCTAGACGTGGGGTGGACAGGGGAAGTAATTCAAATATCTAAAGACTGGCAGCACCATGTGAGCTTCTGCCAGTCACTGAGGATGCTCAACAAATCAGAACAAATGCCAGTCATTACACCATGCTGGTGCTTACTAGCCAAATATTAGCAGGAAAAAAAAAAAACAAGGTGGAGAATAGGGGTTGCAGTATGTCATCTTTTGTGTGACAACAAAGGGGGTGAAGGAAAAGATTTCTGAAAAGATATCCAGAGAAGGGGGTGGGAAATGGGTGGATGGAGAACAGAAGAGAATAAGAGACTTTAAAACTGTGTGGATTTTAAACATTTTTTAAATTTCAACTTTCATTTTAGATACAGTAGGTACATGTGCAGATTTGTTACACGGGAATAATGCAAGATGCTGAGGTTTGGTGTACAGATCCCGTCACCCTGGCAGTGAGCACAGTGCTCGACAGGTAGTTTTTAAACCCACCCCTCCCTCTAACTTCCAGTAGTCCAGTGTCTAGTTTCATATTTATGTCTATGTGTGCTCAATGCTTAGCTCTCCCTTATCAGTGAGAATATGCAGTATTTGATTTTCTGTTCTTGCTCTAATTTGCTTAAAATAATGGCCTCCAGCTCCATCCATGTTGCTGCAAAGGATATGATTTCATTCTCTTTTATGACTGCATAGTATTCTGCCACTGATGGGCACCTGGGTTGATTCCATATCTTTGTTATTGTGAATAGTGCAGCATTTTGTATTTTTTTTTGAGTCCTGTGAACATACTACAAAAAATACATTTAAAACACTATTTTAAAAGAGATTTTGGGGTGGAGGAGGGATATATATGCCCAAAGCTGGTGTGATTTAACGTTAATTGTATGCTCCTTTGGGTCCCTGCAGTTTGGTGTTTCTCAAAGCATGCCCATTAGTGAGAAGTTTGCTGCAGCTGGGGGATGGCAGGAGAGAACCTACTTTGTCCATACTGGAAAATGGCTACGGTCTAATCAGTGATGTTCAGAAAACTGACTGCTTCTGGCTTTATAGAAAGTACAGATTATTTCCCCACAGTGGCTCTCAAACCTGGATGCTGATGACAGTCACCTGGAGAGCCTTTAATGAATACTGCTGCTCTGATTCTACTCCCAGACAGCCTGCTTTCACTGACAGAGGTAGAGGCAGGGCATTGGGGCATTTAAAAGATCCCCAGATCACTCCAAGCTGCAGCCACTGGTGACAACCTCCTGAGTTGGCATGCCTGAGGGGAAGTTCCCAGTTTGTACCTATTAAGCCCATCATCCGGGTGGCTCTGTGCTCAGCCAGGTTTGTGGTCAATGGTTCCAGATGTGCCTGCTGCCCCAAGCAAATCCCTCCTCTCACTCAGTCATCACCATACTCAAAGACTCAAGCATTTGCAAAGGCCACGTTCAGAGAAGAAAAGCCAACTTTGTTCAAGAAGTAAGAATTCCGTTTTCTAAATGAAATCAAATATGGTTCTTCCTGAGAATGTGGATCACACTCCTACCACACTGGCTTCCTCCTCCTCCTCTTTCCTCCCCACCCACAACCCCAAGGGCCTCAACTGGAAAACACACTGACATGCACCATCTCCTCTCTCCATGTGCGCAAATTCCACCCTCTAGTGCCCCCATCACCACCATCCCAGTAACGAACAGACTACAAGGGATTAGGCGCACGTATAAACACTGACAATTCCTAACCTGAAACAGACAATGGTCTAGATATATAAAAATTCTATACGCTGAAAATATTTTATGGAACTTATTAATGTAACAAAGGTAAGTACATCTACATGAGAAACAGCAATTCCTAAGAATCAAAAAATAAAGAATATCTTCCTATTAAAATAATACTTATCCCCTGAAGGCAGCATTCCTAATTCAATCCCACAGGATTCCTCTGAAAACATACCCTGGCCCTTTCCAGCCCACAAAGCCACGCCTGAAGCCAACAGTGCTTGAATATGTTGAAAGAAGCTCCAGGGAATAAAATAAGGGAAAACTAGAGCTTTTAATGTCAAAAAAAAAAAAAAAAAACAGCTTTTTTCCTCAATGCCTAAAAATCAACGTTTCTTAGAAATGCCAGACACTGCAGAAGGCAAAGTGTCCCTAGAGAGAGGCCAGGCAGAATCCCATTCACTCCTCACCATAGCTATCTAATATCAATTCTCTACACGTGACCTAACTGAAGAAGGAAAAGCATTTTATACCCAGCTGATAATAGACAGAACCAAGCAAGTCCAGGAAGGAAATCCTCCATTGATCAAAGGGAAAGTTTCGTAAAAAGAAAGTCAAATGGGTGGATGGATGGATGGATGGATGGATGGATGGATGAGTGGGTAGAAAATCAACAAACAGAAGATGATGGATGGATGGATGGATGGATGGATGGATGAGGTAGGTGGATGGATGGATGGATGGATGGATGAATGGAAGGATGGATGGATGGATGGGTAGAAAATTGACAAACAAGATGATGGATGGATGGATGGATGGATGGATGGATGGATGAATAGAAAATCGACAAACAGAAGATGGATGGATGGGTGGATGGATGGATGGATGGATGGATGGATGGATGGATGGAGTGGATAGATGGATAGATGGATGGACGAATGGATGGATGGATAGATGGATGGATGAATGGATGGATGGATAGAAAATCAACAAACAGAAGATGATGGATGGATGGATGGATGGATGGATGGATGGATGGATGGATGGATATCAGTTCACACCACTCTCAAAAGGCTCTGCAAACCAGTCTATAATATAATAATTGAAGGTCTTCTGGTAGAAAATGTTAATTTTCTGATTTAAAATATTATCTTCCCCAACAATGCATGCTCTTTCACCTCATTTTCCTCCCAAACCTCCAAATTATGAAGCCTAACTGTATCAATTAAGAATCTTCTGGCTTGAATTAACAGAAGAGCCAACCATATGCAACTTAACCAAAAGGGGCTCATCAATAAATATCATCCCCAAAATAATAAAGTCTGAAAGAAGGAGGTATGAGTGTCTCAAGAATGACAGTGCTCTCAGTCAGTGTTGCTACAAATCTAGGCACCTGTTCATAGTCATAATGTGGCTGCCATAGCTCCAACAATTATGTCCTCACCTAACAGCCTCCAGAGCAGGAAGAAAGGATGAAAAGAAAGAGTCTTTCCTACATGACCCAAACTGGGTCCAGTGCCCACTTCCAGACCAATCACTGAAAGGGAAATAATCATGGGTCATGCATGCACTGTCCCCTGGGCACATTGCCACCGAACAAAACTAGAAACAAAGAAGGAATCGCCATTGGATGGGTAGCTAATAGCATCTGCTACAGCATTCATTCTCACTTCCAAATCCCAGATACCCACAAGACCCCCTTCAATCAGAACTGCATCCTCGTAATTCTGAAATTCTCCCTCCAGAAAGATTCCAGTAACCCATTCCCTTCATGACAAAGTTTTCCATCTTCATCTCCTTAGCTGTTTCTCAGAGTACTTAAGATTTGCAAGCAACAGAACCCCACTAAAAGCCCCCAGTTCAAGCAAAGGAATAAGTCTGTTACAAGGAAACAGAAACCAGGGAAAGGAACAGCAGTTTGACTTCAATGCAGGATTGTCAGGAACCAAG
Organism: Homo sapiens; assembly: GCF_000001405.40. Lineage (NCBI taxonomy): Eukaryota > Metazoa > Chordata > Mammalia > Primates > Hominidae > Homo > Homo sapiens. Next base: position 23,932,728 of record NC_000016.10, on the reverse strand, counting down.
GCAACTGCTTCCCCCATCCCTCTGGTCCACATGACCTCTGAGCCAGCTTCACTTGTCTGTCTCTCTGAAGATAAGCTTTCTCTATTTTTTGATGCACATTGCATGATTCCTGAGATGCCTGATCCTTCCAGTCTGCTGTTGATGGAGGCTAGCTGGCATTTCTGAATGCTAACTCCCAGTCCCCAGAGAGAGGATCAAGTGGAGCCATACCTGGTTCAGTCAGGGATCAGCAGGAATGCTGGGTCACATTGTTCGAACATAGGTGCTAGGGACTACACCTTGGGGCCTTTTTGCCAAAAAATAGGAAATGCATAGGTTCCTCCCCACCTAGCATCGCTTAGTTTTATTTTACCCATAAATTCTTCAGCATATCTCCACAGATAAGAACAACAAAAAAGCAACCACAATTCCATTATCCCACCCAGTAAAAGCAATAACAATTCTTTATTATCATTTTATATTTCAGTTAATGTTTCCTTCTCCTTGATTATCTCACAATGTTTTCTTTATGGATGATTTGTTTGAATTTATTTCCAAATGAGGTCCACACACTATCTTAGATTGCTATATCTTTTAATTCTATTTTTTTCACACTTCCATGCCATTGGTTTCGTGAAGAAATCAAGTTATTTCTATGTAGAATTTCCTACATATTCTCTGTATTTCCTGTAAATTTGGTTAGATCTTTAGTAATAATATTGCATAGATAGCATTGGCCACTTCTATTTGCATCATATTAGAAGATATATAATGTCTATTTGACTTTCTGTGATATTGAGATTGATAATTACTGAAATTATATGGTGTCTGGGATTTATTTCAAAACATCCAGTATGGAAATGGAGTGAAAAGCATTGGGTGCGGATATGGATGAAAGAGGATTAGCCAAGAATTGATCATTGTTAAGGAAATGCATAGGCTTTCAAGTCATCCTAAAAGGATCTATACAAACTGTCTTTATAGGAACTTCATTATTTTGCACTGGACTCCAAGACCCAGCAGGCCAGAAGGCCGGGAAGTAAAAGGCACCAGCCCTCCCAGAACGACCACCTGACCTCCCCGTCTCGGTAGCACAGCTGGAAAGGAGGGAGGAAGCTTCTACTGATTGGCAGTGCCGCATCTTGCCTGGCACCTGTCCTCTCGCTTCTCTCCTCCCCACTCAGCCTCAGGTTGGCACCTGCTCAGGTCTCTTCTCACACCCTCACCCCAACCTGATGACACTCAGCCTAGCATCAGAACTCCCCACTGGGCTTCTCTTTGCCAAAATCTTTCCCACACAGGGGTCCCTGTCTTCCAGCTCACTCCACGCACATGTCTACCTCAGAAGTGAGCTCAGGCTATTTTAAACTACTGTAGCTGTCTGCCATCTGTCTTGTCTGGAGGCCTCCTGGTCTACTGAGAGGAGAATAGAACTGAATTTGGAAACACAGAAACTGAATTCTGGTCCTGGTCCCACCTTTAGCTCCAGAATCTTGGGACAACCATGGCATCCCTCTTGGAACTGATAAAGAAAACTCCCCTTTGGTTAGCTCCTGGGGCTAACAGCGGCATTAAAGGTGAAAGATAAAAAAGCTGGACAGTAAGGTCTTTGAGCGTGTCTTCACTGACCCCTAACAATGCCAATCACAGCTGGGCATTTTTCAGAAATTAAAGACTTCCTTTACTTATCTGTCAAGACACTCACAGTGCTCCAGGGGATAAGCCCATGCCAGACTGGGTCCATCTCTGGGCACTGAAGCTTGGAAATGGTTACCATGGCAATCAGCTCTGCTGCCTGCTTTCTGAGCGATCCTAGGCAAGTCATCAACCTCTGTGAGCTTCAGGTTCCTCATCGATGATATTTACAAAGTAATAGCATTTACCACTTGACTGTGTGTGGGAATTTCATGAACTGAGTGCTACCCAACAGTAACGATAATAAAATTAAATGTTATCTATGTGTCGTGTATTGCACTAAGAGCTTTACATGTATTAATCCACAACAACCCTATGAAGCTCATAATAAGTACTAAATGTTTTTGTTTGAGGACATAACAACAATAACGTTAGAAGGAAGAAATCTAGAAAGACAGACATTGAAAGCTGAATTTAATTTCTTTCCTAGAATCTCCAGATAAGTCATTAGAATGCTCTTCAAAAGAGCAACTTCATATTTTTTTTTAGACAGGTTCTCACTCTCTCACCCAGGCTGAAGTGTGGTGGCATGAACATGGTTCACTGAAGCCTCGACCTCCTGGGTCCAAGTAGTTCTCCCACCTCAGCCTCCTGAGTAGCTGAGACTACAGGTGCATACCCCCATACCAGGCTAATTTTTGTATTTTTAGTAGAGATAGGGTTTCACCATGTTGCCCAGGCTGGTTTCGAACTCCTGGGCTCAAGTGATCTGCCCACCTTGGCCTCCCAAAGTGCTGGGATTATAGGGGTGAGCCACCATGCCAGGCTTCCATAAATTTCTGGGTAGGGAAAAAAATAACTCACCTTGTGCACCTGCCCATCCATACAATCCATACAAAGTGTGGCTGCCTTGGGGCATTAGAAACTGGCTCCGTCAACATCTGCCTCCAATCCTGACATCTTTTCTCAAGGTGTTATCTTCCCCCAGATTAAAGCTTTCCAAAAGACAACAGCTGGCTTGGAGACAGCTGTCTCTCCATGTAAGCAGAGTTACTAGGAGGTTTGAGAATCACATGAGCTCTCTACAAATCCCATTTCGACCATAGCAGATGGTAGAGAGATGTCTTACACATATAAAATGTTACAGAAGATTTTTTCGGGGGTCCCGGGGGAAGAGTCACATTTCATAGTACGCTGTGCCCCACCATCTCATCAATTCTCTCCTCCTCACTGCCCAAAATCTTCTCCTTCTACTTTGCAGAGCACTCAACCTCTCCTCTTTGAAATCTAGGCTCCAGAAGAAAGGGAATTTCATCTTTTCCCTAAGGTTTTATCAAAGTATTTTTCCAGACAAGAAAAAAATAGATCCCTTACAAAAAGAAACTGGTGCAATTCATTTCTTGCCCAAGAAATATTTCTCCAGCATCCATTACATGCCAGGCACTGTCCTAGATGCTCAGGATACAGAAGCGAACAAGCTGTAAAGATAATACCATCGTCTCTGTGTTGTTACAGGTATGATTACGTAGAAAGTATTAGTGTGTTAACATGTACTGAGGGGTCGCTGAATTCCAGACACTGCAGAATGCCTTCTCCACATTAGTTTACTTCACTCTTCACAACCCTCTATGAGGTATTTCACTCCTATTTGACAGATGAGAAAACTGAGGCTCAGAGAGGTTAATAATCTGCCTAAGACCACACAGCAAGGAAATGGCAGAATCCAGACTTAAATCCAGGTCCATCTGGTTCAAGAGTTCATGCGTTTAGCCAGTATCCTGTGGAGGTCACATCAGCCTTTAGTTTCTAATTGTTCAATAACTCCCCTGAGTCTCCAAAAAGGACTGCAAACTCTGTGGCCTGGCATCAAAGTCCTCCTCGTATTTTCTGCTACAATTTCCCACAAATGTCCTTCGGCCGCCTAGATTCCTGCCATGGTGAAGGACTAATTTGTCCTGAAAACATCGTACACTTTCTCTCCTCTGAGCCATCTCTTATGCAGCACCCTCTTAAGCCAGTCTGCCCTTCCCCATCTCCAAAACTCCATTACAAAACTCCAGCTTTATCTGACAAAACATCTCCTTAAACACTGGATACAGGCCTGGCGCAGTGGCTCACGCCTGTAATCCCAACACTTTGGGATGCCGAGGCGGGCGGATCACGAGGTCAGGAGGTCGGGAACAGCCTGGCCAACATGGCAAAACCCCGTCTCTACTAAAAATACAAAAATTAGCCAGGTATGGTTGTGGGCGCCTGTAATCCTAGCTACTTGGGAGGCTGAGGCAGGAGAATCGCTTGAACCTGGGAGGCGGAGGTTGCAGTGAGCCGAGATCATGCCATTGCACTCCAGCCTGGGCAACAAGAGCAAGGCCCCATCTCAAAACAAAAAAAACAAACAAAACAAAACAAAACCACTAGATACCAAAATCACCTCCTCCAGGAAGCCCTCCCCAGTCCCCCAACAGAGGTGCATTTCCCAGCTCATATCGCCCACTGTCCTCCTCTTTCTACCTTACCCCAGCTCCTAGCTCAGTCACTTGTCTGTGATGGATGTTCACTGACAGCGTCTCCACCCTCTGATGGAGGTCACTTCCTTATACAAGGCCTGAGTTCCATTCATCAGAGGGTCCCCGACTGCATGCATACCAGAGTGCCTTGCACAAGCTCTTGCTCAGTAAATGTCTGTGGGCCGGGCGCGGTGGCTCATGCCTGTAATCCCAGCACTTTGGGAGGCCAAGGTGGGTGGATCACCTGAGGTCAGGAGTTCGAGACCAGCCTGGCCAACATGGTGAAACCGTGTCTCTACTAAAAATACAAAAAAATTAGCCGGGCATGGTCGTGGGCATCTATAATCCCAGCTACTCAGTAGGCTGAGGCAGGAGAATTGCTTGAACCTGGGAGGTGGAGGTTGCAGTGAGCTGAGATCATGCCATTGCACTCCAGCCTGGGCAACAAGAGTGAAACACCATCTCAAAAAAATAAAAATAAAAAATAAACGTCTGTGGAAACAGCCCTATACATTCTTTCATTTCTATATATTTCAAGAGTATTTCCAAAGCCAGTATTCCCAGCCTGGGCCCCTCCTCTCTTCTCGCCTGAATCTACATGAGCTCTTGGCAAAACCCCAGCACACTCCATGACTGCAATGACTACTGATGTGCAGCTAAGGCTCAGATCTCCACCCTGAGCCCAGATCCACGCCCTAAGCCCCAAGATATCCACACGCCAACTGGTCTGTGCCATTTGGACACCAACTAGGTGTCTAAAAGGGAGACAGCCTTCCCTCAAAACATGTTCCTCCTCCCATGGTTCTATCTCTGTCAAAAGCACCACCAGCGCACCTAGTACCCAAGCCAGAAACCAGGGAGCCATCCCTGACTTTCTCATTCCTCCCACGCCAAATCAATCACTAAGTTCTCTCAATAACACCCCCTAAATATCTCTTGAATCTTCCATCCACCTCTCTCCTTCCTCACCACCACTCAGGCGTCCTCAAGTCCTGCCTAGATTACTACCACCGCCTCCTAACCCAAGATCCTTCCTCCAGCCTTGTCACTGTGAAATTCATTTTTAACGGCAGCCAGAGTGGTTTCTAAAAGACAAATCTAATCATGTAATGCTTAGAAAAAAGAAAAGGCTCTGTACTCTCAGAATAAAATGTACACACTCTTTCATAGGACAGATGAGCCCTTTATGACAGGGTTCCTTACTTCCTTTTCTCTGAGCTTGTCCCTAAACACATCCCCTACCCTGAAAATACACAAACATGCCCTTCATTCCAGCCATGCCAAAGTGATTTTGGTTCTTCAATCCTCTTGTGCTTTTGTATATACTATTTCCTCTGCCTGGAGCACTCTCCCCCTTCTTTCCACATCCTCCTTTACTTAGTTAAACCTGTCATCCTTAAGGTGGGACTTTGATATCATTTAGTCCTGGAAGCCTTCCTGATGCCTTCAATTAAGCACCCAACTCTACGCTCACACCATGCGCTTACAGCCATCACAGCACATATCTCACCGTACAGGCACCTGCCTGGTTAGCCATCTGCATTCTTTACCAGACAATAATTTTGGTAATAGCAGAGGCTACGCCTGTTGTGTTCACTGTGAGACACCTCAGCACCACCACCACCATACGCAGTAAGAAGTATTCAATAAATACTTTAATGGATAAATAAATCGACCAATGTATACATCGAAGCTTTTGAGAAAACTTGCTTTTAAAAATCTGGCAGGACAATTTTTTGAAGCTTGGGAGCTGCCTTGTAGACTGAGATCTTTTACCTGAATTTTGGGCAGCTATCCAAAGAAGAAATTATTATATAAAAGATGCCTGCACTCATACGTTTATCACAGTACAATAGCAAAGATATGGAATCAACTTAAGCATCAATCAATGGATGACTGGATAAAGAAAATGTATATATATTTATATATACATATATATTAATATACATATCATTGTGTGTATATAGACACACATACCACCATATATATACATATATACACGTATGTGTGTGGTATATGTATGTATATCTATATATACATACACACAATAGAATACTACTCAGCCATAAAAAAGAGTAAGACCTTTGATTTTATTTTTATTTATTTATTTATTATTTATTTTTTTTGAAACAGTCTCACTCTGTCGCCCAGGCTGGAGTGCAGTGGGGCAATCTCGGCTCACTGCAACCTCCACCTCCCGGGTTCAAGTGATTCTTCCACCTCGGCCTCCTGAGTAGCTGGGACTACAGGCACCCGCCATCATGCCCAGCTAATTTTTGTATTTTTGCAGAGATGGGGCTTCACCATGTTGGCAAGGCTGGTCTTGAAGTCCTGACTAAAACAGGGTCTCACTCTGTCACCCAGGCTGGGGGGCAGTTGTGTGATCATAGCTCACTGCAGCCTTGAACTCCTGGGCTCAAGAGATCCTCCTGCCTCAGCCTCTCAAGAAACTGGGACCACAGGTACACAACACGATGCCTGGCTAATTTAATTTTTATAGAGCCGGAGTCTCACCAAGTTGCTCAGGCTGGTTTCAAACTCCTGGGCTCAAGTGATCTTCCTTCGTCAGCCTCCCAGTGTGCTAATATGACAGGCATGAGCCACCATGCCCAGTCTGAAATCATGTCTTTTGCAGCAACAGGATGGAACCCAAAGCCATTATCTTAAAAAAAAAAAACTCAGAAAGAGAAAGTCAAATAATGCATATTCTTAGTTATAAATGGGAACTATATAATACACATAGACACAGAGTATGGAATAATAGTCATTCTCCAATGGCTACTGAATGACTGTTGAGTAATAGTCATCCTTCTTGGAAGGGTTGGGTGGGGGAGTGAAGGATAAGAAATCACTTAATGAGTACAGGGTACCCTATCTGGGTGATGGACATACCAAAAGCACAGATTCTACCACTAAATAACATATCCATGTAACAAAATTGCACTTGTGCCTTCTCAATTTATACAAGTAAAAACTTTTTTTAAAAAATTTAAGAAGTCCTCATGTTTGGAAGAGAGACAGGATGACCTCAGACAGGGATGCTGGGTTTCGGCACTTCAAGGCTGACAAGACAATGTCAAGAATGGAGTCCTTGGATCCCCAGTCCCCTAGAAATGGGATGCAAGCTCTCTGTCCTTGGAAACGGCCAACCTTAAGAACACAGGCATCCTGGTTAACGAGAGGAGGGTCACGTCCAGGAAGAGAGTGATTATCATGGCCACAGATACCCAATGACCAGTCAGGTCTGAAAGAGCCCCAATGGGCAAGTCCTGCAGAATGAAAAGGGAGAGAGGAGTGATCCACTAAGATGTTATCAGGGCAGAGGATGGGGACCCCATTGTAGGGCACTCCAGGCAAAATTTTACAGGAAGAAATAGCCAAGAAGTGACAATGTCAATGCTTTCCTATTTTATGTTCTTTCCATCCCATTCTCTCTTTCCTCATCTCTCAACATTCTTCTAGTCATTGTGCTCCATTTTCCCTCCACTGAGGGGTCATATTGAGGTAAACTAGAAGGCAGTTAAATAACTATACCCCAGATGTGCCAATCAATGGTCAAATATTGACCTGGAAGACCTTACCTAATGAATTGAAATAGGGTCCTCCCACTTGGTCCCAGTCCGTAAATCATTTTACCCAGGTCCAGAATGAACCTATATAGCATTTACTCATTAAATGAGCAGACAACATGTGATTGGGTGGGTCTAAGGAGACTTTGCAGTTTTGTTGTTGTTGTTTATAATTGACAAGTAAAAATTGTATACATCTGTAGTGTACAACATGATGTTTTCCTACATGTATACATAGTGAAATGGCTAAATCAAGCTATTTAACATATGCATTTTTTCGTAGTGAGAACACTTAAAATCTACTCTCTTGGCAATTTTCAACTATGCAATATATTGGAATTAACTAGTCACCATGGTATACGTGGAGCCTTTGAATTTTAGGATCAGGATGTAGAGATATCTTAGTTTATTAGGAAGTAACTAAACAAAGATAAATATTAGAGGCTTGTGTTTGGGTATTGAAAAATTAATTAATATATGTGTCACAAGAGGAAACAGAAACTAGATGGTTAACAAGAAGAACACAGAAATAGAGAAGTTCAGTTGTGTGGTGGTCGCCAGATCAAATATTCTGATTCTCCCCTCCTCCCAAGTACACAGCAATATGATACTTGCCCAGCCGCTTTGAAGTTAGGCATGGCCATGCGTATTAGTCGGTTCTCACACTGCTATCTTGATACTACCCGAGACTGGGTAATTTCTAGAGGAAAGAGATTTAAATGACTCACAGTTCCGCATGGTTGGGGAGGCCTCAGGAAACTTACAATTATGACAGAAGGCGAAGGGGAAGCAAGCTTGGACCTTCTCACATGGCTACGGGAGAGAGAAGAGTGAGGAGTGAAGGGGGAGGAGCCCCTTATAAAACCATCAGCTCTTGTGAGAACTCACTCAGTATCATGAGAACAGCATGGGAGAAACTGCCCCTATGATCCATTCACCTCCCACCAGTTCTCTCCCTAGACACATGGGGATTATGGGGATTACAATTCAAGATGAGATTTGGGTGGGGACACAAAGTCTAATCATATCACAATGTGACTTGCTTTGGCCAGTGATACACGCTTGGCAGTGACAAGTGTTTATAGGGAGCGCTTCAAGGACCAATACGAGACTTGCCAATCATTTTCCTCCCTCAGTGATCATGGAAGCATGCTTCAAGTTGGTGTGCTTCTATTGGGTAGGTTACTTCTGTGACCACAATGAGCAATCCCTTCCCTTACATGTTCACCCGTGTCAAAACAGGTTGATTATGGTTGGGACCAGAAATAATGTCTGGAACTATGGAGATGCCAATATCATCTCAGTATTAGGAGAAACCCTGTCATTATTAGAGCTGCACAAACACACCATTTTGGGGGTAGCATGTTAGTAACTGAAGATTGGACAGTCACCAATGGCGTGCTATGAAGGGAATTCAAGCATTAGATGGTTCAGTGAGTATTCAATTAACCTTATTTTAATAACAATACCAAATATCCTTCTGGAGAACTATTCCTTTCCCACTCTTGGTCCACATAATTCAGGTAGTGTTAATTCCATCCGGAACTCCAAGAGTAGATAAGGGTGGTCAATCAGCACATTGCTTTTTCACTGGCCCTAGTAGCTAATTTAGAGCCTGTGAGATATAACAAGAGAAAGAGGTGCTCTTCTCTACATGGACTTGAACCTAGAGGAAATGTGAGTAGAGCTTCCATAGCCATCTCACCTTGATGAGGGGAGTCTCTTCCATCTGAGAAGGGAGCCAATACATAAGCAGAGATGGAATAAAGGAAACCATGTCCTGGAAACATAACAAACCCCTGGATCAGACAATACCTGAAGGCAGCTACCCTTGGACTTTTTGGTTTTATAAAGGCAATAAATTCCCTTCTGAATTAAGCTAGTTTGAATTTTCTGTCACCTGTCATAACCAAGATTCCTGCCTCATACAAAGGGTGGTTGAAATACATGAATTTTAAGGTTCTGTCCCAACCTGAAATTTTAAGATTCAAATAACAGCATTCACTAGCTAACTACATTTAGCATTAAAAGGTGTAGGTAGCTAGGAGGCAGGAAAAAAAGGTAACTCTAAAGAACAGACAGATCTATTAAGATTGGTCAAGGCTGCAAAAATCTAAACTATGTCTGTAACACTGGCTACCTAAATTAAATGCCCTCTGGATCTTAGCCACTGAGTGTGGCTCATGTGGACATTGGCCACCATTCTACCCATGAAGCCATAATTATAAATCAAACCACATTTCCTGATCCCTCAGTAAGGTGCAGCATTGTGTTATGCTGGCAGGAGCTACTGTGGCTAAGGCCCTGGAGGAAGGGTAGTTTGCTATTTTTCTTTTTGAAAATGTGTTGTCAAAGCAAAGGTGTCATTTAGAGAAAATGTAACTGAAGTTTCTGCAGAGATCATTCTGTAGTGACCAACACAGTCACTGTATATTTCAAAGTTGACATTTCCAAGATGTATCATAGCTCTTTCACATGCTATCATCACACAAAAAAACTAGGTAGCTCTGCTAAATAACATTTGCATATAGTCTTTAAAAATGCAAATAGAGTATAGATGAGAGGTTGCAGAGATCTAGCCTAGAGACATCTTTTTTTGGTCCATACCATGTCTTTAATAAAAAGAAAAACAAGAAATTTTGCATGAAATCCAGATTTCTGGCTTCTCTTGAAAAAGTAGAAGAGCTGGCAGCCCTAGGATCATATTCCAACAGAGGAAAAATTACTACTGGTGCCCCTTTAAACAAAACACCCACTATTCAATTCAACATGGGTTCCTGCCACCACCTCTGTTTTATACCCACCCACTTCACTCATTTAGGTCTCCTGCCTAATTTCTGTAGGATTTGAGTCTACAACTCTTTTACATTTACAAATTTGTCCACAGATAACTATTAAGACGTCATTTTTATCAGCCAATGTCCTTCTAAACATGCTGGAATTCAATGTTTTCATTATCATCCGATAGTGTTCTATGCACCATAACACCAAACATCTCAGTCAGTAATTACCCATGAACTTCCATGCCTTCAAGCCTTTGCTCTTACTGTTCCCCTGCCTGCTCTGCCCTTTCCCTAAGTCTTTGCTGTTGGAACCCAGCTGAGCCTATAAGATTCAACTCAAATGCCTTCTTCTTGTGAGGCCTGCCTTGATGCCCACCCAAGAATTAGGGTTCAGAATTAATGATCTATTTCCTGGCATTATTGTGATATGAGGGTATAGCATATCTTTTTTTATTTATTTTTTCTTTTTTTGACAGAGTCTTGCTGGAGTACAGTTGTGCAATTTTGGCTCACTGCAACCTCTGCCTCTCAGATTCAAGCAATTCTCCTGCCTCAGCCTCCCAAGTAGCTGGGATGACAGATGGGTGCCGCCACACCCAGCTAACTTTTGTATTTTTAGTAGAAACAGGGTTTTGCCATGTTGGTCAGGCTGATCTTGAACTCCTGGCCTCAAGTGATCTGCCCACCTGTAATCCCAAAGTGCTGGGATTACAGACGTGAGCCATCTTGCCTGGCCTAGCACATCTTTATCACACCTCAACCCTTATTTCTTCCCATTTTCTATAATAGTTTATAACGATCAGGCTGTCTCCTCACGAGACCGAAAGCTCTTCAAGGACAAGCACTAAGTCCCCAATACCTTAATGGCAACTTAATCACTTATAAGGTACCAGCACCTTACCTGTCTTTTCTCATTTAAACCCCACACAATCCCTATGAGGTGGGTCTTATTAATATTGCCATTTGAAAGATGAGGAAACTGAGACCTAGAGAGACTCAGAGCCCAAGAGTGGTTTTCTTAAGCCCTCTACTACTTGGGCACACATTCTTCATTACCCTGTGATATGGTTTGGCTGTGGCCCCACCCAAATCTCACTTTGAATTGTAATAATCCCTGCATGTCAAGGGTGGGGCTAGGTGGAAATAACTGAATCATGGGGGTGGTTTCCCCCATACTGTTCTCATGGTAGTGAATAAATCTCAGGTGATCTGACGGTTTCATAAATGGGAGTTCCCCTGCACATGCTGTCTCCTGCCTGCCACCATGTAAGACGTGACTTTGCCCCTCATTTGCCTTCTGCCATGATCGTGAGGCCTCCCCAGCCATGTGGAACTGTGAGTCCATTAAACCTCTTTCCTTTATAAATTACCTGGTCTCAGGTGTGTCTTTATTAGCAGCATGAGAACAGACTAACACACTCTGTATGTAGAAGGCAACAGAATGTGCTGGGTGGAGCCGAACACTTCTGTTAAATAACTTCCACCAATTTCTGCAGGACTCTTGAAGGGCTGTTCTTCCCCTTCCATCCCCTTCCCCTGGGCTCTGCCCCAGCCCTGAGCAGCCTGTCTCACCCACTCTTCTCCCCAAGAGTATGCAGAGAATGCCACTCTCTGCTCCCACACACCGCCTGACAGGAAAGCTGGGTAACCTTCCCTTATCACACCAGCCTTTCCAGGGGCTCTGCTTCCCTCTGAAATTACATTAAATTGTTCCATTAGTGTCAAAAAAGGAAGATGCATGATATTTTATGAATTTCCTTTTTTAAAGAAAGTTATCTTCAGAACTGTACTCCTGCTGACTGCTTCCAGAAAGTTGGAGGTTATTTGGGGGCAGAATTTATTTGCAGAAAAACCACAAAATCGGTTTAAATGCCAGAATTTATTCTAGTTGGCTTGCTTGAATCAATACAGATGTGATAATGCAAAATCATAGAAGTCAACTTGAATAGAATTTCTCCAAAGAAGACACATAAATGGCCAATAAGCACATGAAAAGATGCTCAGCATCACTCATTAGCAAAATGCAAATCAAAAACCACAATGAGATACCACCTCATACCCATTAAATGGCTACTATCAAAAAAAGAAAAAGAAAATAACATGTGCTGGTGAGGATGTGGAAAAATCCTTGTGCACTGTTGATGGGAATGCAAAATGGTGCAGCCACTATGAAAACAAGTATGGTGGTTCTCAACAAATTAAAAATAGAATTACCATTTAATCTAGCAATTCCACTTCTGGGTTCATAGCCAAAAGAATTGAAAACAGGGCCTTGAAGAGATATTTGTACACTCCTGTTCATAGCAGCATTATTCACAATAGCCAAAAGATGAGAGCAATCCAACTGTCCATTGACAAATGAATGGATAAAAAAGTGCAGTCTATAAAGCAATGAAATATTCAGCCTTTAAAAGAGAAGGGAACTTCTGACACACGCAACAATGTGGATCAACCTTGATAACGTTACACAAAGAAAGAAATCTTAAGATGACAAATACTGGATGATTCCACTTATATGAGATACCTATAGTATTCAAATTCATAGAGACAAAGTAGAATGGTGGTGGCCATGGGGTGGAGGAAGAGGGAATGGAGAATTGTTGAGTTTTGAGTTTGAGAAATGATAGAGTTTTTGAGTTTTGCAAGATAAAGAAGTTCTGGAGATCTATAGCACAACAATGTGATCCTACTTTCTGGCATCTGCAATGATAGCATGTTGCTTGTGTACTAAGAAAAACTAATAAAATATGATCCATTTCAAAATATAGAGATATCTGGTTATATAGCAAAGATCATGAAAATATATTCAGGAACCCTATCCGGTATTTTTGTCAGACTCCAGGAAATTTTGGAGGTTTTTTTTTTTTTGCAAATTCGTCCATGACTCTGTTCTAACATAAGCCTCAGTATTCAAAGCATATTCACATAGTATCTTTCCAAATGTGTTTTATAAGTAGTATAATTTGATTTGGTTTTGGATGTATCCTAGGGAATATTCCAAAAGTAATAGAGCTATAGTTACTTTTGTGCAGAAATTTTCTCTACTGCTGGATCCTTAACAACTTATATCCCTTACATCACACTGTGATGAAGGCTCAAAGATATACTTGATGGATAACACATTTACATAACCCTTTAAAAAATACGTGTTAATTTAAACAACAAAATGAATGTTTCATCTTTGAAATAGTCACCTTAGAAGGTTTAATAAAGAAAACTGTATCTAAACGGAATTTCTAAAGAGGATACTAGAAACATGTTTGAGCCATGACAAGTTCCTTAGAATAAGTGAATAGCCAGATTATGCTCAAAGCAAGTCATCTCAATCCTTAATCATAAAAGTATTAAAGCTATGAACTTATCTGCAAGCACAGCATTGGCTGATCTTATCCATTGTTTTATATAGCACTCTATTTTTTTTCATTTATAGCCTCTCTGCAATTGTACTTTTGAGTCCTATTTAACTCAATAGTTATTTAAGAAAATATTTTTAATTGCTTGATGCTTAGATTTGATTAGATATTAGTTTCATTTCATCTCTTACAAAAGTAACACAAAAGGCCTGGCATGGTGCCTCATGCCTGTAATCCCAGCACTTTGGGAGGCCGAGGCGGGTGGATTACTTGAGCCCAGGAGTTCGAGACCAGCCTGGCCAACATGGCAAGACCCCACCTCTACTAAAAATACAAATATTAGTTAGGCCTGGTGGTGTGTGCCTGTAGTCCCAGCTACTCGGGTGGCTGAGGCACGAGAATCTCTTGAGCCCAGGAGGTGGAGGTTGCAGTGAGCCAAGATCACGCCAATTCACTCCAACTTGGGTGACAGAGTGAAACTCTATTTCAAAAAAAAAAAAATAATAATAATAATAATAATAAAAAGGTAACACAAAGAACAAGTCTTTAATAATGGAAACTTAATCATGTGAAGTTGACTGAAATTTAGGGAAAAGATAAGTATCTTCTAGTAGACCTCACCTACTCTGTGAAGGACAGACCATTATTTCCTATGTCTTCCCATAGAAACCCCCACTGCTTCTCCATCACCACCATCCCAGTTTTGCTTTACATCTTTGTTGGCTCCCTCCCATCCCTCCAAGTGTCAAAACATCCCCCATCCCCAAGTCAAACTGCCCCTCTTGTTTAGAGATTCACAAAACAATCCCCAGCCGGCTCTAAGAAGTCTTTTGCTGTTCTTGCTGATAAACCCCATTTTATTCATTCCCCATATTTTCCTCTCATCTTAGTAATTTGAAATGTTTCCTTGACATATGCAAAATATTCAGGGCTAGTCACGTAAGATCACCAAGAAAGACAAAGAAACCAAATGTGAAATGCGTTGATTAGTCCTCCACACCCTGCCTTCCCTTTGGAGGCAAATGTGTTTCTAAGACAGACACGAAATTTTCTCTTGCTTTGAGTCAGCTTTACGAGATCACTTACCCTCTGATACCCACTAATGTCTTGCCAGAAACTGCAAAAAACATCTGATCCTCTCTCTGGGCCTGCGATGAAACCTTTCCTCAACCAAGTAGAAATGAATGGCAGTGCCTCTGTTTTAAATGTGGTCCATCTGGAGAACTGCAGAGAAGTCACAAATGGCCTTCCACCAGTGACCGCCACCTGGCATGGGGCTCACCAGCTCTGCTTTGTCCTTGTCACTCAGGCCTGTGGAGGCCAATCCCATTCATAATCGAGAGCTGCAGTCCCTCCTAATCTCCGAATGGACATCCTTCCTCCAGTCACCCCAGGCCAGGTCATATGAACAAGGAGCTTGGACAGAACCACAGGAAGGGTTTCTGAGTCAATATATCCCAATTTTGGAAACACCCCAGGGATGCCCATACTATGGACCACGATGCAATCATAAAACAGAATGAGGTGGCCGGGCGTGGTGGCTCACGCCAGTAATCCCAACCCTTTGGGAGGCAGGTGGATCATCTGAAGTCAGGAGTTTGAGACCAGCTCGGGCAACATGGCAAAACCCTATCTCTACTAAAAACACAAAAATTAGCCGGGTGTGGTAGCACACACCTGTAATCCCAGCTAGTCAGGAAACTGAGGTGGAAGAATCACATGAACCTGGAAAGTGGAGGTTGCAGTGACCCAAGACCACTGCACTCCGGTCTGGGCAACAGAGCGAGACTCTGTCTCAAAAAATAAATAAATAAAAATAGAATGAGACATTGGGTGCAGTGGCTCACTCTTGTAACCCCAACACTTTGGGAGGCCCAGGTGACCCTATCACTTGAGCCCAGGAGTTTAAGACCAGCCTGGGCAACAGGGACAAACCCTGTCTCTACCAACAACAATGAAAAAAAAAAATACAAAAATCAGCCAGTCATGGTGGTGTGTGCCTGTAGTCCCAGCTACTTAGGAGGCTAAGGTAGGAGGATTGCTTGAGCCCAGGAGGCAGAGGCTGCAGTGAGCCAAGATCACACCACTGCACTCCAGCCTGGGTGACAAAGCCAGACTCTGTTTCAAAAAAAAGAATGAGGATGTTCTATATGCACTGACATGGAACAAACACCAAGATACAGGATATTGTGAAGTGAAGAAAGCAAGGTAAGCTAACATTTGAATGTACGTGTTTGAGGAAGAGAAAAATAAATGTATATGATGTGCATGTACATTATGAACTATTTCCAGAAGTATACACAATAAATTGGTATTATTAGTTGAATATTGGGTGCCAAAAAGGAGGTGAACAGAGTGGCCTAAGGGCTAGGGATAGGAGAGAAATCTTTCAATAAAAGTATTAAAGCTCTTGTGCCTTTTTAATTTTGAACCAGTGAGTACATATAACTATTCGAAATTTAATGTTAACCTTTCTACAAATGAGACCATAGAAACAATTATAGAATAGGATACAATGATGCATAAAAAAAGATACTGCAATATCGAGCATGGTGCTCAAGCCTGTAATCCCAGCACTTTGGAAGGCTGAGGTGGGAGAACTGCTTGTTTGTGGCCAGGAGTTCAAGACCAGCCTGGGCTACATAGTAAGACCTCGTCTCAAAAAAAAAAAAAAAAAAAAAATTAGCCACATGTGGTGGCATGCACCTGTAGTCCCAGCTACTCGGCAGGCTGAGGTGGGAGAATCGCTTGAGCCCAGGAGATTGAGGCTGCAGTGAGCTGTGATCACCCCACTGCACTCCAGCCTGGGCAACTGAGCAAGATCCTGTCTCTAAAAAATTAAAATTAAAATTAAAGAAAAGATACTGCAGATCTATATTTCTTAACTCGGAAAGACATTCATCATATATTAATTGTGAGGTAGGGTAAAAAGCAGATTTCTGAATAACATGTATTAAGTTTGGTTTCTAATTTTAATTTAAAATACATATAAATGTAGATTGATTAAAATATGCTAAAACATAAACAGGAATGTTAACGATCGAGTTTTTTCTGAGTAGTGGAATTAGAGGTGATTTTTATTTTCTTCTCTTTGTATACCTTCATTTTCTAATTGTTCTATCATAAGCAAGCATTTAAGAATTGTAAAAAGTATTTTTAAATTAAAAAAATAAAGAATCCATCTTTCTGCTTTTTTTTTTTTTTTTTTTTTTTGATAGAGAGTCTCACTCTTGCCCAGGCTGGAATGCAGTGGTGCAATCAAAGCTCACTGCAGCCTCCACCTCCTGGGCTCATGCAATCATCCTACTTCAGTGTCCACTAGTAGCTGGGACTACAGGTGCAGGTCATCAATTTTTGTATTTTTGTATTTTGTATTTTTTATAGAGACTGGGGTCCCACTGTGTTGTCAGGGCTGGTCTAGACCTCTTGGGCTCAAGCAATCCTTCTGCCTCTGCCTCCCGAAGTGCTGGGGTTACAGGCGTGAACTACAGCTCCCAGCCTCTGCTTTTGTTCTACACAGTTCACTCCTTCCGGGGCAAGGCAATGGCTCTGACACTGCTGCAGGACTTCATGGTGAATTCCTTATTTGGAGGGACAGCATAGGGGCCGCCAGAAAATATCGCCATGGCCAGAAGCAGAGCAAGGGAGAGAGGGTTTTAAAAGGCAGGGCTGTAAACCTCAGCATAAAATAAGCAGCCAGCCTCTCATTTCAGTCATGTAAACAGTAATGTGTATTCATTAAAACTGCATTAGTCTAAGGAGTCCCCAGAGATCAGGGGCTAACGGGAGAAGGGGTAGGGGAGAGGCTGCCAACTGCACCTGCTGTTTTCTAACACAGTGCAAACAGGCCAAAAGTGGGTTTCTGGTGCATGTCACAGCCAGAAAAGGCTGCCCAGAGGGGCTTCACAGCCCCCATCCATCTTGTTAAAGGTAAACAGACATGGAGAAAACAGAAGCACCCAGGACCCCAAACATCTGGCTTGGACTGGCTTGACCCCAGTGTGTTCTGCTTAAATAGTTTTCAAGGAGAATATATGCTTAAAAGCTGAGGCACGGTGGACATCACCAGTACAGTCCACTGCAGAGCTGGACTGGCCCATGAAGAAGACACTACAGGCAGCCTCCTCCCCCTTCATCTAGAACCCAGGCATTGCCCAAATGAGTGAAATCGATTGGGCACAAGAGCTGTGGCCAACACATATTGAAAGCTCCCTGTTCTAAGGGCTGTGCAGGTCTTAACTCATTTAAACCTCCCAACAGCCTTGTGAGGTGGGTGCTATGTCATCCGCACTTATGGGCAAGGAAAATGAGGCATAGAGACATTAATTAATTTGCCCAAGATCACCCAACCAAGGGGTGGTGTCCAGACTTACAGAGAAATCTCACTCCAGAGCCCACAATCTTGGTTCCAACACCATTCTGCCTCTCCCAGATGCTCACCAAGCATCCAATTCAGGGTGGAGTTTCAAGACAGTGACTTATGATGCTGTGCTAAGGATCTTCTGGGTAGCTAATGAGAAAAGGAACCACCACTGCCAAATCCACAAATGCCAATGATGGGCTGTACTGGCCCCACTGTGTTGATTAAGTAACTGAGGCTTAAAAGCCTAGGGATATTTCAGCTGTTCAGGAAGCTGAGGCAGAAGGATCACTTGAGGCCAGGAGTTTGACATGAGCCCGGGCAACATAACAAGACCTCATCCCAAAAATAATAAAATAAAATGAAAATTAGCTGGGCAGGGAGGCACATGCCTGTAGTCTCAGCTACTTAGGAACTCGGGAGGCTGAAGCAAGATTGCTTGAGCCTGGGAATTTGAGGCTGCAGTGAGCTATGATTGTGCTACTGCACTCCAGCCTGGGCAACACAAGAGCCTGCCCCAAAAGAAAAGAAAAAAAAAACACAGCTTGGGGATATTTTCACATACTGGGGAGCATTCCCACCCCTACAACAGGATTGGAAAATGGGGGCCATCTCTGTCCCAAGGCAAATGGCACACAGGGGGCACAGCTTAAGCTAAGGAAACTCAGAGGAGCAGCAACAGTCCCTGGAGGGAGGGAGCCAAGTTCCCTATTCCTTTCGTGGAGCATACAGCCAAACATCACCTGCACAGGAATTCTGAGATGAAGGACAAAGAGGACTCAGGAGATTTTAAGAGATTCTTCAACCCTTCCTGCACTGAGCCAGAAAAGTCAGAAGAGCTTCCTTCCCCAGAAATGGAGCAGAGCCACAGCTTCATGCTTATTTTTTCCCCTCTCCTAAGATATCACCGTTCAGACTCAAGCTTTCAAGGCTAGCTAGTCTGATGTTAACCATTTTTGTCACATTATTCTCCTCCCGCACTCAGAAATGACTAGCTTGGCTTTCCCACTTCTACAACCTTGGGAAGAAGGGGAAGCTGAAGTTCAGAGCTCCAGGTCTGCCTTTTCACCCAATAGTGGGCACCATTGAAGGCTTATCTCCCCAGTGATATGATGTCTACACTGACTGCCTCCCTCACCCATGGCACTGGGACTCTATGATCCCCTCCTTGACTAAGCCTGGCCAGTCAGATTTTTTTTTTTTGACATGATTTGGGCCCAATAGGAGGAAGGTCGGTCTGGCTGAAGGAAAGGAAGAGAACTGGGAACTGGAAGACAGTTGGGTCTCCCCTTGTGTTCTCTCGGCTTCTCCTTGTCCATATTCATGGTTCTTGCCTCTCGGTACACCTGCTTTCCTGTTCCTTACTCTACATACTGGATGGAAGATGGCCTCCCAGGGCTGCCTGGTGTCCACCTCCTTGAACCTCAGCCTCCATTCTGAAGTCTGTGAAACAATCTGATTTGCCTGCAATCCCAGCATTTGGAGAGGTCAAGGTGGGCAGATCGCTTAAGCCCAGGAGTTCAAGACCAGTCTCTATAAAAAATACAACAATTAGCTGGGCGTGGTGGCACATATCTGTAGTCCCAGCTACTTGGGAGGCTGAGGCAGGAGGACAACTTGAGCCCAGGAGTTCGAGGCTGCAGTGAGCTTTGATTGCACCACTGCACTCCAGCCTAGGCAACAGAGCATGACTCCATATCAAAAAATAAATAAATAAATAAATAAATAAAGGCCAGGCACGGTGGCTCACACCTGTAATCCCAGCCCTTTGGGAGGCCAAAGAGGGTGGATCACCTGAGGTCAGGAGTTCGAGACCAGCCTGCCCAACAGGGTGAGACCCCATCTATACTAAAAATACAAAAATTAGCCGGGTGAGGTGGCACACGTCTGCAATCCCAGCTACTCTGGAGGCTGAGGCAGGAGAATCGCTGGAACCCAGGAGGCGGAGACTGCAGTGAGCCTAGATCACGCCACTGCACTCCAGCCTGGGCAACAGAGAGAGACTCTGTCTCAAAAAAAAAAAAAAAAAAAAAAAGAAGAAAGAAAGAAAGGAAAAGAAGAAGTTAACTAAACAGTAAAACCACAGGCAAAAAGTAACAGCAAGCAGGGCAAGCATCAGGACACGGGGCTGACCAAGATTCAGTAGAACAGGGGCCTCCAGGGAAGGTTCTGTTCATCAGCAGCTGTTCACCATTGATCAGGTGAGGCTGCACTATGAGAGGAACAATGGACTACTTGAATATAGATGCTACCCTCAAGTGGCTTATAGCAGAGGCAAAAGATTCTCCAACAAAATCATTAGTGAGTATAATAATATGAGGGGAAATGCAATTAAGGGTTAAACGGTAGATTCTAAGTGAAAGATGATCTCTGAAAAGTCCAGCTCCCTGGAGGGTATAAAGGGGTGGCGCAGTTAGGTACAGTGGCTCATGTCTGTAATCCCAGCGCTTTGGGAGGCGGAGGTGGGTGGATCACCTGAGGTCAGGAGTTCGAGACTAGCGTGGCTAACATGGCAAAACTCCGTCTCTACTAAAAATACAAAACTTAGCTGGGCATGGTGGTGCGCACCTGAAATCCCAGCTACTCGGGAGGCTGAGGCAGGAGAATCACCTGAACCCAGAAGGCGGAGGTTGCAGTGAGCCGAGATCCTGCCACTGCACTCCAGCCCGGGCAAACAGTGAGACTCCATCTCAAAAAAAAAAAAAAAAAAAAAAAATGTGGGTCGCGCATATCCCAGGACAAGACAAACGGCAGTATCTTTGAAGAAGGACATCTCATGTAAGACAGTTCAGAGGCCAGCGTGGCTGCACTGAGGCTCCTGGGAACAGAGGCACCACAGGCTGGAAAGGTGAGTGGGAAACAGTTGATGGAGGAGGTCATGTCCAAGCAGGATTTCTACTCTTCCATCACTGCAAACCACGTTTATGACGTTTGTCATGTCCACACACCATCTGCAATATGATTAATAGTTTTCTTTAAACTGACTTACTTTTCAACTTAAAGTCACTCAGGAAATGGCCTGCAAAAGTTAAACACAGAGCTCTTATAGGGCCCAGCAATTCCACTCCTAGGAAGACACCCAAGAGAATTGAAAACATGCTTATACAAAAAATTGGACCAGGCATGGTAGCGCATGCCTGTAATCCCAGCACTTTGGGAGGCCGAGGTGGGTGGATCACTTGAGCTCAGGAGTTGAAGAACAGCCTGGGCAATAAAGTGAGACCCTGTGTCTACAAAAAATAAACAAATCAGTTGGGCATAGTGGCACATGCCTGTAGTCCCAGCTATCTGGGAAGCTGAGGTGGAAGATGATCACTTGAGCCTGGGAGTTCAAGGCTGCAATGAGCTGTGATTGTGCCACTGCGCTCCAGCCTGGGTGACCTTGTCTCAAAAAAAAAAAAAAAAAAAAAAAAAGCATATATACGTTTATGGCTATTTATAACAGCCAAAAAGTGGAAACAACTCAAATGCTCACTAATTGATGAATAAATAGACAAAATATGGTCCATCCACCCAATGGAAAGTGATCTAACCATTAAGAGGAATGAGGTACTGATACATGCCTTGGATGAGCCTTGAAAACATTATTCTAAGAAGCCAGTCACAAAGGATCATTCATTGTATGATTCTATTTATACAAAATGTCTAGGATAGGCAAATCTACAGAAACGGAATTAGTTTGTTGGTTACCAGGGGCCGCAGGGAAGAGAGAAAAAAAATGGAGAGCGACTGCTAATGGGGTTCAGGGTTTCTTTCGGGGGTGATGAGAATGTTCTGGAATTAAATAGTGGTGATGGCTTACAACATTATAAATATGTTTAAAACCACTGAATTGTACATTTTAAATGGTTAAAATGTGAATTTTACATTATATGAATTTTATCTCAATTAAAACATTATTTTTAAATGGGATTAAAAAAATCAATATCTCTGAATATAACTCTAAGTTTCCCATGAAAATAAAACACAACGAGAACAAAATAATGTTAGTTCATTCTGGCTTGACATCATTGCCTAACGGCCCGAGCCTGAGACCTGCTCTGTTTCTGTTAGGATGGGGGTCTGGGAGAAAAAAG
The DNA here is from genome assembly GCF_000001405.40 of Homo sapiens. Classification (NCBI taxonomy): domain Eukaryota; kingdom Metazoa; phylum Chordata; class Mammalia; order Primates; family Hominidae; genus Homo; species Homo sapiens. Next base: position 23,910,466 of record NC_000016.10, on the reverse strand, counting down.
CACATCAGCACCAACCTGAGGCTTTCTCCTCAGCCCGATCAGAAGGATTTGAAGAGAACAGAAAAGGGACTATGTTTCCCACACAGTGATCTAGTGTTAATTAGTGCCAGGTCTTAAGTACCACCCCGTCCCCAAATCTCACCAGTGCACACCAGGCGCTTGGGGAAACTTTGCTCTAAAGGATGAAACCAATGTTGATGGCCGCCTTCTATGTGCTGGTCACTGCACTTGACTCTTTCCATCAAGTGACGTCATCTATCTCTTATGACAAGCTCTGGTCTCAAGCCCACAGAGACACTGGGAAGCCAGGAGGCAACTTGGAGCGGAAGAGGGACAAGTAAAGAGGAAGGTGACACTGTCAGCATGTTCAGGGTGTGCTGGAGGAGAAAACTCAACAAGAGGGGCAAAAGGTTTCACGACAATGCTCTTCCCCATGGCGGCACTGCTTCCTGCTATGGACTGAACGTGTTTGTCCTCTACAGATTAATTGGTTGAAGCCTAACCCCCCAGTGTGTTGCTTTTAGGAGGTGGGGCCTTTGGGAGGTGATTAGATCATGAGATTAGATCAGATCATGGAGACTTTCTGAATGGGATCAAGGCCCTTATAAGAAGGGACTCAAAATGGATGAAGCAAATGTGGTCTATATACACCACAGAATACTACTCAGCCATAAAAGGAATGAAATCGCATCTTTTGCAGCAATGTGGAAGGAACTAGAGGTCAATATTTTAACTGAAACAACTCAGAAACAGAAAGCCAAATACCGCATGTTCTCACTTACAAGTGGGAGCTTATAATGTGTGTGCACGGACATAGAGTGTGGAATGATAGTGACTTGGGAGGGTGGGAAGAGGGTGAGGGATGAGAAATTACTTAGTAGATACAATGTACATTATTTGGGTGATGGTTACTCAAAAAGCTCAGACTTCACCACCATGCAATATACCCATGTAATAAAACTGCACTTGAACTTAAATGTATGTGAATTTTTAAAAAGGGACATGAGAGAGCTGATTTCCTCTCTCTGCTCTCTGCCACGTGAGAATACAAGGAGAAAGAGGTTATCTATAAGCCAAGAGGAGGGTCTCGCCAAGAACCTCAGACCTCCAGCTCCAGAACTGTGAGAAAATACATTTCCGTCACTTAAGCCACCCATGGTTACAGCAGCCCAAACAAATGAAAGCACTTGTGATAGAGGAATGTGGAAGAAAACTGATAAAAAGCAGGAGGGTGTTGGTTCCGTGAAATGTGGCCTATTTACCCAGTCCAATAATTTGTGCCCATTAAAAACCTGTCCCAGAAAGGTATCTACTAACAAGGAAGCGAATCATGAACTTCGAAGTGAAAAGAGCAAGTGATATCAGGTTTGCAGTACAGATCCATTCATTACACAGTTACTGAGTGCCAACTGTTCGCCTAGCTCTGTAAACAAAACAAAACAAACCCCTGCCTTCACAAAGCTGGTGTCCCAGTGGGTGTGCAGGGAGCATGCTAAGGACGTGCAGAGGAAACTGGACAGCGTTTATGGAGGTGGCCACTGGGTGGGTGACACCACGCTGTTCTTCACTCTCTTCCTTTTGCTCACCTCTATTTTTTGGTTTTCTATATTGAGTGGGTGAGGAGTGTTTTGAAATAAAGGGAAAGCCCAGGCTGGGCGCGGTGGCTCACGCCTGTAATCCCAGCACTTTGGGAGGCTGAGGCGGCTGGATCATGAGGTCAGGAGATCGAGATCACGGTGAAACCCCGTCTCTACTAAAAATACAAAAAAAAAAATTAGCTGGGCACGGTGGTGGGCACCTGTAGTCCCAGCTACTCGGGAGGCTGGAGAATGGCATGAACCCGGGAGGCGGAGCTTGCAGTGAGCCGAGATGGCGCCACTGCACTCCAGCCTGGGGCGACAGAGCGAGAATCCGTCTCAAAAAAAAAGAAATAAAGGGAAAGCCCAAATCTTACAGCAAGGCACCCAAGGCACTCCTGAGTTCTGGCTCTCTATCTCCCAACATAACCTGCACCTGTGTTAGAGCCGCACCTGGGGAGGACGCTCAGGTGGTGCCACATGCTCCACACAGGTGTCTTGCAAAAGCTGTTCATCTGCTGGAGTTGCCCTCCCCATATTCTCTGCCTGGCCTATAAAACCCCCATTCACCCACTAATGCAACTTCCCAAGGGGACCTCCTTCTTCAAATCACTCCTACCTACCTCCACCCAACTCAGCAACAATCCTTTTTCCCTCTGCAGCACTGTCATAAAGAATCCCCGCCGCCCCAGCTCTCACCAATCTCCAGAGGCCTTGCTCAAACCTCAGCCAGCTCCTCTCTGTGTTTTCCTCCTTCCCCCAGCTCCCAGGGATTCCACCCACTTCCCTCTCCTCTTCCATCTCACTCCCACACCTCCCTCGTCTAGATGGACTTTCTCTCCCCACCTGCTGCCCCAAATCTCCGAATAGACACGTGTGCTTCCTGCTGCCCCCAACAATACACCCATGGACTCTTTTACTCCTAAGAAAAATAAGACAATAAACCGATATGCTGTTAAATCACAAAACATCTGCCACCTCCGGTTCTCAGAGTCATTGTTCCTGGATCCATGGCCAGGCCTTGTTGTCTGGGGGTGTGGTTAGCAGGGGGAATGGCTAGGCTCCCAGGCAGGTCCTAGGGAGTTTTGCAAGATTCACCTGTAGGGCTAGGTGGGAACCTCTGTTCCTCCCGGAGTCGACCGGTATGGTTCCACCCTTTCCCCACAGACCCCACACTCATACCAGAAATCTGGGTGTTCTGGTCTCTGAGATAGATAGGCACCTCCCTTCCTGCCTCCCAGACATCTGGAGCCATTGATACTGCTGATGACAGACTCTCAGAACAAGAAAGGGCCTCACATGCATCTAATCAACGGTCTGTTCAGGCTGGGCACAGTGGCTCACGCCCATAATCCCAGTGCTTCAGGAGGCCTAGGCAAGAGGATTGCTTGTGGCCAGCAGTTTGAGACCAGCCTATGCAACATAGTAAGACCCTGTCTCTACAAAAACTAAAAAATTAGCTGGGCATGTGGTATAGTCCTAGCTTCCCCAGAGGCTGAGGCAGGAGGATGGCTTGAGCCAGGAATTTGAGGCTGCAGTGAGCTATGATCACATCATGCACTGCATGGGCAACGGAACAAGACCCTGCCTCTGTTTAAAAGAAATGGATGGGAGGTCTGCTCGACCCAGGCTTGATAAAGCAGTAATTCTCAACTGAAGATGATTTTGCCACCCAGGGCAATGTTTGGAGACATTTTTGATTGTTACAAATCAGGGTGAAGTTAATACTGGTGTATACTGGGTAGAGACCAAGGATGCTGCTAAACATCCTACACTACATGGGACAGGCTCCAACAAAGACCTATTCCACCCCCCAATGTCAATAATGCCAAGGTTGAGAAATCTTGCTGTAACTAAATTCCTCCCAGCACGGGACACTCACTTTCCCCCACCCCAACCCTGTCCCCACCCAGGAAACCCACTGTTCCTACACAGAGTATTTCTGGTTTAATAAATTGCGGTTATCCTTCAGGTCAGGATCTTTGCCTCTAGTCAGCTGAAACCCCCTAAAATCCTTGCTGCCTAGCTGGCACTGGAGGCTGTCAGAAAATGAGTATAAAATCCCTCCTCCACAATTTAATATATGATAAAGGCAGCATTTCAATTCTGTGGGAAGCGATGGATTATTCAATAAATGGTATTGGGACAACTGGCTGGCCATCTGGTAAAAAATAAAGCTAGATCCTCACCTCCCTCCTAAAACCAAAATAAATTCCAGATGGATTAAAGATTTAAATGCAAAAAAAAAGAAGTTAAAGTAGTAAAAGAAAATATGGGAGAATTCCTCTATAATCTCATTGAGTAAGAGGCCTTTCTAAGCAAGACACAAAATGTAGAATATGTGGAAGAAAAGACTCATAAATTGACTACTGAGGAATTTTTTAATGTCTACAGAGTTTAAAAAATCCATAATAAATCACTTTTTCAAAGTTAAACACCAATTTTATAAATTACATTATATATAAAACATATGCCAGGCTAACAGACATGTTCTTTCACAAACAAAAACCGGTTAAAAATCAATAAGTAGAAAAAAATAGGCAAAAAAGAAGAAGCAGTTCACAGAAAAAGAAATAGAGCTTTCAAACATAAAAATGTTCTCATAAGCAAAGAGATGTAAATTAAGATGATAGCGAGATACTAGTTTTTCACTGATCAGATTGGCAAAATGAAAAAGTTTGATAATATTCTATGTTGGTAAGGAGATGGGGAACAAGCTGTCTGAGGGAAGTGTGAACAGATCCTGTACAGAAAGCAATTCAGCAACATCAATCCACATTTTAAAGCACATATCCTCCGTCCTCATGATTCCAATGCGACACCTATCCTTGCACGTCGTCAAACCCACAGAGGTAAACATATATAGGAATGCTCACTACCTTATTGTTTATAATAGCTAAAGACTCTCAACAGCACCAATGTCGATCATCAGGGGACTGGTTAAATACATTATGCATCATAAAAGGGAATGCTAGGAAACCCTTAGAGGAGTATGAGGCAGCTCTATGTATCAATCCCCATGAGACATTATTAAAAGGAAAAGCTACATATGAAACAACACTATAATATATTTCCACTTATGTGAAGAAAAATGGGGTGGGTACAGAGTCAATCACTCATTCAACCCATATTTATTAAGCACCTACAATGTCCTAAGCACTGTTCTAGGTGATGGGAATTCTACCAGGAGTAAGTCTGCCAAGATATCCATAGGTTGCACATGCTTGGAAAATTACTGGAAGAAAATACAGGAAACTGGTTCTAGGAGACTCTCTGGAGTTGTCAGATTTAGCAAATAAAACTACAGAATGCCCAGTTAAACCTGAATAGCACATAAACAACAAATAGTGTTTTAGGATAAGTTGGTGCTATGCAATATTTGGGACATACTTATACTAAAAAGGTGTTCCTTGTTTACCCAAAATGCAGACTGAACCAGGCATCCTGTTAACTGGGCAACCTATTCTGGGGGTGAGGAGTGAAGTTCTGGGGAATGAAGCATCTACCACAGGAGAGAGATATCCTCTTCAAGCTACTGTGTGTTGTAACACATTGTACTGTTTGCCATTATAACCGGGAGGATGCACTGCTTGTGTTGTTATTTATTTAACGACACGAATGAGTAAGAAGAGAGAAGAAATTCCACAGACGTAAGGCCAAACTCAGTGCAAGCTGCAAAGTGCATTCCTCGCCAGCTCAGCTCACAGAGTCAGCCTGGCAGCCCTGCGGCCACATTCCAGGGCCGGCTGCTTCTCTAAATGGAAGCAATGGATCCCACACTCTAGCAGTAAGTCAGCAAGCAAGACTCCGAGCTGTGCTATTTTTTTTTTATTAAAAAAAAAAAAAAGAAAAAAAAAGGACCAATGCAAAGAAAGAAATGTAGAAAACAGTGAAGAGAAGAAAACACCAGAAACACCAGGCATGCTAAAAGCTGGCCTTTTCCATGACAATACGGAGAAATAAAACATCAGATTTCTTAAAAAGCCTGGTTTTAAGGATCTCTTGGGCCTCTCAGATCATCTCCATCTGTCCTTGCCTCTTTCTTAGGGGAGATTTTACCACTCAAAGAGGAAAAGTGCCTTTTATGTAAAAATCCCCCAACTTTTAAATCCCAAATATTTTGAGTACTACCAATAACTGACATGTATAAAGCACTGAAGCACTTACTATATGCTAGATACTCTTCTAAGTGTTGTGGTTTTTTGTTGTTGTTGTTGTTGTTCTTTTGAGATGAAGACTCGCTCTGTCACCCAGGCTGGAGTGCAGTAGTGCGATCTCAGCTCACTGCAACCTTCACTTCCCGGGTTCAAGCGATTCTTCTGCCTCAGCCTCCCAAGTAGCTGAAATCACAGGCACCCACAACCATGTCTGGCTAATTTTTGTATTTTTAGTAGAGATGGGGTTTCGCCATGTTGGCCAGGCTGGTCTTGAACTCCTGGCCTCAAGCAATCCACCTGCCTCAGCCTCCCAAAGTGCTGGGATTACAGACATGAGCCACCACGCCCAGCTTCCTCTAAGTGTTTTAGCCAATACTGACATATTTAATTCTTTCAACAACCCCAAGAGATAGATGCTATTATCACCCCTCTTGCACCTATGTGGAAAATGAGGCACAGAGTGGCTTGACAATTAGCAGAAATCACACAGCTGGAACATAGGAAATCTGGGATTTGAGCCCAAGTAATCTGACCCTAGAGCCCACCCCCTTAGCTGCAGGCCAGGTTCATCCTGGGTACCCTTGGTGAACAAGGTAGACACACCCCCTGCCATCGTGGCCCTTATAGCTCATGAGGGAATCTAGCTATTCACAAGGAAATAGACAAGCTAATGGCAAACAGTGCTAAGTTCTAGGGCAGACACAAACGAGGACTTGAAATAGACCACATATTCATTTAGTCGACACATATTTAATAAGACCACATATTCATTTAGTCGACACATATTTAATAAGGGCCTATGGTGTGCCAGCGTCGTTGCAGACACCAGAGGATGGAGCAGTGGATGAAACAGAGATCCTTAACCTCATGAAGCTTACCATCCTAATCAATATCCAGAAGGAACTTGAAACAGGATGTTAGCAAGGGCCTGTCAAAGGGGGAGACATTTAAGTTGAGACTAGAGTGAGAGCTCACCATGTAAAGAGAAGAAAAAGTATTCCAGGCAGTGGGAACCACTTTCTGCAAAGACCCTGGGTGGAAAGAGTTTCAGTTTCTCCTATCTCCAAGAACAATTCCACTGCTGCTTTCCCCTCTCCGGCATTCTCCTCTTCTCCATCCAAAACCCATAGTTAAAAGCGTATTTTAATACTCTCTTCCCTCCCAGCTATCTGAAAGATCTAGGGTAGAAATCATTTACTTTCTCATATTCCCAAGGCATGTGCTTGCTAATTAATCAAAGTATTATTTATTGTGACTAACAAAATTAAGGCATTTCTGATTGTTCATGCTCTGATGAAGCTTTGAGAATCTTTGCTGCTGTTAGGGGGGAAATGATGTGGTAATACCAATCCCCAGATGTACGGAGCAGACCTGTCTCCATACGCTTAGAAAAAACTAGGACAGAAACCAGGAGAATCTCTATCACTCCCCCACACACACGTGGGTGCACACACACACACACACACACACACACTTAAGTTCCCTTCCGGATCCTACTCACAAAAGCCTGGGGCCATGTATTTTTGTCCTGAGCAGGACAACAAAAGCGGGGCTCTTTACCACAGCTCTGAGTCAGGGGAGGGTTTAGAAATAACATAAGTAGGCTGGGCGTGGCAGCTCACACCTGTAATCCCAGAACTTGGGGAGGCTGAAGCAGGAGGGCTCCTGAGGCCAGGAGTTTGAGACCAGCCATGCAACATAGCAAGACTTTGTCTCTACAGAAAAAGGAAAAAAAAAAAAAAAGAAAAGAAAAAACTAAAAATTAGGTAGACATGATGGCTTATGCCTGTAGTCAAAGCTACTCAAGAAGTTGAGGTGGGAGGATGGCTTGAGCCCAGTAGTTCAAGGTTACAGTGAACTACGATCGTGACACTGCACTCCAGACTGGGTGACAGAGTGAGACCCTATCTCAAAAAAAGGAAGGAAGGAAGGAAGGGAGGGAGGGAGGGAGGAAGGAAGGAAGGAAGGAAGGAAGGAAGGAAGGAAGGAAGGAAGGAAGGGAGGAAGGGAGGGAGGGAAAAACTTTTGAGCTCAGTTCCTGAACGCATTATCATCAAGAGATGACAGTTACCATCATTACTGTGCAGATAATAATGGTGAGGGGTGAGAGACTGGAGCCAGACAACTTAGGTTTCGAACACTAGCTAGAGTCTAGCTGAGCCTCAGCTTCCCCGTCTGTAAAATGGGGACTGCTATAACAGTGCTTATTCCTCAAAGGATGCTGAAAGGGTCAAATAAACAACTGCAGGAAAATGATATAGAATAGAGCTCGGTACAGAATAAGTATTATACTAACTTAATTGTTAACCTCAAAATGGTAGGGGCAAAGGCATCACAGTTGCATAAGATGTTAGCATTAGGGGGAAACTTTGGGTGAGGGGTATGCAGTGGAACTCTCTGTAAATGTTTTGCAACTTTTCTAAAAATCTGAAATTATTCCAAAAATTAAAAGGTTATTTTTTCTAAAGGCAGGGGCAAATGTTTTTTCATTGTCTTCTTGGATCTTCTCCCTTATAAGGAGAAAAATCCAAGTTTCAGAAAATATATGGCATTGTCCATACAGATAAGAGCCCCACCCCACCCTACATACCCTCCAGTTTCCCCCAAGCTGCCCTCTGTCTGCTGGGTGAGGCTGTTTATCAACTGGCTTTGAGTTAAAATCAAATCTCTTCCTGGGGGTAAAAATTCCAACAGACCCAGACCTACAACTGCCATCAAGTTTTCTCTTTCTTTCAGTGAATATTTTTTCAGTGCCTACTGTGTACCAGGTACCAATCCAGTAGCAGTGAAACCATAACGAACAAGGCACACACACTCAGCCACAGTGTCTGTCTGCACCAGCTCTGAGATGTCTGCACCAGCTCTGAGACTTCCAGTGTGTATTTGCAAACCCAGACTGACTTTTATGGCCTCCAATGTTGGGGAATGATCATTGCAGGGTGTCTTCTTGACCACTCGAATTTTTGGGACCTCAGAGAAAATGCTGCCACCAGCCAATTCCCACAAGACACTTCAGGGAAGAGAACCTCACAGTCTCAGACAACAGGCTGCAACTCCTGGGGAACCTGAACAGGCTGGTTGCTGGGCAGGCCTGGTAGAATTAACCCAACTTCCCATTTCATTCCTACTTGACATTCCAGAGAGATGGGCTGGAGAAATCTGCCTTGTCTGTCTTTAAAAGAAGACATTTCTCCCACGGCTTCCTCCTCTTCGAATTCCCTCATCTATCCATCTACTCTCACTCCCCTTCCGCTCTCAAAGCTGTTTCCTGCTGATAAAAACACCCCACAACTTCCAGTCTGCGTAGTGAGATTGCAGCCAGCAGGCTCTAAATGCCGACATACTCCCAATCAAGCAGCAGGCGCCCCCGTTGAGTTAACGATTTTTTTTAAGCAAGAGAACCCATGCTGTCTACTTACCCTTAGGATACAGCCCATTGGGAGAGGGGGTGGGTATGATCGATCATAAAGGACTGGCTGCAGAGAGAGAGGCTCTTGCTGTGCTGTATGAACTATAGGCAATTTGCAAAGATTATATCCCAAACGCTCACGTGCTCAGAGCCCCAGGATGACAGACACAATTAATATTTTTCAAACTATCCTTGGCAATTGTGTTTTGATTAGGAAAAAAAATTAATCTTGTAGATTAGAGAGAGCTGTTCCAGTGTGGGGGAGAGACAGAAGTGACCCTATCAGCTCAGGATCCCCATAGGAGAGGGGGCGGTCAAGAAGGACTAGAAATGGGTCACATGATGAATGCACGGTGCACAGGATCAGACATCACTGCAGAAATCTCTAGCCAAATTTAAAATGCACATGCCATCTTAACCTAGAAATTCCTCTTGCAGGATTTTGGATTACAGACGTACTTGCACATGTGTGTCCACAGTTAGGTACAAGGAGATCCACTCCAGCACTGTTTGTTATGCAAAAGACTAGAAATAACCTATGCCCATCAACAGAAGACCGTATGGGACAGCCACAAAAAAAAAAAAAAAAAAAAAAAAAAAAAAAACCTGTGCAGCTGTTAAAATGAATGAGGCTGCTCTATATGCGCTGATATGAAAATATCTCTAAGATACGTCATCACATAGGAAAAAAAAAGGCAACAAGGAAAAAAATATGTGTGAGGTGCTACTAAGGGTATAAGGTTCATATGCGGAATGTCTCTCTACTAATATATAGGAGACTAATGACAGTAGTACTCCTCCAGAGAACTGAAGACTTGAGGACAGAAGTGGAATGGGGAGATTCTTTATTCACTGTATACCTTGTTGTACCTGTAGGATTTCAAACTTTGCATTGTATATTCAAAAACAAATTATTTCAATTGATAATACAGAGGTAAAAATACCTAGGAAAGGAAGATAAAGGTTTTATCCCTTTATATCTACACATTCATGCACACACATGTACAAACACACAATTTCCTGTACACAGTGATAACTGCATAAGAATTGATATCTCTCGGCTTTATGGAAGTGGTATGTCATAAGCAGTTAGATCAAGGTTTCTCAACCATGGCACTGTGGACACTGTGGACTGGTCAATTCTTTGTTGTGAGGCTGTCTTGTATATTTTGTTCAGTAGCATCCCTGGCCTCTACCCACTAGATTCCAGTAGCAACCCCCACCACCCCAAGTTGTGACAAACAAAATGTCTCCAGACATTGCCAAATACCACCTGGGGGCAAAATCACTTGAGTTAAATTATGGGTCCTAAAGAGTAATAACTGTGTCTTCCTTATTTCCTTCTCTCTCCATACCTAACTGTAATCCCTGCACTTTGGGAGGCTGAGACAGGAGGATCACTTGAGGCCAGGAGTTCGAGACCAGCCTGAGCAACATAGCAAGGCCCTATCTCTACAATAAATAAATAAATAAATAAATAAATAAATAAATAAATAAATAAATAAATAAATAAATTTTATTTGCTGGGCCTGGTGGCACGTGCCTACGGTCCCAGCTCCTCAGAAGGCTGAGGTGGGAGGATCGCATGAGCCCAGGATTTTGAATATAGTGAGCCATGGTCGCATCACTGCACTCCAGCCCAGGTGACAACAAACCACACACACACACACACACACACAGAGAGAGAGAGAGAGAGAGAGAGAGAGAGAGAGAGAGAGAGTTCTTATGGATAAGTAATTACAAATGAACAAAAGTAATTTACAAAGCTTGTTTCAAACGTATATACATGCAAAGTTTGGTACTGGGGCTTCTTGAATGCTGAGATGGCATTTCCACCATTCTGTTTCCTCTGGTAAGTTGCTGTTTGACATTTTTAACAGAGAAATGGCCCTGATCCTCAGCAGAGAGATCTGGGGGAGATGTCTTCCCAAGAGTTAAAGAACAGGGAATGTACTGGTCTTACAATGGATAAGGAATGGAATGTACTGTTTCCCTTAAACTGTCCTTGATAATTATTACCTTGACCTTCCATGCTCTCTGTGATGCCAACCAATGTTGCAAATGCCAATCACTGATCCCAATGTGCCTGCTGCCTGAAAGCCAAGCTGTGGCTGGCATCTCTGCCCCTCTTTCTGTGGGAGCGGAGGGAGAAGCACTTGTTTCACTCATCTGCTGAATAGCAGACTTCCAAGAGTTCTACTTCTGCAGAAACTCCAAGAGTGACCTCAACATAGAAATCATCAACAGGGTCCAAGGCAAGCCCTGAGATGCAACACGAACTTTTTCTCACCCAATACCATTCATAAAAATAACAGTCACAACGGCTGTCTCTTAAACACTTCCTATGGTCCAGGCATAGACCTAAGGATTTCCCAGACGTTACTTCATTGGCGCCTCAGAAGAACCTGATGAAGTATACACGATCACTATCACCCCATTTTATAGATGCATAGACCAAGGTGCAAGGAGTTTAGATGATTTGATCAAAACCACACAGTTAAGGATCGCATGGTCCCTGGCAAATAGGCGGTCCTCCTTCAGTAGTAGTTGCCATTGTTACTCATATTATTATTTTGTTATGTATTTTTACCTCCCTTGATGTGGCCATGCCCCTTCCTATCCCAAGGCCTTCACACTGGCTGTGCCCTCTGCCTGGGATGCTTTTCTGCCAATCTTCACCTAGTTTTTGTTTAAACTTCATTTTGTCAAGAAAGAGTTCTCTGGCCCTCAAAATGAGACCGATAGCCTTAATACACATGCTCACCTACCCCATTCTTCTCATTTGTAATACTTATCATAACTGTAATTGTATTATTACCTGTGTAATTATTTGCTTGTCTGTCTCCCTACTAGATGGCAAGCTCTATGATGGGAGGATTGTCTAATTTACTGGCCACTGGATGAGAACCCAGCACAGTACTTAGCACACAACAGGCACTCAATTAAATATTAGACAGGGTCCAGTGCGGTGGCTCACGCCTATAATCCCAGCACTTTGGGAGGCCGAGATGGGCGGATCACTGGAGGTCAGGAGATCAAGACCATCCTGGCTAACAAGGTGAAACCCTGTCTCTACTAAAAATACAAAAAATTAGCGAGGTGTGGTGGTGGGCGCCTGTAGTTCCAGCTACTCGGGAGGCTGAGGCAGGAGAATGGCGTGAACCTGGGAGGCGGAGCTTGCAGTGAACCGAGATCGCACCACTGCACTCTGGCCTGGGCGACAGAGCAAGACTCTGTCTCAAAAAAAAAAAAAAAATTAGCCGGGCATGGTGGTGCATGTGCCTGTAATCCCAGCTACTCAGGAAGCTGAGGCAGAAGAATCGCTTGAGCCTGGGAGGCGGAGGTTGCAGTGAGCCGAGATCACGCCATTGCACTCCAGCCTGGACAACAGAGCAAGACTCCATTGCAAAATAAATAAATAAATAAATAACATAAATAATATAAATATTAAATAGATATATGGATGGGTGGGTGGATGGGTGGATGGATGGATGGATGGGAGAGAGGGAAAGAGAAATGGCAGAAGAAAGGGCAAATGACTGAACAAATGATTTAACTTTAAAGATATATAGAGTGTTGAGAGATCAAGTAGTCCAGTCTTCTCCGCATTTCACAGCTAAAGACAGTAAGGTTCTTGGAGGTTAGAGTCAAATCACACAGGATCCAGTACCAGAACTTAGTCAGTTGCAGATAACTGGTCAGTTCCAGGAACTGGAGGGCATAAGCTGCCAGGTGACAGCTAGATGAACAAACAACGTGCCTAAGAGAACCCACCAACAGGTGACAGCTGCCTTTGGTTAGGGTTCCAGCCACTATAATGTGTGCATTAAAATTCACCCCAAATACCTGTTTTCCAGACTTATAAAATTGATCTGATTATCCCTTCACAAAGTCTGAAAAAGCAAAAAAAATAATTTTTTCACACATCAGCGAGCTGTAGTGTTTATATTCAAAATGCCCTTGCAAACCCACAGGAAACACTGTTCTTGTGTATCATGTCACAGCACGAAGTCCCCACTTCCTTCAGGGGAAAGAATAAAGCCATCTGGCAGGAATTGTTCTCAGCTCTTTCCCACTGCGTCCCTCCCTGCTCAGAGCTCTACAGAGCACAGCACGTGTGCCTTCCCCATGCCCCTGGCCCATCCCACTCCATGAGAAGTACCAGCTTTATTATCATGGGCCCTCCATCCCATGTACACAACTAGGCTCTACTCTCCAGGAGGTGCTTGTATTATTTGTGATCAACACCTGGCACAGGGTCTGGCACACAGTAGGCACTCAATGACTGCTTATTGGATGGATGGATGAATGGATAGATGGATGAGTGGGTGGGTGAATGGATGGATGGATGGGTGGGTAGATGGGTGGGTGGATGGATGGATGAATGGATGGATGAGTGGATGGATGGATGGATGGATGGATGGATGGATGGATGGATGGTTGGATGGATGGATGAAGAGCCTTCCAGCTGACTCTTCAGAGGCATTTTCCAATCCTTCATTTGGTTTTGCCTATAAGAGATTAACTTCACTTGTGTGCATTCCTTTAATTCAAAAGCTAATTGTTGAGTATTTAAAAATAATTTCTATGAAAACATTAGGATAAGGCTCTTTCCCCTTTCAAGCCCTTTGCATATGCTAGTCCTTCTGCCTGGAATGCCTTTCTTCCTTCCTCTCTTCACACAGCTAATGCCACTTCTTAAGCTGCCAGCATAAATGTCACCTTCACAAAAAGCATCCCCTCATTAAACTTGCTAAATAGATACTCACATGCACGTTCACTAATCTCTCCTTGAGACCCTTATTGGTTTCCTTTATATCTGCTTTAATTTGTCATCTATTTTTGTGTCTCTAATTTTGTGAATCTAAATGTAGATTCAGTGAAGACACAGACCAGGTTTACATCAAATACGTTTCTCTCAGACCCTAGCACAGTGTCTGCATACAGTATGTTTTCAATAAATATTTGTTGATTGAATTAATGAATCAATCAATTAATTCAATAAGAGGGAAATGGGTCCAAAAAACATAAAAAGTGAGTAATGAAGTAAGTTTGAGAGTCACATCTTTAAAAAAGTCTTGAATTGCATGAAATAATGCATGTGTCAATAGCAATTCATGGGAAATCAAATATATTTATTTTTTTTCATAAATTCTGGTTCTAAAATCTTCAAAGGCAGGAAAGTGGATTGGGAGAAGAAAGAAGTAAACACTTGCCAAATGCTGTGTCTTGCAAAAAAAAAAAATGTGAATGGATTGAATTATCCCATTAAAGGACAAAGATTCATAATTTAAAGAAAAAATAGAATTCAAATATACATGGTTCCCATGAGACTTGCTGAAAATAAAATGATCCAAAATGAAAATGAAAAGGTGGGAAAAGCTGCCATGAGCAGAAATATTAATTATCAGACAAATAAAATGTAAAGCATAAAAATATTACATAGGACAAAGATGGATATTTTGTATTCATAAAGAGTACATCAATAATAACAATATAACCAATAGCAGTGTGTGTTCCATGTGCCTGGCACTATGATGAGCACTTAACATCAATTATATCATTTAATTTAAGTATTAAAAATAAGCAACACTGGCATTATTATCACCAAGCTTTTAGGAGAATCTAAAACTGGTTCATCATTTGGTAGGCAGCACAGGAGAATTTGAACTCAGATCTGAGTAACTTCACAATAAGACTGGAGAATCATGAAACTCTAACTCCTATAACATAAAAGTACATTAGAAATGTACAAAACAAAATTTGTTTAAAAAAATACAAAGGTGTTGAAAAATCACTATCATAGTAGGAGACGAGCATACTATCCAATTTTTGACAAATCAGTAGATATAATTGAAAGTACATAGGGACATTTAGCTCAAGAAACTAGGAAGAGTGATAAAACTGAGGAAATAATTAAAAAGCAGAAATTAATGCATCTGGAAACAGAAAAAAGTTGAACTGAAGAATAAATTTAAGAGGTGGTTGTTTGAGGGGAAAAATAAAACAGTGACACTCTGGCAAAGCTCATAAGAAAATTTTCAAAAACTAAAAATAGGAACTCAGTAAGAATGAGAAAAGAGAATTGCAGATGGCAAGGCAATTTTTCACATCATTACAGGACAATATATATAGTTTTATGCTAATAAATTAGAGACTCAATTAAATGCTTATTCTTAAAAAAACATAACACATTTGAAAGTATACCAAAAATGATCATGAAATACACCAGAAAAAATTATCAAATAACTAATCTTGGAAAAGGCACCAGGCCCAGAAATTGTTTTGCTTTGGGGGTATGGTAAATCCACTCAAACTTCTAAAAAATATTCTAAATCCTTTGCCATTTATGCTCTTCCTAAGCATTAAAAAACAAGAAAAGATGGAAGACTTCCCAGATGTTTTGATGAAAATAGCAAAAACTTGTCAAAGACAGCAAACCAAAAAAAAAGAGTAAATGGCAGACAAATTTCACTAATGAATATAGACTCAAAGGTCCTAAATGTAATAGAAATAAATGTAACCCAACAACATAATGTCAGAATGAATCAAATACTGGGGAAGATATTGATGATAAAGGTACCACATTGCTTCAGGTTTTTACAATGAACATACATTTTTCTTCTGCCTTAAAAAAATATTCTTTTCCCTCACAATTCTCTGGGTTGGCTAGACTCAGCCAGGTGGTTCTTCGGTTCTACATGGTGTCACCTGTGCACACATGCAGGCGCTTGCACCTGGAAGCTGGACATTCAAGACAGCTTCCCTCACAAAGCATGTACTCTTCAAAAGCAATAATATTATTTTCTGGGGGGAAATTAAACCAATGATTATATCCAGTGATCAAGTGAATTTGGAAATGCATGTACTCTAGGTGGTGTGTAAATTAGTTACAATTTCTCTGGAGAGCAATGTGACAATGAAAACCTTTAAATGGCCACACTTTTTGACCCAGAAACTCCCATTTTGGGGACTGTGATGAGTTGATTACAACAATGGTCCTGAGACTTTCATGCCTTTTGTAGCCATGCCTTTGGTAATGTCTTCTCAAACTGTCTCCGGGCTTGGCCATGTCACATGCTTTGGCCTATGGGACAGAAGCAAATGTGATGCAACCAAAACTTGAAAAAAAGTTTGTGCATCAGGGTTTGCCTCCTTGCTGCTCTTGCAACTCTAACTGCTATGGAAACAACCTGGCCTGCTGGAAGATGACATACCACCATCATCCCATGCAGTCCCCCAGCTGATTGCAAATGCATAAGTAACCAGAGCCTATGTCCACTGATTCCAGCCTAGTCCAGCAGAACTACCTGGCCCAAAATGCAGACCTGCAGAGGTAAGTAAATAGTCATTGTTTGACACCACTAAGTTGTGCGATGATTTGTTACACAGCAAAACCTAACTAATACATGAACTTATCCTTAGGAGTATTCAGAAATAGCTTTCCATAAAGATAAATATACAACTATATTATTTGTAACAATGGTTGAATCATGTTGAATAATAAGAGCTGTTTAGGTAAATTTTAGTACATCCGTTCAATAGAAATCTATGCAGTAATTAAAAATCCTTTTGTGGAAAAAGATTTGGTACAGTAAAATGTTTACACTAGAGCACAGTGGAAAAGAGGGTTATAAAACAATATTATGGTGTGAGAGTACTCTTGTGAAAAATAAAAGAAGTACACATATTTATATGCATGGGAAAATACTGGAATAACAAAAATGTTAACAACGCCGGATGGTTTTTTTCCTTTTTAAAAATGCTTTTCACATTTCCTGCCTTGATCGTAAGTCAGAACTTACAAACAGTCATTGAACTGTTCAGACAGCTGAACCTGGAATTCTCTGAGGCCACTGAAGGCTACTGCTAAGGAATCAGATAAGGGGTAATCAGGACATGAATGTTAGAAAATCCTCCTAGCATAATCTCTGTTAAACCAGCCTAAGCATGGTGCTTGGCAGCACAGCTGGGAAAAGAAAATGGAAAGAGCTGGAATGGGCTGCCATATTGCTGGCAGAAACCTTCATGCCATGGCCAATTTATTGGCTCCAAGTCCAGTAAGTTTTCTTGGCTTCTCCCTCTGCTCCCCAAGTTTCATTCTGCTCCTGCTGCCTCTCTGTCTCATGTTTCCTTCTTACTTCTCCCTTTATTTACTCTTCATTTGGATAGTCTCAGATTTTTTTGAGGAGAAGAGAAAGGATTCAGGTAGTGGACTGGAGAGGAGTTGTCCAAAGATCTCAGCAGGGTCTCCAGCACACTCCATCAGACCATCCCTGTATTTCAAGATTAAGCATGAGGGCCATTGTAAGTTCACCCTATAGACTGAGTGATCAAGGAATGCAGATTTCCATCCAATCCTGTTAAAAAAAAAAAAAAGATGCTGATTGATCCATCCCCAGGTTAATGAGCCAGTTCCAATCACATGGTATCGTGGAGACAGAACCTGAGATAGGTGATAGGCTGAGATCAGAAGGCAGATATTCTAGTTCTGAAGCTAACTTTATGTCAAACTTCAGAGTTCACTTTCCCTTCCTGAACCAAAGTTTCTTCCTCTGCAAAATGGGTCCAATATATCCCCTCAGATTGTGTTGAGCTCCCATCCAAACTAGTATTTTTCTCTTTCGTTCAGTGCTGTATACCGGTAGGCACTCAAAAATCTATATATTGAACGAAGTAATAAATAAGACCATCTGCCTACTCACTCATACATGGTTTTGTATGAAGACCAGATAAATGGGAATGCAAGTGCTTTGAATTAATAAACTATATTACAAAGACAATGTATATTTTAATGTTTTGTATTAATATGAAGTAGAAATAATTTTGTTGTCTTGGAAATAGCAGGCTCATCCCTTAAGATTAAAGCTCTGGGGTTTTGCAAAACAAGGTTTGAGAATCACTGAAGTAAGAATTAAAGCTCAGGACCTTAAAACGATTTAATCCACCAAATCAGCTGATACTGCATCCTGAAGCAATGGAGATTTTTTAACCACTCGTTGTCAGTCTTTAAAGTCTAGGGCATAAAGCACGAAGAGCAAAGGGGGTGCTATTTCATAACATTCTAATTGAGACGGATGGAGAAAAAAAATGTAAGTTTTCTCAACACATCTGTCTATCACCAATTAAAATGAGTGTGAAGGCCTTCACCAAAGATTTCTCTCAAGGGCTCCCAGTAACAGGTACATCTTTATCACTGAGACCAAGGGAATCGTGCCACTTATTAACAGGCATTTGTTTCAGCAAATGTCACCCAGAGATGTGGGATCCAGCCGTCTCCCAATTTGCACACACTTGAAAGCTGTTGGTGATACAGCTCTAGGAGGGTGTGGGCAGGGGGCCTATGGTTTTTCACACATTACACTAGAAGGGATTCTAACTGCACAAGAAGGTAGGGTGTGGGATGTCAGCCAAGCTAAACACTGACAAATTCCCTTCTGGTCCGAGCCTGCAAAATTTCTGTGCTGTCTTTTGTGAAAGCTCCTTTCCTGCGTCAATGTGATGGACAAACATGTCACATTATCTTTCACAAGTGGCTTCATTAAGACACTCATCAACCTCACCAGGCCTTTCAGAGCAACATGACCCCTTGAAAACTGAGCATTGGATGTAGAGCTGATATGATACCACAACTGGCCAGCTTCTCTAATTGAACACTCAAGCCTCACCCTTCTTTGTTGAACTGGGATTTGTAGAATAAATAATCATAATAGCTCCTGACAAACCCTTATGCTTCTTGCAGATAGGCCTAACATAGAAAATTGAGCAAAGTACTTTTGGAAGTGTCCAAGAGAGCCCCTGCCCCTCATTTATGTATTTTATTATTTTCAAAAATATTTGTTTACTCACTCTCAACAGGAAAAATTGAACACAGATGCATACATCTGTATACACACACATACATACACACACATCACTCATAATTTCCCTACTCAATAATAAGCACATTGTAAAAACATAAGAATATCATAGACTGGATGCAGTGTCTCATGCCTGTATTTCCAGCACTTTGGGAGGCTGAGACAGGAGGATTGCTTGAGCCCAGGAGTTCAAGAACAGCGCAGGCAGCATAGTGAGACCCCATCTCTACCAAAAATAATAATAAATACAAATTTTAAAATTAGCTGGGTATGGTGGCACATGCCTGTAGTCCTAGCTACTAGGGAGGCTGAGTTGGGAGGCTCACTTAAGCCCAGGAGGTCGAGGCTGCAGTGAGCCATGATCACTCCACTGCACTCCAGTCTAGCAAGACCCTGTCTCAAAAAAAATTATATATATATATACACACACATTATATATATACACACACACACACACACACGCATTATATATATACATAATGTTCCTTCAGTTTTTTCCCCTAGGCATACATACATATATAAAGATAAATGTCCCATTCATCTTCAGGGATGAAGTGAGAGGGAAGAATGGACATTTGATCAGAGTCTTACAGGTGAGCTTTTAAACAAGAATGCAATCTCCAGGAAGCAGCAATAAAGAACAAGAGGAAAGCAAACTCCTGACTCCAGAAAGGTTGTTGTTTCTGAATGGGATGATGTTCCCAGAAGAAAGGCAGGCTCTTTCCTCTTCAGGCAGGATGGGGAGGAAGTGTCCCATAGAGGCAAGTCCACAGGGTACAGTGGAAAGAGTCAATGAGGGTATCACAAAAGCAAGGAAGAAACCAGAAATGAAGCAGTTGATGGCACGGGCATTAGGATTGGAGCTAGCTAGCCTCTTGCCCATGACTGGGAGTCACAAAGATGAAAAGCCCGGTTGGAAGTGACCAGGCTCCTAAGTCTTCAGTGGGGCAAGGGTCATTTTGCTTCCAGAAATAGTTAAGGGTCCCAGGGAGCGTCTCTCCTTGTTTCATAGAAGTAACAGAAAAGATGCTAGGCTAACAAAGGCATCCTGTTCTGGGGAATCACAGTTACAGAAAGATTAAAGGCCCCTACAAGATTCAGAGGAAGAGGAGCAAGACTTGATCTGGCCAAAGACCATCTTACAGGGTTCCAAGCAGCTTCTTACAATTGACTAAGGGTATTAAGAGGTTTGCAGAGAGGCAGTGAGGTCTATCTCAGGGATATTTTTCTTGATTCAGGCAATAAAACTGGACAGTGAAAGGTCAGGGTGTTCCTTCTTAAATATTAGCTGCCTCAGTAAGGATTTTCAAGGAGCTGTGGAATGCAGTGTTCAATAGGACCTACTAAAAGTCAAGTAGATCCATTCATTAACTGATTTATTGTTTTAAAAATATGTGCTGAGTGTCTACTATGTGTAAAGTACCATTCTAACTATTGGAATTAGATAAGTGAATAAGTCCTTTTTCTCATGGAAAACATATTCTTATAATTAATAACAAATAAATTTTGGGAGGAAACTCCAAAAAATATAAGAAAATGCCAGCTAGTAATAGGTGCCAAAAAGAAAAGGGAAGGGAAATAAAATGAGACTGGAATTATTGTAAATAGATAGATGATAGATGAGAGAGACAGAGATAGAACTGGGTTATCCTGCAGTAATAACCCTCAAAATAGGTAAAAGTTTGTTTTTCTCACATACTACAGCCTCATGCCTGATCAGCTAAGGAAGAAGTTCTATGTCTCCAGGAGCAAGTTGATAGAGCAGCCATAACTCAAAGATTTTTTCTGGATAATCTAGAACCAGCAATTACATGTCCCAGCATAAAAGTGAACATACATCACTTTGGATCACAACTCACTGGTCAGAGCTACTCATACGGCCCCACCTACCCACAAGGGAGGCAAGCAGTGCAATCCTACCATTGGCCTGCAAGGCCAAAGACCAGAAATATTTATTGAAGACCTTTAATGACTATTATAGATGATAAACAGGTGAGTAGATGCCATAATGCTAATAGCTAACACTTAGATAGCACTGCTATGACCCAGGCACTACTGAAAGCACCTTACACATACTGACTCACATAACCTTTATAATGCCGTAAGGTAGGCTCTGTTATTAATTTCAACATCAATCTCATTTTATAGCTGAGGAGACTGAGACAAGGAGAGGTTTTAAAACTGAACCAAGATCACATGCTTGGTGAGTGGCAGAGCTGGGATTCAAACCTAAGCAGGATAACTCCAAACTCTATGCTCTTAATCATTACACTACATTGAATGTGGATGGACGGATGGATGGATGGATGGATGGATGGATGGATGGATGGATGGATGGATGGATGGACGAGTGAACAGCTGTGTAGATGACTGAGTGGGTGGGTTAGTGAGTAGATGGGTGGGTAAGTGGGTGGATGAATGATCAGTCATGTCGAATTTATTGGGAAAATAAATACATTTCATTCACACTCTGCTAGCAAAAGGAGACTCACACGCTTGCAGGTCTCATACTCCCCCCATCTTAGCCATCCAGCTATGTCACCACTTACATTCTCAACAGCCCCAGCTGTGGAAAAGCTGTGATAGGGTCTGAAGCACAAGGCCAGGGACCTATATAAGACATAATGTGTGCTTGCTAGTGAGACCCTTCCAGCCCTCTTGCAACTTCAAGCCTGTTACCCAGTCCCTGCACAGTAGCCCCATCCTGGCAGATGAGGAAGGGATAACTCCTTACAGAAAAAGATTATCAAGCCCTGGCCAACCCAGGGAAGGTCCAGACAGGTTGTGGTCGAGAAACATGACGAGGGTGGCAGAGGGAGGGAGGATAAACTAGCGGTTATGGCCAAACCAGTGGTGCCTGAGTCAGACACAATGGGTTTTGAGGATTTCTCCCTCCCTGGCACCAGCACACACTTAAAAAAGAAATGGTTACCAAGCACCCTTTTGCTTGCCAACAGCATTCAGCTTCCTGGGTGAAGAGATCACAGAAAGGCAGCAAGGAAGATGGCCCTAAATGTTCTCCTCCAGCAGTCTGCTCCTGTGGCCTGGCCCTGCTACAGCCCATGAGGACCCACCATCTCCTAGAGGAGGGCCAGCCTGCCAACTCATGGAGCCAATAGGCCCACTCAGAGAGCTTTCACGGAGCTTCCTTTAGCTGAGCCAAGCTGTGCCTTCCGCTGTTTGGTCCAAGTGTCTCAACTCAACAACCTCAAAAGTCACTTGGTATCAGCATCTGTCCTAAGAGGCAGCCTGAAACTAGAGAGAGCATTGATTTATTGGTGAGAACACAGCAGCCCACCAGGGAGAAAGGGATTGCCTGAAGTCCTCCTCTAGGTAGTCCTTGCAAGAACCAAGCTGGGAAAACAAAGAAGGGGACTTGATGCGCTAAAGGAGGAGGGAGAAATGAGAGTTCAGCAAGTCAGATTCTTGCAATTAACTGTCAGATGCAGGTGTGCTCAAGAAAAAACTAGACCTGGGAAGATCATGGGGACCCTGCTGGAGAGAAAAAGGCCAGGACCATACAGCTGCCAGCCTTTGGGCCCAGCACCCCCAGCTGGAGAATCCTTCAAGCATTCTGCCTGCTGGCCACTCAGATAGCTTATGCAGTGCCTTGGTGAGATTACGGAGAAAAAAGGACGCTCTTACACTGTTGGTGAAATTGTAAATTAGTTCAGCCCCTCTGGGAAGCAGTTTAGAGACTTCTCAAAGAACTAAAAATAGAATTGCCATTCAATCCAGCATTCCCATTACTGGGTATATACCCAAAGGAAAACACATCATTCCACCAAAAAGACACCTTCACTCTCATGTTTATTGCATCACTGTCCATAACAGCAAAAACATGGAATCCACCTAGGTGCCCATCAACAATGGATTGGATAAAGAAAATGTGGTGCATATACACTATGGAATACTACACAGCCATAAAAAAAATGAAATCATGTCCTTTGCAGCAACATGGATGCAGCTGAAGGCCATTATCCTAAGTGAATTATCACAGAAAAACAGAAAACCAAATACCACATGTTCTCACCTATAGTGGAAGCTAAACAAGGGGTATACACAGACACAAATATGGAAACAACAGACACTGGGAACTCGGAAAGGAGGGAGAGAAGGGGGTAACGGTTTAAAAACTACCTACTGGGTACTATGCTCACTATTTGGGTAACAAGTTCATTGCCTAAACCTCAGCATCACGCAATATACCCATGTGACAAACTTGCACACATACTCCATGAATCTAAAATAAAAAACAAAATATGTTTCAAAGAATGGGGCATTTTATTTCTATCCTACAAGCATATCTGTCTACAATATTTGCTTTCAGTGACAGAAAGCAAGAAAGCAAGAAAGAAAGCAAGAAAGCAAGAAGGAAAGAAAGAGAGAGAAAGAAAGAAGGAAAGAAAGAAAAGAAAACTCATGCAATGCCCTGGGATTTACAGATTCGTTCCAGAGGCAGCTTTGGAAAAGAAATGGAGTGGAAAGACGCCCATGGCCCCAGTGACCCCCCAAGAAAAGAGAACTTCCTTTCCTTAAGTCCAAGCTGACAGGTAGAGAACTAAGTCAGGCTGAAATTAGGAAAGTGGGAAGGAGGGACATGCACCAAGGAAAGAGAGGGTCTGTGGCTGCTACAGGCAGAGATGAAGGGGACAGATAGAGCATGAGGCATAAAAGGAGATAAATGAAAATGATGATAGGCCCATACTGAGCCCCTGCTGAAGCCAAGAAATCTGTTCAACTCATAACACGGCTGGGCACGGTGGCTCACGCCTGTAATCCCAGCACTTCGGGAGGCCAAGGCAGGCCGATCACTTGAGGTCAGGAGTTCGAGACCAGCCTGGCCAACATAGTGAAACCTCGTCTCTACTAAAAATACAAAAATTAGTCAGGCGTGGTGGTGCGTGCCTGTAATCCCAGCTACTCAGGAGGCTGAGGCAGAAGAATCGGTTGAACCCAGGAGGCGGAGGTTGCAGTGAGCCAAGATCATGCCATTGCACTCCAGCCTGGGCGACAGAGTGAGACTTCATCAAAAAAAAAAAAAAAAAAAAAAAAAACACCTAACACACCATAGTCCAACCCTCGCAGTGACTCTAAGAGGTAAAGATGACGTTGAATGTTTTGCCCAAAGTCCCACAGACAGGGATTTGAGAAGAACTGAGTCTCCTAGAGTAAAAGAATCAAGGAGAACCAGGCAAGAGAAGCCTCTCTCAAGAAAAGCCTTGATCCATCTGCAAGTCAAAGGAAACTTTCTTAGCACAGCCAGACTAATGCCAACCAACAGCAAAGATGATGGTTAAGGATACTTCTTGCTGTGATGCTTAGATTTGGATCTCAGCTCTGTGACCTTCAGCAAATCTACTGACCTCTTAGGACCTCAGTTTCTACAGCTGTAATACAACACACTTGTCTCAAAGAGTTGGTTTGAGGATTCAAAGAGAAAATAAATGTAATTTATTAGCACATTTCCAGCACATGGCAATCAATCAATGAAAGTTTGTTGTTGTTAATGTTGTTAGTATCACAATCCTCAAACCTCCTGCCGCCCAATATCGAGTCAAAAAGAAATACACTAAGGCCAAGGCCACCTTACTACAAGATCAACCTGGTGATGGCTCACAGGATTTTTAAGAGATCTAGAAAGACATCCAAAAAATATTTCCCCGCCAGCTTCCTCGTGTCTGAAATATATATTTTCCAGCACACAGTGGCTTTCATTTCCCATTTAAAAATAAATCCAGTGCAAATACAGATTCACACTAGGGGAAGGAGCTGGGTAGCTTGGAAATCAGAGTTGAGAGTGAATCAGAAGAGAATGCCAGAAAAGGGGGCAAAGAGGGGAAACCAGCTGTGGATAGGCCAGGCACAGTGGCTCATGCCTGTAATCCCAGCACTTTGGGAGGCCAAGGCAGGTAGATCACTAGGTCAGGAGTTTGAGACCAGCCTGGCCAAGATGGTGAAACCCCATCTCTACTAAAAATACAAAAATTAGCTGGGCGTGGTGGCGGGCGCCTATAACCTCAGCTACTCGGGAGGCTGAGGCAGGAGAATGGCTTGAACTAGGGAGGCGGAGACTGCAGTGAGCCGAGATCATGCCACTGCACTCCAGCCTGGGTGACAGAGCAAGACTCCGTCTCAAAAAAGAAAAGAAAAAGAAAAAAAGAGCTGTGGATAGTGGTAAAAAGCCACAGGATCTCCCATCTGCTTAAGAAACAGAATTGATTCAGTTAGTTAAAAAGCTTAATGATTAGTGAATTTCACTCCTAAAGAAATAATAAGAGTAAAGGGTAGCAGGAGAAGGTTAAATCATAGAGTTAGTGTCTGGCATATAGCAGGCTCTAATAAACAACATGTATCATTATTACTTATTATTATCGTTATTGTTAATTCCTTATAATCTTCACAATAACTACTTAAAAGTAGGCATTACTATTATCTTGAGTTTGCTGGCAAGGAAACTAAAATCCAGAGAAATTAAATAACTTGCCCAAGATCATCCATCTTGAGAACCTGGGAGTGCCCTGCACCTATTATATCCATTCAATCATCCATATTTGCTGAACAACTAAATGATCGCATGAACCAAAGGGCTACTAGAATGCCACAAAAGAAAAGGAGATATGGGCTAGGCATTGTGGCTCACACCTGTCATCCTAGCACTTTGGGAGGCTGAGGTGGGAGGACTGCTTGAGTCCAGGAGTTTGAGACCAGTCTGGGCAACACAGTGAGACCTTGCAGCTACAAAAAATAAAAATAAAAAAATTAGCCAGGCATGGTGGTGTGTTCCTGTAGTCCCAGCTACTTAGGAGGCTGAGGTGGGAGGATTGTTTTAGGCCAAGAGATTGAAGCTGCAGTGAGCTACGGTCACACCACTGCATTCCAGTCTAGGCGACAGAGTGAAACCCTGACTCAAAAAGAAAAAGAAAAGGAGATGGTTCAGTTCCCAGGGTGCCCTGGATGTGGTGTTCAAACAGGAAGCCCATAAGGGAAGGCAAAGAGAATGTTCACAATTTTTAATGAAGTGATATTTGCAAAGAGAGGCAGAAAACGAGAGCTAAGGGAAGGTAACTTGGGGTTGATCTGCTTTGGAAAGGAAAATATAAATATATGACAAATGTTAGTTCCTATGTCCCCATGTATATGATGTGGGGAAATCTCCAGGACTTTTGCTTACATTGAAAATGTCTTCATCATTGGGGGTGGATGCAGTGCTTTGAGCACAACACGGGTGCCAGAGTCAAATTAGGGTTCAAGTCCTAATTCTATAAGCTTGCATAAGAACTTATACTCTCTGAGACTCTCTTTCCTCATCTATAACTGTGCTACCAATATGGTAACCACTAGCCATATGTGGCTACTGAGTACTTGAAGTGTGGTTGAATTGAGATGTGCTGTACGTGTAAAATACATATCAAATGTTGAAGACTTGCTATGCGGGGAAGTAAAATATCTCATTAATAATTTTATATTGATTACATGTTGATATGGGAATATTTGGAATATGCTGAGTTAAAGAAAACATTCTCACAGTTCATTTCACCTGTTTCCTTTGACCATTTTAATGTGATTGCTAAGAACATTTTAAATTACATACACAGCTCAGGTTTATGGCTCATGTTATATTTCTACTGGACAACACAGATCTACAAAATGTGGTTATGGGATTGCTAC
Organism: Homo sapiens; assembly: GCF_000001405.40. Taxonomy (NCBI): domain Eukaryota; kingdom Metazoa; phylum Chordata; class Mammalia; order Primates; family Hominidae; genus Homo; species Homo sapiens. Next base: position 23,883,792 of record NC_000016.10, on the reverse strand, counting down.
GAAGTTCAAAGACGTCATATGTAAAGTGTACCAGGTGCCCAGCTGTGCATTTGCTTCCCTCTTCCAATTCATATCCCATTTACCAGTAAGTCCTTTTACCTCCCAAATCTGCCTGTGTCTCTCCCTCTGCACTGCTGCCCGTGCAGACAAAGACACCATCTCTCACCTAGAAATCTGCAATTGACTCCTGACTCATCCTCCCACTTCTGCTCCAGTCCCCAACAATCCATTCTCTACTTGGCAGCCAATGGAAGGTGTGTTAAATACAAATCTGATCCTTTGCATCTCGCCTACCTAAAACTCTCCAGTGGCTTCCCACTGCACTTAGCACAGAGGCTCATCCTGTGGGGCCCCTTATGATCTGGCCCCACACCCACCACGCCCCAGCAACAAGGATCACGCCTAGCCACTTTCCTCCTCAAGACCTTTCCATTGCTCATCCCAGGGCCCAGAATGGTATTTTCCCAAATTCTGTGTGGCTAGCTCCTCCCCACCTTGTAGTTCTCAGGTCACCTGTCACCCAGTTAGGAAGGCCTTTCTGATCTAAAGTAGCCACTCACCACATCACTCTGTTGTCAAATCCTGATTCAGTATCATGACATTTATCGCCAGTGGATCTCATCCTGTTTTTTTCAATTTGCTTACCTGTGTATTGTCTGGCTTCTTGCTGAATATCAGCTCCATGGAGGGTGGGGACCTATGTAAGCCACGCTATGCCCCCAGCCTTGTTCAGTGACTGGAACAAAGCTGGTCCTCAATAAATGCCAGTTTAATGAATAGATGTTTCCACTGGAGCTGTGGTGCAGTTAGAAGCCAAATCCCCAGAAAAATCTTCCCGAGACAGTTTCTACCATCAGCAATTCCACTTCAGGATCTATATCCAAAAGAATTGGAAGTGGAGTCTCAGCCAGGTGCAGTAGTTCACACCTGTAATCTCAGCACTTTGGGAGGCTGAGGTAGGAGGATTGCTTGGGCCAAGGAGTTTGAGACAAGCCTGGCCAACATAGGGAGACCCCATCTCTACAAAAAAAAAAAAAAAAAAGATATTTGTATACCCATGTTCACAACAGCATTATTCACAATAGCCAAGAGGTGAAAGCAACTCAAATGTCCATTGACCGATTAATATATAAGCAAAATGTTGCCTATTCATACAATGGAATATTAATCAACCTTAAAGAGGAAGAAAATTCTGACATATGCTACAACATGAATGAACTCTGAGGGCATTACACTAAGTGAAATAAACCAGTCATCCCAGGAGCAATGGCTCACGCCTTCACTTTGGGAGGCTCATCCCTTCACCTTGAGAGGCTGAGGTGGGAGGATCACTTGAGGCCAGGAGTTTGAGACCAGCCTGGGCAACATAGCAAGAACCTTGTCTCTATTAAAAATCAAGAAAAAAAATTAACTGGGCATGGTAGTGTGCACCTGTAATCCCAGCTACTCAGGAGGCTGAGATGGGAGGATCTCTTGAGGCCAGGAGTTTGAGACAACCCTGGGCAACATAGCAAGACCTTGTCTCTATTAAAAATCAAGAAAAAAATTAACCGGGCATGGTAGTGTGTGCCTGAAGTCCCAGTTACTCAGGAGGCTGAGATGGGAGGATCCCTTGAGCACAGGAGGTCAAGGCTGCCATGAGCTGTGATTGCCCCACTGCACTCCAGCCTGGCCTGCGAGAAACAGGGAGACCCTGTCAAAAAAAAAAAAAAAGGAAAGAAAGAAAGGAAAGGAAGAAGGAAGGAAGGAAGGAAGGAAGGAAGGAAGGAAGAAAGAAAGAAAGAAAGAAAGAAAGAAAGAAAGAAAGAAAGAAAGAAAGAAAGAAAGGAAAAGAAAAAAAGGAAGAAACCAGCCATGAAAAGACAAATACTGCAAGAGTCCACTTACATGAGGCATCTAAAATAGCCAAACTCATAGAAACAGGAAGCAGAATGGTGGTTACCAGAGGCTCGGTGGGGAGGAAGAAATGGGAAGTTATTGCCAGTGGGTATAGAGTTTCAGTTTTACGAGATGAAAAGTCCTAACTGTTGCACAACAATGTAAATGTACTTAAAATGATACTGTACACTTAAAAAAATAGTTAAGATGGTAAATTTTATGTTATGTGTTTTTTACCATGATTTTAAAATTTTGTAATTATTTTTTAAAAATCAAGTTTTCACTTATCCCAAGGAATAGAATGGAAAACTGTGGCTAAATAGTCTAAAAGGAATAAAATATTTTTTTAAAAAACGGGAATGGGCCAGGGTGCAGTGGCTCACGCCTGTAATCCCAGCACTTTGGGAGGCCAAGGTGAGTGGATCACTTGAGGCTAGGAGTTCAAGACCAGCCTGGGCAACATGATGAAACCCCGTCTCTCCTAAAAATACAAAATTAGCTGGGTGTGGTGGTGAGTGCCTGTAATCCCAACTACTTGGGAGGCTGAGGCGGGAGAATTGCTTGAACCTGGGAGGCAAATGTAGCAGTGAACCAAGACCGCGCCACCGCACTTCAGCCTGGGCAACAGAGCGAGACTCTGTCTCAAAAAAAAAAAAAAAAACTGGGAAAAGAGAGAAAAGGAGTCAACACAGGGCCCTGTCAATGCTCTGCCCATTCTTTGTCTTTCATCTTGGGAAGATGGACACAGAGACTCATGGGCCTGGGCCCCCAGGAGCATCACAGAGTGAAGAGGAGAGGCAAACATTCCCTTTAACCTCACTGCTGAAAACTTCTAGAAGTCTGCTCTCAGGACATAATTAGGAATGCCAGCAAAAGGTGTTTCATCAGAGCACTGCTTGTAACAGTGAGAAATGGAAAATACCCCCATGACCATCCGGAGGGCACCTGTTAAAGATCGTCAAGCCAAGCAGTGGAGACTACAGAACCATACAAAAAAAAAGATCGTAAAATGTGAATTGAAAAGCAGATAGTCTCTTATGTCATCTTGACCCCATTTGTGTGTGTTTGAGGAGACAGAGACAGAGAGACATGGGTAGATAGCAAGGTATTAACATTTCTGCTTGATAAGATTATTTTCTTTCTCTGCATCTTGTTGTAATGTTCTATAATGAAGATGTATTGCTTCTGAAATAAGAAAAAAAAATGTTTTAGCGAAGAAAATATGGCAGGAAAAAATATTCAGAAGGAAACCCTAGGGGATCCCAGAGAAAATTCTAGTACCCTACTTCATTTTCTAAGAGTAAAATTATAGCACAGAAAGAACCCCCAGTAACAAATAGAAAATACAAAGCTTGAGTTATATAATTCAGAAAGGCCTGCAGAGGCTGTCAGACACCCACAGAGACCCAAACAGACCTTTTGGAGCTCAAACCAGGGCAGAGAAAATACACAAAAACTAATAGAACCCATCCCGGGATTAAAAATTAAACGTGCAGAATCACAGAGACAAAGGCATATGTGAGAAGGAGGGGGAGAAGGAGGCAGGAAGCAATGTTCACTCCTCTTTCAGGTGCTAGTGTGGGCCTTGTGTGTGTGGTGGGGGGATTCTCAAAGCTCATTTTCCCCACTGTTCTAGGGAGCCCCTATAATTAAGCTAATACTAGGAGGAAAGAGCCCTTCTATTTAGCTGTCATCTGTGTGAGCACAAGAGGTGAGTCAGGCATCTCCTGCAGCAGAATGGAAAAGACCCAGGAGCCTGCCAGCTGACCTAGCTTCTACCATGCTGCCTGGCTTAGGGGTGGGGATTCGATTCCCCCAGAGTACTACTGAGTCTAAGGACAAATAATATTAATACACTTTCAGAGCATGTCTTGTGTACCAGGAACTTTCCTAAACACTATAAACATACTCACTCGATTTTCACAACAATCCTATGAGATCGGTGTTTTTATTAATCCCATTTTGCAGACAAGAAAACTGAGGCACAGAGAGGTTAAGACTTGCCCAAGGTCACAGAGTTTAAAAAACAGCAGAGCTAGGATTCGAACTCAGGAAGCTATGGCCCAAGAGCCTATGCTCTGAACTACTATGCTGCTGTCTTAGAAAGCTAAAGGACCAGGGCACCGGGCTCAGTGGCTCACGCCTATAATCCCAACACTTTGAAAGGTCGAGGCGGGCGGATCACTTGAGGTCAGGAGCTCGAGACCAGCCTAGCCAACATGGTGAAACCCCGTCTCTACTAAAAATACAAAACTTAGCCAGGCATGGTGGTGCATGCCTGTAATCCCAGCTACTCGGGAGGCCTAGGCTGGAGAATCACTTGAACTGGGGAGGCGGAGGTTGCAGTGAGCTGAGATCATGCTTCTGCACTCCTGGCAACAGTGGGGCTCCGTCTCAAAAAAAAAAAAAAAAAAAAAAAAAAAAAAAAAAAAGGATAGCTAAAGGACCAACAACAAAGGTTTATTCCCAGATTACTATGACATCTGTTTGCAGGAGATTCATGTCAAGGAGAAGGTGCCTGGAAAACCTCAAGGTTGAGTATTGCTGAACTTCATCCTAGGCTATGAAAACAGCCCAGACTTACTAAAGAAAACCACTTTCCCACTCCCATATCTCCTACTGCTTCAGTGCCCAGCTCTCAGCATTCTCTACTTCCTGTGTGCCCACAAAACATGAAAACCAGCTCTCAGCAGGAGCTACACTGCACTCAACCACTACACTGCCTCTTTTTTTTTTTGAGATGGAGTCTCATTCTGTCGCCCAGGCTGGAGTGCAGTGACACGCTCTCAGCTCACTGCAACCTCCGCGTCCCAAGTTCAAGTGATTCTCCTGCCTCAACCTCCTGAGTAGCTGGGATTACAGGCGCGTGCCACCACGCCCCACTGATTTTTTTGTATTTTTAGTAGAGACGGGGTTTCACCATGTTGGCCAGCCTGGTCTTGAACTCCTAACCTCAAGTAATCCACCCACCCCAGCCTCCCAAAGTGCTAGGATTACAGCATGAACCACCACCACACCCAGCCAACACTACATTGCCTCTTAAGGACGCAGGCTGTGCACCCAGAATGACAAAGCCTCCTCTACACTCCCTGGCTGCAAGACCTGCAGAGAGCTGTTTACCTCCATTCCCCCATCTGTTAACTAGAGCTAATAACAGGGGTTATAGTCAATCCTCATTATTTGCAAATTCACCTCTTGCTAAAATTTATTTATAACCGCCAAATCCATACTCAAGGTTCTTTCATGATCACTCACGGACATGTACGGAGTGGCAAAATATTTGAGTCAGCCAACATGTGTTCCCAGCTGAGGATGAACAAAACCATGTTCTACCTTCAGACTTCAGCTCTCATGCTGTAAACAAGCATTCTCTCTGTGGTATATTAGCAGCATGCTTTTTCCCATTTTTCTGCTTTTTGAGGGTGACGTTGCTGTAAAATGGTCCCATAGGGTAATGGTGAAGTGCTATCTGGTGTTCCTAAGTGCAAGGAGTCCGAGATGTGTCATGCGTGTGTTATATAAGCTTTGATCAGGCACGAGTTGGAGTGCTGTTGGCAGTGAGTTAGATGTTAATGAGTCAACAATATATATTAAGGTGTCTTTAAACAGAAACACACACAGAATAAGCTTACGGGTTGATCAGTGGATGAAAATGCTGTGACCAAAGGCTCACAGGAACCCAACTTTGTATTTCACCTAGGAACAATGGTTCAGTGTTTATTAATTCAGTGTTTGCAGTGACTTTACAGAACATAACTACTGTGAATGACAAGAAGTGACAGGCCGGGTGCGGTGGCTCACGCCTGTAATTACAGCACTTTGGGAGGCCCAGGTGGGTGGATCACCTGAGGTCAGGAGTTCAAGACCGGCCTGGCCAACGTGGTGAAACCCCATCTCTACTAAAAATGCAAAAATTAGCCAGGAGTGGTGGTGCATGCCTGTAGTCCCAACTACTCAGGAGGCTGAGGCATGAGAATCACCTGACCCTGGGAGGCGGAGGTTGCGGTGAGCCGAGATCATGCCACTGCACTCCAGTGTGGATGACGGAGTGAGACTCTGTTTTGAAAAAAAGGAAAAAAAAAAAAAGAAGTGACTGCACCTCAGAGTACTGTCAGTCTTAAATAAGCTGATACCACTAAGGCACTTAGGATACTGCTTTGACACATACTAAGTGTGATGTAGCCATTCTCCATTACCATTTACACAGATTTTTAGCTTAAAGACTGAAATGAAATCAGTGAGAACATGGGGACTCACACAGAACAACTAACTTTCCTGAGTTGAGTGGCCCAGACAAATGCACAGAAAGAGAGTTTTGACAGTGCGGCATGCCATTGGTGATGAGCTCAGAGTGAATAAGTGGCTTCAGGTTGAGGCCGACTTTTGGGAACACCCATGGGCTTTACCTGCTCAGAATCTACTCTTGGGGAGTCTTATATGGGATTGTAGAGGGGTCAACAAGTCAGAGATGGTCGTGTGACTCAAGGCAGGACAATCAGAAGCTCCTTCCCCAGACTTAGCACCTTTTTAAGAAAAGATTCTCTCTATTCTCTCTAAAATTTAGCATTTGTTTTTTAAGAGACAGGGTCTCCCTCTGCTGCCCAGGCTGGGGTGCAGCAGTGCCATCATAGCTCACTGCAGTCTTGAGCTCCTGGGCTTAAGTGATCCTTCTGCCTCAGCCTCCACATAGCTGGGACTACAGGCACTGTGCCTGGCTACTGTTTTTTTTTAAGGACAGGGTCTCACTATGTTACCCAGGTGGGAAATTTGCATCTTTTACAGAGTTATTCACCCCATCTCTGGTGTCCTGAAGGAAACAGTCATTAGTCCCTGCTTCCTAGATCCCTAGAATTCATTTGGTTTCAGGACTTTCTAAAGCCTGGTTCTTCATCTTTTCCTTCACATCTCTGTCCATCCCTCCCCCCCCATATCCTTCTAACAAATTCTTTTTTGCTTACATTAATCAGAGTTCATTTATGTTACTTGCAACCAAAGGATTCTAACTAAAGGATTTTCAAAGGATATGTTTCCTTCATCCACCCTTCCCTGTCACTTAGGTCTCAGAAAAAAAGAAAATTCCAGTGTTAACCACTTTCTCCAGCTGAACATTGTTTTGAGTAGTGGTATTTTGAAGGGACAGAGCAGAACAAATACATCAGTGAAGCACTCAGATGTCCTTAAATTAGTTCAACTCTTCTGGCCCAGATGAATTGCATTCCAGGGCTCCAAGAGATCTCACCAGTGAGATCACCAAACCACACTGCCTAGGATCCCAGAAGAATCCTGGAGAAAGAGAAACGCAGAGAGGTACGCAAATGTCATTTTTTTTTTTCAAAAAGAAAAAGAAACCGTGGCTTCTGCAGACAAAAGAACCAGCATAAGGAGATGGAGACATATCGGACTAACCCCATTTCCTTTTTAGTGTGTGTTTTGTTTTGTCCTTGGACAGTTGCTAATCTGGTGGACGGGGGAAGTGTGATGTGGAATATATCCCTGGAGTTTAACAAAGCATTCCTCAATGTTGCCTGTGATAGTCTTTTGGGAATGACGGAAAATATGCTGTCTTCTCAGAGTTTGGTGGATTAGTGACAAGTTAAACTTCCACAGCCACATGGTACTACTTAATACAATTTGTCTTTGTGGCACTTACAAGTAAAATTACGTATATAATTGTTCCATATCTGGCTTCCCTGGTAGGCTGTGGGATCTGTGAGTGAGTGGTTGGAATCTGTCTTGGTCACCATTATATCCCACACCTCGCATTGTGCAGAGCACATAGACAGGGGTCCAAAAAATGACTGCATGCGTGTGTAAATGAGTTGATCAATCAATGAATATATGTCAACCTTAAAGGGACCTCTAAAAGAGTGGCAAACATAAACGCCTATGGGGCCCGGCCAGTCACATAAAATGAGGCATATAGCATGACTAGGGGAGCCCATATCCACCCCAAAAAGTCAGCTACTTCTCAGTTCTAGCCCTGGTGCCATGAAGGAATGCAGACTTGGGCTGTCAGTTACGACACTTTTTCAAAAGATACCTAATACTGGTATTTCGTTATGAAATATCCTACTTTTAAATATGGGTCATGCATATATATATATGATATACACACATATATGTGTGATATACACACATATATGTGTGATATACATACATATATGTGTGATATACATACATATATATGTGTGATATACATACATATATATGTGTGATATACATACATATATGTGTGTGATATACATACATATATATGTGTGATATACATACATATATGTGTGATATACATACATATATGTGTGTGATATACATACATATGTGTGTGATATACATATGTGTTTGATATACACATGTGTGTGATATACATACATATGTGTGTGATATACACATATGTGTGTGATATACATCATATATATATATATATATATATATATCTTTTTAGTTGAAGCAAAACATGTCTAGGAAGGGAAATTCAATCCTTGGACACCCGCTGGTAAGCTCTGCTAAAAAGGGTCCCTGGGTCTTCCTCCTCAGTCTTGTCTCATCCAGTATTTTTTTTATCATAAGACACAGAGAGGCTGGGCATGGTGGTTCACGCTTGTAATCCCAGCACTTTGGGAGACTGAGCTGGGAGGATTACTTGAGCTCAGGAGTTCAAGACCAGCCTGGGCAACATAGTGAGACCTCATCTCTACTAAAATTCAAAAAAATTAGCCAGGTGTGGTGGCACGTGCTTGTAGTCCCAACCACTTGTGGGGGCTGAGGCAGGAGGATCGCTTAAGCCCAGGAAGTCGAGGTTGCATTGAGTCCTGATCGTGCTACCACACTCCAGCCTGGGCAACAGAGCAAGACCCCGTCTCAAAAAAAAAAAAAAAAAGGACATAGAGAAAGGATCAAATGAGTTGAATTCAAAAACAACACATGGCTGAAAAGATGGGTGATCAGGCTGGAAGACAGATGTAGGACCTTAAACATAAGTAACAGAATGGATTTAACATGAGCAAGTATTAAGGTCCAGAAACCCAATTTACAAGTCCAGGAACACAAGTTAGATTAAGAGGTTTTCAGATTAAGTATTTGTGAATCACTTAAGGATTTCATCAGATGAAAAGCTCAGTGAGTCAGCAGTCTGAGAGGGCTGCCAAAATAGTTGATGATTTTAGATTAATTGAAGTGCATTATCTACATCAGTGATTACACATTGGTGGCCCACATTTTGTTTGGCCTGCAAGTTGGTTTTTAGTTTTTTAAAAATAATGAACTTACCAACACTTCACAATTAGGAAAGCTCCCATAAATATACTCATTTCCTGCCTCTCTTGGGGCAAAACAAAAAAAAAAAAAAAGAGAGAAGAATCTGGTGATGCTAGGCCTGTGTGGGTACACCAAAAAATAAGTATGTTTCAAAATATTACATACTTATTTGTATGCTTATAAAAACTCTTAAGGTTTCATTTACAGGCATTTCTTATATCTAGGACGTTTCACACATCTAAGACAGTTGCCTGGCCCCTGTAGGAATTTGAATTTGTAACCCCAAATCTAGAACATGAGATGTGATGGTTCATCTCTACTCAGTGATAGGCAGAATCTAGCTGACACGTTACATGGGATTTCAGAATTTGTGTTTTATAAGGCACACGGACTAGGTGGAAGTTTGTGGACAGGTGAAAGAACTTTTAGCTCATCCATAGAACAAAATCCTACGCTGCCGTTTTTTCAAATGTCTATCTCTTCTGACACGGAAAGACAGACATTGTTAATGAAATCAGAAAGCTGTACAACTGAATATTTAGCCTAATACTATTTTAGTAAATACATGTGTACGTGGGTGTAGGTGTGTATTTTTTATAAGCATAGACAAGCAATTTTCCCTTCCAACTTTGAAATTCAAGGGTTCTGTGAGATTTCCACATTCTTGACAGCCAAATATAAGATCGGGAAGTGACCGAGTGATTTACAGAGGCAGGAGGCAAGAATCTAGTATCATTAGAGGTAAATGTGCTAAAGGGTATTTTAAAAATAATAATTTTCATGAGACTGAGTAGGAGTGTATATTTGAAAACCTTGAAAAGCAGGATGAAGAGTGGGACCCAGAAGCAGATATACTGACAGTGGCTAATTCTAGCTGACATCTCTTAAGGTCTCAGCTCATGCCTGGCAGACTTTCCTGAAACTGCTCCTCTCACCTGCAAGGGTGGAGCCCAGCTATAGCATCTTCCATGTCCCTATCCACTGGCTTCTGACTCAATGAAGGGCAATCAGATTATCCCAGAAGTTTGGAATTAGACTTAAGAAATGCTATCTGTCCCAGTTGGGAAGTAAGTGTGAAGTATGGCCAGAAAGCACATGGTTGACCCATTGCAAACACAGGCCAAGAAAGACCATCAACAGAAAAAGGAGAAAGTCAGACCTGCAGGAACCAAAGAAGAACCAGAAAACCCATGGTCCAAAAACAAAGAGAAGCTGAAATCGCACAGCTGCCTGCATTCCCGATAAGTCTTCCATTTTTCTTTTTTTCTTTTTTCTCTCTTTTTTTTTTTTGACAGAGTTTCACTCCATCGCCCAGGCTGGAGTGCAATGGCACGATTTCGGCTCACTGCAACCTCCACCTCCCAGGCTCAAGCAATTCTCCTGCCTCAGTCTCCTCCCAAGTAGCTGGGATTACAGGCGCCCACCACCACACTCAGCTAACTTTTTTTTTCTTTTTTTTTTTTTTTTTTTTGTGTGTGTGTGTGTGTGTGTTTTTAGTAGAGACGGGGTTTAGCCACGTTGGCCAGCCTGGTCTTGGACTCCTGACCTCAGTTGATCCACCCACCTCGACCTCCCAAAATGCTGGGATTACAGGCATCCGCTACCACACCCAGCTAATTTTTTTTTTATTTTTTATTTTATTTTTAGTAGAGTCGGGGTTTCACCATGTTGGTCAGGCTGGTCTTGAACTCCTAACCTCAGATGATCTGCCCGCCTCGACCTCCCAAAGTGCTGGGATTACAGGCATGAGACACCACGCCGGGCCAAGTCTTCCGTTTTTCTAACCAGTTGCTCCTGAAGCCCAGCTGAAGTTCCTGCTCTTCAATCACACATGATAACCTCCAATAATAATAATAATAATAATGGCAGCAGGAGCTCCTACTCAGAGATGCTCACCATCTGCTCAGCAATCAGTGCTTTCCATACACAAAATTTAGTTTTCCTGACAACCCTGTGAGGTAGTTCATATTTTTACACTTTGCTCTATTTTTGTAGGTGAAAAACTGAGGCACAAAGAGGTTAAGTAACTTCCCAAAAGTGACCCAACTAGGAAGTGGCAGAGCCAGAATCTGAACCCAAACAGGATACCTCCAGAGACCTTATATTTAACTTTTATTTATTAATTTTTTCTTGTTTTTTAGATAAAGGGTCTTGCTCTGTCATCCAGGCTGGAGTGCAGTGGCACAATCATAGTTCACTGCAGCTTCCAACTCCTGAGCTCAAGCGATCCTCCCACCACAGCCCCCCGAGTAGGTAGGACTACAGGTGCACACGACCGCACCAGCTAATATTTTTAAAAATTTTTTGTAAAGACGAAGTCTTGCTATGTTGCCCAGACTGACATTTAACTATTAACTATTCCACTTCTTGGTCTAAGTTGGCCTAAGTGAATTTCCACAACTTGTGACTCCAACAGAGAGACATGGAGAAGCCACATGGACTCAGGGAAAAGCAGCCACCTGGAAGTGCTGTAACAGGAACGCTGCCAGTTCTTCCTGCTAAGTTGGCCAGCAAGAGACCATTTCTTGGAACTGGGGTGGCTGCTGGCACCAAGGCCTGCAGTCACAAGAAGAGCCGTGGCAAAGCCACTCAGGCCTTGATGTAGCATGTTCTTGACAATTATGTGTGTTGAGCACCCCCTGAGTGCCAGCCACCATTCTGGGAGCTGGAGAAGTAACAGAGAACAAGACAGGCAAGGACCCCGCTCTCCCAAAGCTTACATTCTAGAAAAGGAAGTCAAACTAATATTTTAAACAGTTACAGATGCTATGAAAAGATTTAAAAAAAAAAAAAAAAAAAAAACCTGTATAACTTTGGGAGGCTGAGAGGCTGAGTTGGGCAGATTGCCTGAGGTCAGGAGTTCGAAACCAGCCAGACCAACATGATGAAACCCTGTCTCTACTAAAAATACAAAAATTAGCCAGGCATGGTGGCACATGCCTGTAATCACAACTACTCGGGTGGCTGAAACCAGAGAATCACCTGAACCCAGGAGGCACAGGTTGCAGTGAGCCGAGATTGTGCCCCTGCACTTCATCCTGGGCAACACAGTGAGACTCCGTCTCAAAAAAAAAGAAAAGATAAAAAAAACAAGGTGATGGGATTAGAGAATGCTGGAAGGGTAGTCAGGGAAGGCTCAAAGAGGTGATACTGGAGCTAAAATGAAAATGATGGGAAGGATCCGACTAATGCCATGATCCTGGGGAAGAGAGACAGAGGGGGACAGGGGCAGGAACGAGCTTAGAGAAGTCAAAGAAGAGAGAGAAGGCAGAGTGCCTGGAGCACACATTCATTCCACGGTCTCTGCTGGGCAGGCAAATCCTTCACGGGCCAGGCATGTGGAGAGAAAGATGACTATGATTCAGCCCATTGGCTCATATAACTGACAGGCTGGTGAAGGAGCCAGCATGGCAGGCTGCACTTGACCACTCTTCATTCCTCCCTAGAGCCACACCCTTGCTATGTGACTCTCTCCATAAGAGATACAGCCCATCCCCCATGTCTTGAATCTGAGAAGGCTTGGGACTTGTTTAGGGCCCGTATGCAGAATGCAGTGGAAGAGACGGTGCAGCAGTTCCAAAGCTCATCCTGCAGTACCGTTGTGTTCTCAGACCCTTTGAACTGGGCCCATCTGCCCTGTGAACAAGCCCAAGTGGCCTGCTGGAAAAGGAGACCCACGGGGTCCAGGCCCCCTATTGCTCCAGCTAACACACATCTAAGTGCCAGATGTGCAAGTGAAGCCATCCTAGACCAATCAGGCCCCAGATAACCTGCTAGCTGACCAAAGACACACGAGCAAGCCCAGCCGAGATCAACAGCATTGCCCAGCTGATCTGTAGACTAGAGTGCAGTTTAGAGGTAGTTTGTTATAAAGAAGAAGCAAATTCATACACCAGGGTGGATGCCTGAGAAAGTGTGGGAACACAGTCAGAAACAGCTTGCTTTGTGGCTGTACCTGACAGCCCTGCCAGGGTCCTGATCAACCTACGTGCAGGTAGGTCCTGATGTGGCCCCAGGCTGATGCCCTGAAGCAGCTACCACTCTGGCATGCCACAAGAAAGTGAAGCACCTAATGGCTTCGTTTAAAAGTCCCAAGTGAGCAGTTAGAAGGAAACTTTGCTTTAGGATGTTGCCTCTGGAATCAAACAGACCTGACTTGAAGCCCCAATTCTGCCTCTTTCTAGCTAGGATAAGTTGTTTAGCCTCTCCAAGCCTCTGTTTCCTTATCTGACAATAGATTAAATAACTAAAGTATCTTGAAGAGTACCTGGCACATACCACATGCTATATACATGTTTCCAGTTATTATACATGAACCAAAGAAAGGGACACCCCCCATTGTAATGAACATATCACTCATTGGTGATATCTGAAAGAATTTTATATGGAATACAGATGACACTCATCACACCAAGCCATACTAGGAAGAAATTGTTCTTCTGATTCTTTTTTAATCTTCCTGATTTATCAAAGGAGAAAGTATCAGTTTGGTGCTTGTATGTTTTGAACACCATTCTAATATTTGCCAAACTCCTTTTTGGAACATAGAGAGACGATATTTCAAAATCAGATTCTTGTCTGCCAACAGTACCTAGCTAGAACTTCATAATATTGTTTAAATTACCCTTTTTTTTTTTTTCAGATGGAGTCTCACTCTGTCGCCCAGGCTAGAGTGCAATGGCGCGATCTCGGCTCACCGCAACCTCCGCCTCCCAGGTTTAAGCGATTCTCCTGCTTCAGCCTCCTGAGTAGCTGGGATTACAGGCCTCTGCCAGCATGCCTGGCTAATTTTTGTATTTTTAGTAGAGATGGAGTGTCACCATGTTGGTCAGGCTGGTCTCAAACTCCTGACCCCAGGTGATCCGCCCACCTCAGCCTCCCAAAGTGCTGGGATTACAGGCGTGAGCCACTGCTTATAGTTATGAATTATTTGTGATGACACTGTTTTTCTATTTATACGATGATAAAATTTCCTTCAAAATAAATGGGTTGAAATGAAAAAACAGACTCTTTAAAGAAAAATATTATTTCCTGTTCTATATCTTTGGTAGAAAAAGATTTATTTAAAAGAAAAAAGGACAGACAGCACACAGACACAGAAAATATGATGTAAGTTAGAATGGAATATTAGGGAAGACTGAAATAAGAAAAAGACCATGGATAGGATTGGGAGTTCGACCTGGCTCAAGCTCCAGCTTAGTCAAGTTACTGGCTATATGACTGTATTAGTCAGCTTTTGGTAGGTAAGTGCAATAATAAGCAACCCCAAAATTCTAGTGACTTACAATATTCGAAGTTTAGCTCTTACTCGTGCTACGTGTCACTGCAGTTGTCTGTGGCTCTGTGATTCTACTTCCTGTGTCTTTTCCATCCCAGGACGCAGCTGAGGCAACAGCCCTTTCTTGGTCTTGTGGCAGAGGTGGGAAGAACAATGGCTAAACCACACAATAGCTTCTCAAAGCCTCTGTTTAAATGTAGAGTAGATTGTGTCTGCTCACGTTCCATTGGCCAATGCTCCACATCAGTGGGAAGGAAAGTGTGTCCCTTCTGCAAGTAGACATGTATGTCACATAGCCATGTGTGAAATGTATAATCCTTGTATGAGGTGGGAGCAAATAATTGAGACAACAACACAATCCACCACAGGGACCCTGGGCAAGTCGCCTCACTTCTATTTCGGCATCTGTGAAATGGGTCAAGCTCAATACACAGGCATTCTCTCTCCCTTTCTTATTTTCTGAGATTCATTCAGGGAAGCTCAAATCAACATTAGAAAGTTCTTGGGAGACCAGCTGTACTGAAAAGTTTGATTCAAGATTGTAATCAGCCAAAAACAAACCCAAGTGGACCTGATGCTTCGTGTGAGATGGGTACCCTTGGCAGCCGGCCCCAGTCTCCATCCCCACAAGCCATTCATGTCACCACTTTATAAAAATCTTATTAGACAAACTCTTACCAGTTCTGAAACTAAAGAGAAAATGGAGGGGAAATGGTTCTATTAATTGATATCAAGACATTAATGTGGTGATTAAGAGCATGCGTTTTGTTATTTAAATCATGGCTCTGCCATTTACTTGTTACATCACCTTGAGCAAGTCAAATAACTGAGCCTCAGGTTATTTATCCATAAAATGCAGACAATCAATTATGTAACTGATAGGTCATTGTGAAAATCAAATAAGATAATTAATGTGTATAACTTATCATCTGCCTGCCCCAAATAAATGCTCAATAAATAGAAATTCTTACTAATGCCAGTACATGTCCCAGAGAATAAAAGTTCAAGTATTTCAAATTGACATTTGGCACTCAGAATAGGGAAGTCCTTGCTTATGCCAGCTGTCTAAGTCTGAGTTTTATTTTTTGCTTCCCATTCTGCAAAACGGGTCAGTGCACTGCTCCCTGGAAATCCCACAGGGATGGCCTGACCTTGCCTCTATTTGTAAAGGATTTTCAATATTTTTTGCAGGACCTGAAGAAATATAAAGTGCAGGGGCCATTTCTGAAAGTGATAAATGGATGTGGACCATGGCTACATTGGTTTTTTCAGCCTTCAGTTCACAAGGATAGGTCAGCAAAAGGCTGAGGTCAGTGTATAAGGAGATCTTCAGAAAACAAATCCGTAGGGGAAGATCTACATCTACCATTCTTTGGAGCCAGATCTCCCCTGTTTTATGTGTGATGGATGCTTTTAGCAACCAAGTTTATTCCAACTCCCAGCTGCAGGACTTGTCGCCAATTACTTGGAAAGAGATGAATAATTAAAGACTTCTCTCTAGAGGGACCAAGCAGAAGTGTTTGGCTAACAGGGAAAAGTTAGCAATAATAATCTCCCTGTGGCTCACAGCAGTTTGGTCTACTTCTAAGTCTGCTCAGAGATTCAAAGTCTACCCAAGATTGCACAAGTTGTGACCCTGAGCCTCAGTCTTCACATCCTTAAAGTGGGAATAATGAACTGTTTGGAAACACTTTGTTAGGCTTCAAGAGCTAAACCAATAATAAGGGAGTCTGTCATTCCCTTATGGCACTAAAGTGACACAGGACCCAGGACTTGATGAAAATAGACAACACAAACACAAACAACGAGCAAAGGATCAGTGTCTAGTAGATTGAAATAAAAATTATTACAAATCAATATGAAATTATAAAAAAGTGGGGAGGGAGACATTCATAGAAGATGAAATACAATTGTCCAATAAATATGTAAAAAGATGTTCAGTCTCACTAGTAAGAAGAGGTGGCTGGGAGTAGCGGCTCACGCCTGTAATCCCAGCACTTTGGGAGGCCGAGGCCGGTGGATCACCTGAGGTCAGGAGTTCAAGACCCACCTGGCCAACATGGCGAAACCCCGTCTCTACTAAAAATACAAAAAAAATCAGCCAGGTGAGGTGGCAGTAATCCCAGCTACTAAGGAGGCTAAGGCAGGAGAATCGCTTGAACCTGGGAGGCGGAGGTTGCAGTGAGCTGAGATCATGCCACGGCATTCCAGCCTGGGCGACAGAGTGAGACTCGGAAAGTAAGAAAGGAAAGAAAGGAAAGGAAATGAAGAAAGAAAAGAAAGAAAGAAAGAGAAAGAAAGAAAGAGAAAGAAAGAAAGAGAGAGAGAGAGAAGGAAGGAAGGAAGGAAGGAAGGAAGGAAGGAAGGAAGGAAGGAAGGAAGGAAGGGAAGGAAGGGAAGGAAGGGAAGGAAGGGAAGGAAGGGAAGGAAGAAAGGAAGGGGAAGGGAAGGGAAGAGAAGAGAAGAGAAGGGGACAGGAAAGGATCATTAAAATTAAATGCCATTTTTCTCCCATCAGATTGGCAAAAGTGTTAAGGCCTGATAATATCATGGTCTGGGAAAGATGCAGTGAGACGGAAACACACACTGCTGGTGGGAGTATACAGTGGTCCAGCTATTCTGGAGAACATTTGGCAAAACCTATTAAAAGCTGAATCGTGTATACCCCAGGGCTAAGCCATTATACTTCCGAGGAACACGAGAAACACTTGCATATTGATGAGATGTGTAGAAAGATGCTCATTGCCATGCTGTTTGTAATAGACACAACCCCTCCAAAAAAGAATCTAAATGTTCATCAACAGGGAAGTGGCCATATGCATGGGAGAAAGTTCAGACTTTGGAATGCTACAGAGTTCTATAAGAGACACCAAATTTACAAACAATAGGCTTCTGGGGAAGGTAGAGGGGACTAAATTGAGACGTCAAAAGAGTTAAAAGGTCTTCAATCTTATCTATGTTGTGTAATTTATCCTGATGAGATTGTACTTATGCATTTCTTATGAACTTAAATTTTTTAACACAGCAGGACAATGTCACTATATCATCTATGCTGGGTCACAAAATCTAGCTGACTCCAGAATCAGCAGAAGATACGTGTATGGGGATAAACATGGCCATAATGATTACCCCATGACTGAGGTTTCTACCTCCCCTGATGTTTTCTCTTTACTCTCAGAAAGAAACAGTCAACCAAGGCACACTTGGCTTTTGCCAGTCTAGTAACCTAGAGACCTAAAGGATTAATCCCTTCCCAGGGGCGATAATTAACATTTTCTAATGAAGGCAATTTACAATCAATCAAGTTAACAACTGCTGTTCTTATCCTACTTTCTTTCACTTAGGTGTGAAAAGACAGGAAGTACTTGAAGGGTGGGGTAGACTCAAAGGATAGAATCCCACAGGATCCCATAGAGCCCGGGGGCAATTTGACCAGGAAGGGGTTCTGAACTCCAGAAGAGGAGGATGGAGAGTGGAAACACAAAGACTAAAAGGCAGGCTCTAGCATGACATCCAGAGAGAGGCCTCCCTCTTCTGGGCTTAAGCCTACTCTCCCAGAACCTTCACTCAGCTCCTTGCATCCCAAAGGGCAGAGTCTAGGCTAAGCATAAAGGATCCAATCTATGCAATGGAGGGAAGTAAGTGTCCAACACAGAGGCACCTGATGAAATACAGCGACCAGCCCAAGAAGAGCCCCTTGGGGCTCTGTTTCTTACATTAGGAAATCTCAATTTCAGCCTGCACAACATGGCAAAACCCCATTTCTACAAAGATAGATATATATTTATATATAAAAATTTAAATATACATATACACACACACACACACACACACACACACACACACACACACACACACACACACATATATATATATATATATATATATATATATATATATATATATATATATATATGCCGGGCATTGTTGTACATGCCTGTAGTTCCAGCTGCCCTGGAGGCTGAGGTGGGAGGATCACCTGAGCCCAGGAGGTCAGGGTTGCAGTGAGGTGTGATTGTGCTACTGTACCTCAGTCTGAGTGACAGAATGAGATCCTGTCCAAAAAACAAACAAACAAACAAAAAACCACACACACACACACACACACACACACACAAACAAAACAGAAAATAAATCTTGATTTCTATTTCTTCCTCGTTCAATCTTGTGAGGTTGTGTGCAAAGGAAATTTACCCATTTCCTCTAGGTTTTCTAACTTGTGTGCATAGAGGTGTTCATAGTCATCCCTGAGGATCTCCTGTGTTTCTGTGGGATCAGTCATAATGTCAGCTTGGTCATTTCTGATTGTGCTTATTTGGATTGTGTCCTTTGCAGCAACATGGATGCAGCTGGAGGCCATTATCCTAAGCAAATTAATGCAGAAACAGAAAACCAAATACCACATGTTCTCACTTCGAAGTGGGAACTAAACATTGGGTACACAGGGGCATAAAGATGGAAACAACCGACACTAGGGACCCCAAGAGGGAGAGGGCATAGGGGAAGGGGGTCAAAAAACTACCTATCAGATGCTAGGTTCACTATGTGAGTGGCGCGACCAATAGAAACCCTAACCTTAGCATCACGCTCCATAACCACGTAACGAAACTGCACATGTACTCCCTTAATCTAAAATAATTTAAAAAAAACAAAAAAAGAAATCTCAGAGGCCCTGGTCGTGAGAAGCACCCAGCCTCCACTCAGGGATGGAGGGATACAGAAGCAAACTCCACCTTCCGTTTCCTGTTTGATCACAGCAACTCCCAATGCAGGTCTCTGCTATAAGAAGTAGATACAGGTTTTTTCTTTTCCATCACTTATCATAATCTAGAACGACCTCTTATTTTGTTTGTTTGTAATCTTGTTTATTATCTGTAGGTTACATGAGGAGCAAGGGCTATCTTGCCTATTGCTGTATCCCCAGTATACAGTAGGAGCTCAATAAATTTTTCTTTTCAAGATGAGTTCTCACTATACTGCCCTGGCTGGTCTCAAGATCCTGGGCTCAAGTGATCCTCCCGTCTCAGCTTCCCAAAAGACTGGGATTGCAGGCGTGAGCCACTGTGCCCGGCAATAAATATCTTTTCTTAATCTCGAAGGTGAGGATACTTCTAGCAATACAGCAATAAGCCTGAAACACAGTACCTGAGGGTGGGAGAGCTCACTGAGCAGAGATGGTGTTTAGGAAAGAAGTAGAAATGCCTCTACTTCGGAAGGGACCATTTCTGTTCCTAAAATAAATAAAATCATATGATTTTCCTAGGACTATTTTTTGTGGCTCTATGGGTTAAGAGTCAGAACCTTCATGTTAGTCGCCCTACAAAGGAACAAGGGAGATCCTTATTACTAAGTTTTGAAGTTTGACCTCAGCTTAGCTAAGATTTTACTCTGTACCCATTACTGACGGGCTGGTACAAAAATAAGAGCAGTAACTTCCTCTTTTATTTAAACAAAGAGAGAGAGAGAGAGAAATAACGTACTGAACTCTGAACTTCCTCTCTTTTAACCACAACTTACTACTGACTTTTACTTTGGTAAAAAGATTACCAAATCAGGCACATTCTTGGTGCTGATGGATAGTTTCTATCCAAAACTCTGCCTGGAACATTGTCTACTAATACCAATTTTAATATAGGAGCCAGTCCAGGAACCCTGATTGGAAGCGGACAAGACTGACTCCAGGCTGCCATAAAACTGCCCAGCTCAGCTTTGGGGCTGCTACAGTTACATTTACAGGATAGACACTTTCCATACGAAAATGAAACTGCATTCAAAATGCAATTCTATTTCGAGGCACAAATCCACAGCTAGATAGGGCAGAGGAGCTGGGACATCGGGTGCAGCAGCCTAAGTTTGGCCCCAAGCTCTGCCACTTAAGAGCTCTGTGACATTGTATTACAGGAAAGGAGTCCTGATCCAGACCCCAAGAAAGGGTTCTTGGATCTTGCACAAGAAAGAATTCAGGGTGAGTCCACAGTGCAAAGCAAAAGCAAGTTTATTAAGAAAGTAAAGTGGTGAAAGAACAGTTACTCCATAGACAGAGTAGGGGGTTCCTAAAAGTAAGAGAAGGAGCACGTCCACCCTAGGTAAAATATTCGTGTGTGTGTGTGTGTGTGTGTGTGTGTGTATGTGTATATATATGTATATATATACACATATATATGTATGTATATATACACATATATACGTATGTATGTATACACATATATACATATATATGCATGTGTATATATATACACATACACATGCATATATATGATTATATGATCATATATGTTATATATTATATAATCATATATATAAATCATATATATATGATTTTAAAAATCATGGAGAGATGTGTTCTGCTACAAGGGTTTGTGATAAAGGATTAATTTTCTTAATTACTCTGTTTTGCAATAATCAATATTATTATCCTTAAAGCAAAATTAGGAATGCCTTTGTTCTCAAGATATCGGGATAGCTGGACACTGCCAAGCCTGGCTCTGTTTAGTAAACATTATCAATCTGTTCCCTTAACTGTAGACATCTAGAGGCTAGGAATACCTTTCTTTCTGGGAATGCAGCCCAGCAAGTCCCGGTCTTATTTTCCTAGCCCTTACTCAAGATGGAGTCACTCTGGCTCAAGTGCCTCTGACAATTGGGGAAATGACTTCACCTCTCTGGGCGTTAGTTTTCCCATGTGTTAGACAGAAAAGAGTCTCGTTTCTGTTATGGGCAAGCAAGCTTCAGCTAGACCCAACCTTTCCATAGGTAACAAGTAAAAACTCTCAACGAAAAAAAAATTTTTTCCTGAAATTACTCGAAAGTGAACAAAAGAAAGCAGATTCTGCAGAGAGGTTGAAACTTGGAAGAAGGGAATGGTCATTTTACAGCTTTTCCCCTGAACGCAAGCTGCTGTCAGCTAAAACTTCAACATGAAGCCTCAAGTCTTTCTGGTGTACAGAACCAGAGGACAGGTTTCAGGTCACTCACGGCTTCTGGAAAGTGAGGAAGGAATTCCATAATAGAGACAGCCAAGAGAGAAGAGCCCCAAATTCTGTGTCTAAACCCCACCCAAATGTCTGGCTGACTCTTGAACCATGCATGCATGGGGCAGTCCCAAAGAAGACTCAAGGATAAAATAAAAAACAGAACTGACATCTGAGCTGGTGTCCCAGAGACAGTCTACTGTCCAACCAAGTCAATGGCCTACTAAAACAAAAACATCAATGCTTTTCAGAGAAATACGAATGAATCCAGAGTCTCCACAGCACAACACTTACAGTGTCCAGGATACAATCCAAAATTACCCGACATACAAAAAACCAGGAAGATAAGACACAATCTCAAGAGAAGCTAATCAACCAGGAAAAAAGGGGGAGGAGCAATGATTCAGAGTAGGTTGAGGCAATAACCTCAAATTGTGTGAGATACAATGCATTCTACTGGAAAGAACAGAAAACCCATCTTAAGACGTTTTAAGCAGTAAGAGAATTATCTAACAAAACAAAATTTCAAGAGATAGAGCTATATCAAGATTAGTGAATTCAGGGGCTCAAGGATATTGTGAAGGAGACAGATCCTCTCCCTCTTTTTACACTGCCATTTACAGCTTGCCAACCTTGTCCCTCATGGTCAAAACATAGCTGCCACAGCTCCAAGCACCACATGCAAATGTGACATGAAATACTTAAACACAAATCCTTTGTCCTATGTCCCCTTCCTTCCTGCTTTGCCCTGTGAGTATGTGATTCTGGGAGCTATCACAGCCTTCCTGGGACCAAGAAGGGAGACACTGATCACATTTTGAGGATGGCAGAGCAAATAACTGAGAGGCGCTTGATGACAGTGTTAAGTCTTTGATTAAACCAACCCTGGAACCACCAGCCTCCTTGTTAGGCTCGCCAGATATTCTGTTTTTAAGAACCAAAGCAGGTCAGGCATGGTGGCTCATGCCTGTAATCCCAGCACTTTAGGAGGCGGAGGTGTGAGGATTGCTTGAGCCCAAATTCAAGACCAGCCTGGGAAACACAGTGAGACCCTGTTTCTATAAAAAATAAAATAATTAGCTAGGAATGGTGGGACATGCCTGTAGTCCCAGCTACCTGGGAGGCTGAAGTGGGAGGTTTGCTTGAGCCTGGGAGGTTGAGGCTGCAGTGAGCTGTGTTTGTGCCACTGCACTCCAGCCTGGGTGACAGAGCAAGACCTTGTCTCAAAAAAAAAAAAAGAACTAATGCATCCTATCTGAAACAACCTCCAGAATTGGAGAGCTAGTAACACTTGCTATAAATAGAAGGTGAGTATGAAGAACACAATGAAAATTTAAATTATTAAATTCTAGCAGGTACATAGCTCTGAGTCTGAGATTGCTTCATTCTTTTAGCTTAAAAGGGAGATTTGCATGCATTAGAAAGATGTTTAGGACATGATAGCACCAAACTAAGACACTCTCCTTAACCCGAAGAATTAAAAGAAAAAAACATTTTTTTCTTTTTTATACTGAGTCTCATTCTGTTGCCTAGGCTAGAGTACAGTAGCGCGATCTTGGCTCACTGCAACCTCTGACTCCGGGTCCAAGCAATTCTCCTGCCTCAGCCTCCCGAGTAGCTGGGAGTACAGGCACACACCACCATGCCCGGTTTTTTTGTTTTGATTTGTTTTGTTTCTTTTTTTTTTTAGTAGAGATGGGGTTTCACCATGTTCACCAGGCTGGTCTGGAATTCCTGACCTCAAGTGATCCACCCACCTTGGCCTCTCAAAGTGCTGGGATTACAGGTGTGAGCCACCACACGCGGCCTACAAGAGAATTTCTTTTAAAACTACGTAGTTCCATGTTGTTGAATACCTTACATCATTAAAAATCTTTGAGTGCCACCAGTAACATACTTCAGATATTTTAAAAATGCACCCCTGTATTAACAACTCCCAAACATTTACCTCTATCCCTGACTTCTCATGACTTCCAGTTGCCTTTGGGCACCTACACCCGGATATGGCACAGGCACCTCATCCTCAACATACCCAACGCATAATTCTCTATCTTCTCCCCCAAGCTTTCTCTTCTTCTTGTATTCTCTGCTGCTATTCATGATATTTCTATGTATCAAGCACCCAAACCCGGACTCCCTCAATAGGTGACAACATTTATAGTACTTTTTTTTGGTACTAAGTGCCAGGGTGCCACTGCATCTTACACAAGCACTAACATATTTGATCCTGACAACTCTTATTAGGTAGGTCCTATTATCATTCACCCCTTTTTCAAAATGAAGAAGCTAAGGATAAGAAATTTGCCTGGGGTCATGAGATTTGAATGCAGGTCTGTCTAATTCCTCTTTTTTTCTGCTTCACAAAGAAAATAGAAACCACCAAGCAAGATTTCTCAACTGGCCTCAAAACTTCATTTATTTCCCACCCATTTTCCCATCACTTCTCATTTTCACCTGTGCTCTCCCCTCCATGGGTCCTTCCCTTCCTTGACAACTCTCTCGCTCTCTCTCTTTCTCTCTCTCTCTTTCTCTCTCTCTCTCTCCTAATGCTGTCAACCTCACCCCCTTGAGAAGTGCCATGCTCCCTTTGGGAACCTGGAGGTCTTTCTCTCCTGCTTTTAAAGTTTCCTGCCTTTTCTCTGCCTCCTCCAAATTTTCTATTCTTCAAGCTAAACATCCCCGGGTACTTCAACTACTTCTTCCTGCCAAGTGTCTTCTCTCTCTTGCTTCTCCCCGCACCTCACTGACATTCTTCCTCTCTCTTTCACTGCTTCCTCTGCCTCAAAACCCAACTGAGAACTCAGGCTCCTCTGTGCAGCCTCCCCAGGACCCTGGGAGGTGAGCTGCTCCTGGCATTTCTCCCCCCTCTCCACCATTACAGCACACATCACACTGAGTTATCAATGTGTGATTTATGAGTCTGGCCTACAAGTTTAGGGGCTGCTTGAGGACAGAAAGCAGCTTCCCCCTGCCCATCACAGGGCGGCTGACTATGCCAGCCAGACCACGCTGTGCTATCACTCCTTTTACACTACTCTCTTCTGAGTGGACTTTGGAAAAGATACAAAGGAGGGATCTCACACTTTCCAAATCAGACCCCACAACTTGATATGCCACCTTCTGTGCCCTGGCCAAAGACTGACCAGGGATACTGGTGGAGTAGCTGAACCTGGACCTTCAAGCCTAGGAGTCAGACCACCTGGGTTTGTTGCCCTCTTCAACTACTTAGCTTAGAGACCAGTGGCAAGTTAATTAATGTCTCCTGGGATTTGTTTGTTTAGAGAGAGGGTCTCACTCTGTCACCCAGACTGGAGTGCAGTGGTGCCATCAAAGCTCACTACAGCCTCAACCCTCACAAGCTCAAGGGATCCTCCCACCTCAGCCTCCTAAGTAGCTGTGAATATAAGCACGAGCCACCACACCTAGCTCATTTTTTTTTATTCTTTGCAGAGATGGGGTTTCACTATGTTTCCCAGGCTGGAAGCTATTTAATATCTCTAAGCCTCAGTCACTTCATGAAGTTAATAATGAGATCAACCTCCTAGGGTGCTGTGGACATTCAATGAGATCATGTGTGTGAAGCATCCAGCTCAGTGCCTCAATAAATTAGTGCAGCTCTTCAGGGAAGTATTATTCCATGAAAGTGCCTGCTGTATGTAACCCTCTTCCTTCCAAGTGACTCAACAGCTTGCATAGTTCTCAGCCTGTCCTCCCAGCCTGGTAACTTAGGCATGAAGAAATCAGCCTACTGTGATCACGTGGCCAATGAAAGTCCTCAAACTAGAAGCCACTTTCTGAATTCCTTATTCAAGGCTATGGCTAAAAAAATCTACACATGTGCAAACTCCCCCACTGGGAAAAAAAAAAAACAGTTTGATGGAAGTATTCCTCCCACTAGAGAATTTCCCCTTCCTGTCAAATGTTGCCAGTTTCATTCATTGCTGTGGCAGGCACACTTTCCTGGCCATGAGAGATGGGCCTTATCACCATCCCGTATACCAGATCCTTCCTGGTTGCCATTCTGCCACACTCTTACGGGGCCTTCCTCACCATGGTGCTCCTCTGTGACCCCCGGAGCCCTTCACCTTGGTGAACAGACAGTCTGACTCGAATGGACCTGAATTCAATCTACGCTCTGCAGTTACTTAAGCAAATGTTTTATCTTCTCTAAGCTTGCTTTCTTATCTACAAAAGGGATAAGAATAGCAGCAAATCTTAGTGGAAGGTAAAGATTCAAAGGGATAAAGTTTGTGAAAATGCCCAGCTCATTGCAGACACTGAAATATTAGCTGCCTTCATCATCATCATCATCATCCTCATCATCAACGTCATTGTCACCATCAATTCTGAAGTTACACAATCCTAAAACCAAGTCTATTTTTGAATCCTAACTGTAACTTTGGAAAAATTTCTCAATTCTTTGTGCTGTTTTCTCAGCATAAAATGGCAACAATAACAGTAGCAGCCACACAGGGCTGTTGTGAGGATTAAATAAGTTAATACATGTAAAGTACTTAGAACAGTGCCAGTCACCGAGTGAGTACTCAATAAATGTCAGCTCAAGTTAATGGCATTTGAAATCTTTGAAGACATCCAGGAAATGGAAAATTCCCTTGGCCTCTCTGTCCAATGAATAGAGATCCTTCTAGGGACTGCAGACGCACGTGCGCACACACCCACACACACACACACACTCTCTCTCTCTCTCTCACATCCTCAAGCAGGGACAAGCCTAGCCCGGATTTCATTTTTTTCTTGGACTTGACTTTTCGTCCCATCTGGAGTGCCCTGGCCCCCCTATGGCCCTTGGGCCCCAAATCAGAGACGGCCAGAAGGGAAACACAGAGAGGCCAGCTGTCATGTGGGCCCCCACCTATCAGGCACACCAGAGAACATAAACACACACTGAATCCCAGCCCTTGGAAGTCTCGGCTGGAGGCAACCCTCAGCAGAGTCCCACCATGGGGATCTGACCCACCTCCGTGCTGGCATACTGTTCCCACATCTTCTGGCGGCTCTCTGCAGCCCCTAAACACCTCCTCCTCCCTCCCTCTGTGCTGATTCTGCTCATAAAACACTTCTTTCTCAACCCACATTATCCCCCAGGATAAGCAGCTCCTTCTCTCTGCAGGAGAGGGACAGTTCTCCGCCAGCATTCGACACAGCTCTCTGACACTTCACCCGAGTGACAGGTCAGGCCAGGCAGTTCCGCCAAAACCAATCATTCCATTTCTAAAAACCTCTTATACCATACTTAAAATTCTATTTGGAAAAATAACTTTTGTCTGTGATATGTTAAAGCTGAAAGATGATAATAAAAATTATCTTGGGACATGGTGATGGGGTAAGAATAAAACTTCTAATTATAAAGAATTCAAAGCACTACATTTATATCATCTCTAAAGATTAAAAAAAAAGCCTCAACAGTCCATGGGCCAAGTTCATGAGCCCCCAGAGCCTCTTCTCTATATATTTCACAGTGATATTCGAACTACATTGACAGTTACCTGCAGTAAGAGACACATTTTACATTTTGACCCAGTTCACTCATGGCTATATATGTTTATATCAAATAAAAATTGTATGAGGCCAGGAGTAGTGGCTCATGCCTATAATCCCAGTACTTTGGGAAGCCAAGGTAGGAGGACTGTTTGAGCTCAGGAGTTTGAGACCAGCCCGAGCAACATAGGGAGACCCTATCTCTACAAAAAGTTTTAGAAATTAGCCAGGCATGATGGCATGTGCCTCAAGTCCCAGCTACTCATGAGAATGAGGTGGGAGGATCTCTTGGGCCTGGGAGGTTGAGGATACAGTCAGCTATGATTGTACCACTGCACTCCAGCCTGTGCGACAGACAAAGACCCTGTCTCAAAAAAAAAAAAAGTTTCGTGAAACAATATCTACCCTTCCTGAGAGTGATGCACTGTGATATTTTCTGTTCTGCTTTCTTCATGGTATTCTTGACCTATTATATTGACTTCATGAACTTCTAATGAGTGATGACCCACAGTTTAAAAAACATACATAGAAGAATTCAAGAAAACTTTCCAGAGTGGGGCTGCAATCTGATACAGGGGTTAAGGGCAACAGGACATTGAAGTCATGCAGTCTGGGCTTGAAATACAAGTTGGAATCTCCTGTGACTCAGGAGTGTGTAGCATAACAGAAGTAATGTGAGGTATAAAGTATCGTTGGTTGGATATGAATCCCAGCTCTCCTCTCTGGTAGCTGGATGACCCAGGACAAGCTATTCCCATGTCATTCCCTAGGCCTAGTCAGATTAGGACTCTCTGTCCATGATATTCCAGTGCCAGCAAGTACAGTCTATGAATCTGGATAGTAACTAAATCAGTACTGTGAATGAACCAAGGTATAGTTTGAAATGAACCTCTAAGAAAGACATAGAAGCACGCAGTGAACCCCAGAAGGCATTCCCCCAAATGCAGCCCCCTCAAAACCATCTATAGGGACAAGGCACTCATTCCCCCAGCTGCTGGGAAAACCAATTGCTCACAGCTGTGTCCTCCCTGGGACTCCTCCCCTGAAGAAGGGAGCTGCTTTGCCCAAGGTAATGCTGCCTTCCAAAGAGCAGCCCACAATCAATGCCCACTTGATGCATTGGCTTGTCCCAGTTCTGAAGGGCCGTCTCAGCTCCAGCCATGGAATTGGCTTTGGCCTCTATTACAACTATTGCACCACAGTTCAACTACCTCTTCCCTGCTTCCCTCTATCCCTTATAGATGTTGTTCCCAAGAGCTACATCCCCAATAAACCACCTGCATACAAATCTTCATCTTTTAAGACAATTTATCAATGATGCTAGCCAGAGTTGCAGAAGAACTAAATAAAGATGAGGTCTTTAGGACATTTTTACAAGGGCACATTTAAGAACTTATATTTTTTTCTATAACTAACATTTAATAAGCAATCACATGATTTTTGTTTTCATTTTTGTTTTTTGTTTGTTTGTGGTTTTTGTTGTTGTTTGCCTGTCTCATTTAATCCACATAGAACTCTGGGAGGTAGGCTCTGTGCCATTATCTTCATTTCACAGACAAAGAAACTGAAGATTAAAAAGAAAGATGCCTAAGACCCCACATGTGATTGGGGAGGAACTGAGGCCTGAACCCATGCTCTTGACCAGTAAGTCATCAGACCTCATCCGCACTCCATCACAGCTCTGTGATCACACTGACCACACTGTGTTGCAAGAACTCACTCACACGCCTCTCTCTCTCTCTCTCTCCTGCCACCCCCTCCCCCGCCGGCTCTCTTTATTCTCTCCCTCCTCAAGTACAGGGGCTTTGTCTTCCTTTCTCTGAATCTCAAGCTTTTAGGGAGTGCCAAGTGGTAGTAACGGTAGTATTTGATGGCAGTATTCAGTAGTCATGGTGGTAGTATTCAGTGTTGCGTGTGCACTAAGTCCTGGCCGTATCCTTTGCATACAGCATCTCATCTGGCCCTACCATTTCCCTAGGAGGTAGGTAGTATTATTATCAGGTGTAAATGTTGAGCACTCATTTGGGGCCTGCCTTTGATCAAGTTCATTTTCAGAAATGCACACTAGACTGGAGTATGTTTTTAGACAGCCAAGCAATTGCGAGGACCACACTGAAATTAGTGTGGTGGGTTCCAAAAAATATCACAAATTATTTGCAGCTTCTCCCATCAAGAGGAGGCATCTCTATTCTCTTCTCTATTTCCTCCTTTACTTCTGGGGTGGGCTTGTGATTTGCTTTGACCAGGGAATATGGCAGAAGTGATGTTATGCATGTTCTGAGCCTTGGCTTCAAGAAGCCCTGCAGCCCTTGCTCATGCCCAGAGAATGCACCCATCAGCATATGACCATGCTCAGGATAGCCCACTGGAAGATGAAAGACCTGAAGAGAGGCCCCAGTTGTCCTAGACATCCCTGCTGAGGCCCCAGGAAGGTAAATGAGCCCAGCCAAGAACAGCCAATCCCTGCCCAGATCAGACAGACCACCCAGCTGAGCCCAGCCCAAATTACTGACCCACAGAAACTAAAACTAAATAAAACAGTGGCTACTTTAAGCCACTAAGCCTTGAGGTTATGTGCTATCCAGCAATAGATAATTGATTTGTTGGGTGTCCAGTCAAATATCTGGAAGTAGAACCAACAAAGGATTCTTCTATATAACAAGTCAGCTTAGAAGAGAACTAACCCGGCCTCAAAGAGATCTGCTTGGGATGTCCACAGGTGATATGGTTTGGCTGTGTCCCCACCCAAATCTCATCTTGAATTGTAGCTCTCATAATCCCCATGTGTCATGAGAAGGACCTGGCGGAAGGTAATGGAATCATGGGGGTGGGTTTTCTAATGCTGTTCTCGTGATAGTGAATAAGTCTCACGAGATCTGATGGTTTTATAAAGGGCAGTTCCCCTGTGCACGCTCTCTTGCCTGCTGCCATGTAAGAAGTGCCTTGACCTTCCTTTGCCTTCTGCCATGATTGTGAGGCCTCCCCAGCCATGCTGAATTGTGAGTCAATTAAACCTCTTTCCTTTATAAATTACCCAGTCTCAGTTATGCCTTTATTAGCAGCATGAGAATGGATTAATACAACAGGCAACCAGAGAGGCAAGAATTCTGACTGATTGAAAAACTAGAAAGTCTGACAAGAGCCAGATTGTTCTAATAACTAAAAACAAGAAAAGTGCTTCTTTATTTCACTTTTAGGAACACAAATAGAACTCACTCTTTCCCTGCTATGTTTGATAAGATAAAGACGTCCAGAGTTTTGCATCTTAGTTTTACCAGTCAAGTGAGAGATAAAACTAGATACATCACCGCAAAGAAAGACAAAGGAAATTATGGCTTTGGAGACTGGAGTGAGATTTACTGAGTTCATCAAAACCTGTTTTCTTTTCCTCCTGGACATAGAGCTAGTCGACATGTCCCAGGACCCCCTTCCGTTGGTTGCCTCTTTGCCTGGGTTCTGGCAAATAGAATGTGAGCAGAAGTGATGTGACTTCCTTCCCCAGCTGAAGTTGTTGTGAAATGAGTGTGCTTTCTCAATTTCCCTTTCCCCTTCCACTGGCCCAATGGGGAGGACCCTGGGGTCCTGTGTGACTCTGTGGAAGATGTCCTGACCAGGACCACCTGCACTGGTTAGTGACATGAGTAAGAAATAAACTCCCTTCTGTCAAGCCACAGAGACTTCAAGGTTTGTCTGTTACAGCAGCTTTAATAGATTCTTACTAATACAGAATTTTTGAAATGTTAAGCCCTAAAAATAGTTTGTGAGCTCAAGTTTTCCTAGTATTTACAGAGCTAAATTATTGTGTGGAAAAACTGTCAGAATGCCCTGGCTTCCTTGTTGAACAGTCTGGAACCGATGGGCAACATTGAAACAGGAAGCAGATGTTCCCCAAAGAAGGCAAACGGCACCATTCCCCAATGGGTGATTCCAGAAGGTGCCTGTCTCCCATACGGATTTCACTTCCTCTATGCAAAACTAAAAAAGTCCCAGCTAACATTTCTCAGGCTCAGCCTCAGTAACTTAAAGCTCTGCACTTTTTAAATTTTTTAACAGAAAAATGGGCATAAGTCAATGGAGTTGCATAACAGAAAAGTGGGCATAAGTTCAGGAACAGATGAAAGTAATCATAGGTGATAGAGGTTAGGATAGTGATTACTCCTGAAGGATACGGTTGATAGGGATTGTGAGATGATGCTTCTAGGGTACCAGCATGTTCTGTTTCTTGATCTGGATGTCAATCAATTCTTCTTAAACTCTTCCAAAAAATTAAGGGAGTATTTCTAAACTCATTATCCAAGACTATCATACCAAAGCCAAACAAAAACACAAGAGAAGAAAACTATAAACCAATATCCCTGATGAACATAGATGGAAAAATCCTCAACAAAATATTAGCAAACCAAATTGAAGAACACATTAAAAGAATTTTATTCACCATGATCAAGTGGGATTTCTCCCTGGGATGCAAGGATGGTTCAACACATAGAAATCAATAAATGTGATACCCATGTTAACAAAATAAAGGATAAAAATCATATGATCATCTCAATAGATGCAGGAAAAAAAAGCACTTGAAAAAAATTAACATTCTTTCATGAAAAAAGTACTCAGCAATAAGGTATAAAGGAAATGCACTCAACACAATAAACACTATGGGCTCTATTATGACAAACCCGTAGCTAACATCCTTCTCAGCACTGAAAAGTTGAAAGCCTTTCCTCTAAGATCAGGACGCCCACTCTCACCCTTTCTTTTCAATAGAGTACTGGAAGTCCCAGCCAGAGTAATTAGGAAAGAGAAAGAAATAAAAGGCATCCTAATAGGAAGGGAAGAAGTGAACTTGTCTCTATTTGTTGACAAGGTGATTTTATATACAGAAAACCCTAAAGAATCCACTAAAAAAGCTGTTAGAACTGATCAACAAATTCAATAAAACTGCAGGATGCAAAACCAACATACAATCAGTAGTGTTTCTATATTAGATTATCTAATTATTCTAATTTTATATACTAGCTTATCTAATAACAAACTACCAGACCAGAAAATTAAGAAAACAAACTAATTTACAATAGCAGCAAAAAAAAAATTACTTAGGTGTAAATGTATCCAAGGAAGCAAACTATCTGTATACTGAAAACTATACAACACTGATGAAAGAAACTGAGGAAAACACAAATAAATGAAAAGATATTCCGTGTTCATGGACTAGACAAATTAATATTGTGAAAATGTCCATACTAGCCAAAGCAATCTACAGATTCAGTGCAATTCTTATCAAAATTCCAATGTCATTTTTCACAGAAATAGAAAAAACAATCCCTAAGTTCATATGGGACCACAAAAGACCCCAAATAGCCAAGACAACATTGAGCAAAAAGAACAAAGCTGGAGGAATCACACGACTTAATTTCAAAATACATTATAAAGCAATTGTAATCAAAACAGCACGGTACTAGCATAAAAACAGATGCATCAACCAATGGAACAGGATAGAAAGCCCAGATATAAACCTGCACATTTATAGCCAACTGATTTTTGATAAAGGTGCCAAAAACACACAATGAGGGAAAGGACAGTCTCTTCAGTAAATGGTGTTGGGAAAACTGGATATCCACATGTAGAAGAATGCAATTAGACCTTTATCTTACAAACCACATACACAATCAACTCAAAATTGATTAAAGACTTAAAACCTGAAACTATAAAACTGCTAGAGAAAAACATAAGGGAAAAACTCCACAACATTGGTTTGGGCAATGATTAAGCAAAAGCAAAAGGAGACAAATGGGAGGGCATCAAACTGAAAGCTTCCTCACAGCAAAGGAAACAATTAACAAAGTGAAGAGACAGCCCACAGAATGGGAAAAATATTTGCAAATGCTGTATCTGATAAGAAGTTAATATCCAAAATATACAAAGAACTCAAACAACTCAATAGCAAGTAAACAAATAACCTGATTTAAAAATGGGATCTGAACAGAAATTACTCAAAAGAAGACACACAAATGGCCAATAGGTACTTGAAAAAATGTTCAGCACACTAAGCACTAGGGAAATGCAAATTAAAACCACAGTGAGATATCACCTCACACCTGTTAGAATGGCTTTTATCAAAAAGATAAAAAATAACATGTTGGAGAAGATGTAGAGAAAAGGGGACCCATACACTGTTGGTGGGAATGTAAGTTAGTATAGCCTTATGAAAAACAGTACTAAAAGTTTCTCAAAAAAACAAAAAAGTGAACTACCACCGAGCATGGTGGCTGACACCTGTAATTCCAGCACTTTGGAAGGCCAAGGCAGGTGGATCACCTGAGGTCAGGAGTTTGAGACCAGCCTCACCAACACAGTGAAACCCCGTCTCTAGCAAAAATACAAAATTAGCCAGGCGTGGTGGTGCATGCCCGTAATCCCAGCTGCTTGGGAGGCCGAGGCAGGAGAATGTCTTGAACCTGAGAGGTGGAGGTTGCAGTGAGCTGAGATCGCACCATTGTACTCCAGCCTGGGCAACAAGAGCAAAACTCAGTCTCAAATTAAAAAAAATTAAATTAAATTTTTTTTAAGTAATCCCACTTCTGGGCATATATTTAAAGCAACTGAAATCAATATGTCAAAGAATATGTGCATTCCCATGTTTGTTGCAGTACTACTTACAATAGCAAAGATAGGGAATCAACCTAAGTGTTCAACAGAGGATGAATGAATAAAGAAAGTATGGTGTATACACACAATAGAATCCTACCCAGACTTTAAAAAAAAGAGAGAAATTATATCATTTGTGACAATATACATGAATCTGGAGGACATTATGCTAAGTAAAATAAGCCAGAAACACAGAGACAAATACAGCATGATCTCACGTATATGTGGAATCTAATAAAGTCGTAGTCATAGAAGTAGAGAGTAGGAGGATGGTTACCAGAATCTGGGATGAGGGAAGGAGTTGTTGATCAAAGGATACAAAGTTTCAGATAGACAAGGGGAATAGGTTTGGAGATCTATTGCACAGCAGGGTAACATAGTCAATAATAAGTGTATCATATATTTCAAATAACTAAGTAAATTTCAAATGTCTCACCATAAAAAATAAGTAAACAAGCTGATGGTTATATTAATTAGTTTGAATTAACCATGACACATTGTATATATGTATCAAAACATCACATTGTACCCCATCAATTATGATTTGTCAATCAAAAATAATATTAATAGTTTTTTTAAAAAAAGCTAGCCACCAAAAGATGAATATCCAACTGAAATAAAAAGAAGTCCTTCTCTACTCTATATGTCAATCCTGTTTCCCTAAGTGCACTGTTTGTCTCAGAAACAATTATCAATACCCTCAGCCATAAATTTTGCCACAAAATGTATCTGGATAACTACCAAAAAAAATCCACACATACACATGCAAAAAAATCCAAATAACGATCAAATCTTCATTTGCAGCACTCACTAAACTCTAAAGAATGGTCTCTACCTTTAGGGAGGGAAAGAAGATCTTCAATATAGGGCCATCCCACAAAAATCACTGCCCTGACTATCCCAATGAGACAAGCGACCGTCCTTCAGACTTCACCCTCCACCTTCACCTACACTATCTGTCAGCTTCTTCAACCGAAAAGGGATATAAACACTCCACCCAAAGGGTGAAGGGAACCCAAATTTAGAAGGGTGAAATGGTCACAAATCTATTTAAAGTTGAAATGCTACCAATACATTTTTGAAGTGAGGTCAGCCGATGGGGCGATCACAGATTGCAATTCTACTTCCTGAGGTTTCCCACAAATTAAAGTGTTGCAGGCCAGGAAAGGGTTTCTCAGAAAGCACTGTGCTCACTCACACTCAAATCACCTCTCCGGCCCCAACCAAGCATTTCTCTCTAAGATCCACTGTAAGGTGCAGCTAATGCTATTGACCACGACATGTAAGCACATCCATTCTTGCGTCGTCTCCTTGATTCAAGAGCATTCATCTTGCCTCCCCAACAGGATTATAAACTCAGTAAGGACAAGGACAGTGCCCAGTCCTAGGAAGAACAGAAATAGCTACCATTTATCAAGTGCTTACTGTATATATGTCAGGTAGGGTGCTAAGAAACACTTCACATAAAGTAGGTTTTATTATTATATCCTTTTAGCTATGAAAAAACAGAAGCTCGAAGAGGTTAAGTAACTTGCTTAAGGTCCCACAGCAAGAAGTCAAGATTTAAATCGAAGCCTTTCTTTCTCCAAAACACCAACTCTTCACCACCATGTGCAGCATGTGCTCAATAAACACGTACCCACTGGGTGACAGCAGTGGAGAGGGAGAGGGAGTGGGAGGATGCCTTTCAGAGGAAAATTCATTTCTACGGCCCTCCGCGTCTAAGGATACAGTGAAGAGAGATGTCCCTATTGTTAGAACCATAAAAATAACTAGTAACCACCCTCAAAATAGAACAATCAACAATATGACTGACATGAAATTCCAAATGTCTCTTTAGGGTGTGAAAAATAGCAACAGCCACGAGGTGCTCCGGTAAGGCACCCCCACTGCTTCTAAATGGCCATTTCAGTTTCTCCTGCCTGACTTCCATCACTGCAGGCCTAGAATTTCAGGATTTGAGTCATGGCAAGTATTGTTGCCAAAGGCATCTCATGCTCCTCTTTTTCAAACATTTGGCCATTTCACTCACCCCCACACATCCCACTTTAAAACAGTGACAACAACCACTTCCTAGTCACTACACTGCCTTCACAGGGGCCAACCCCTCTGATATGACGTTCACCTCCCACCTGCTCCTCCCTCCCTCACACCCTCTTCTTCCTGTTCCCTGCATGTGCCCTATTCTCTCTCCTCACTATCTCAACTGCGTTGTCCTGTCCTGTGCCTGAAACACCCTCCCCTGCCCTCATCCCCTTGTCAATCCGGGAACTCCCACTCCTGCTGTAAGACTGTTCCCAAATGTCACCTCCTCTGTGGAATCTTCACCGGTCCGAGGAGGAGTAGGGATGCCATCCAAAGTGTTTTTACATTCTTGGTGTAGCACTTTACATTATGTCTCAGAACTAATTGGCCATGTGCTGTTCTCCTTTTAAAAGACCAGGAAGATCTTTAAGGGTGAGGACAGTGTCTTACTTCTCTTCAAAGCCCATATGGCAACCTGACATTATACAATATATTCGTTCTATGTTATTCACTTATTACTGTTATTCTACTAGAATGTAAATTCCATGAAGCCAGCGATGCTGTTCTGTTCACTGTTCTAGTTCCAATGCCTAGAACAGTACCTGATATGTGGTAGGCATCCAATAAATATATATTAAATGAATGGAAAAACGGTTGGATAGCCAGACGGATGGATGGATGGATGGATGGATGGTTGGATGGATGAATGGAAGAATAGCTGGGTGGATGGGTGGATGTTTGGATGAATGAATGGAAGAATAGCTGGGTGGATGGATGGATGGATGGATGGATGGATGGATGGATGGATGGACAGACGGATGGATGTATTGGTGGATAGGTGGATGGATGGATAGATAGATAGATGGACAGATAGATAGATAGATAGATAGATAGATAGATAGATAGATAGATAGATAGATAGATAGAGGCAGGATCATATTTTACCCACCCAAAGGTCATGAAGATATGGAGAAGCAGAACCAAGATTTAAAATCAGGTCTGTTTTGAGCTTGAACTCTCAAGCCCAATTTGATACTCCTTCCCTAGAGGCCCAAAGTCTGGTCTCTGGGAAGTAGCAAGATGAAAGAAAAAAGAAAGCTAGAATTCACCCCAGGAACACAGCTATGGTTGAACTAATGGTGTTGCATATCTTGAATCAGTTAATTTCCATCTACTTAGCCAGTTCCAAGACCCATAGGAGTGGATCAGAGCTCTCTGGTCTGGGTTTGAGTTCTCCTCCTGACTCTGTAGGGCAACTTTCTGCTTGTGGGCTGAGGGGGAAGGAGATGCCCAGGAGACCACAAACAAGCAGGACAAATGGCAATTAAAAGGTAATAACAACCATGGTAATGATTAACAGCTTAGCACTTCTGAATAAAAGCGACATCTCTACCAGATCCTGTCCTTGCTGTTCCTCTCAACCTTCAGGAACACTGAGCATCCTTACAACACCAAAAATTTCCAGGAAAGACACTGAACTTCCCTTCTCTGTTCACAAGGAGGAATAGCCAGTACAGAATCAAGCTCAGGGTAGAACAGAACCAGGCTCAACATTAGGTAAAAGTGTACCCTCGCTGACTCAAAAAAAAGTTGGTTTATAGGTAGAAACTAACTTTTTTTTTTTTTTTTTTTTTTTTGAGACGGAGTCTCGCTCTGTCGCCAGGCTGGAGTGCAGTGGCGCAATCTTGGCTCACTGCAACCTCTGCCTCCCGGGTTCAAGCGATTCTCCTGCCTCAGCCTCCCGAGAAGCTGGGACTACAAGCACATGCCACCACACCTGGCTAATTTTTGTATTTTTAGTAGTGAAGGAGTTTCACCATGTTGGCCAGGCTGGTCTCGAATTCCTGACCTCAGATGATCCACCCACCTCAGCCTCCCAAAGTGCTGGGATTACAGGCATGAGCCACCATACCCAGCCCATAGTTTTACATTCTCATAATTCCCTGTAGTTCCTTTATAATTAAAAAAAAAGAATATTCAACAGATATCTACTAAGTGCCCAGATTTGTGTTAGAGGGTTGTTAAAGATATATTAACACCAACTGAGACTTTCTCCTTAATGAAATCAGAAAGACAGACTTGACAAAAGTCCTTTCTCTATAAGTGAGTCAACACTGTTTATTGTTAAACTACTTAAAAAGTATCTTCTGAACAAGAGAAAATACTGCCTAAGCCAAAGGAATGAAGAGTTGTAATATATCAGAGATGGACACAGGGTGAGGAAGGTATTTGGCAGGCAATGTGAGTAATCTTGTGCTCCCTGAAAACTGACTTTCAGCTCAAAATGCCTCTCACTGAAATGCCGTGCTCTCTCTTTTTATTTATTTTCAATCTATTGGCCCAGACTTGCTCCTCCACCTCTGAAATTGTCTGATTTTTCTTCTTTAGAACAGCCACCTCAAACTGTAAACCCTAAACAAAAAGGAAGTCAGCTCATTATCTGAGTTATTAACTAAGAGGAGATGAAGTTCTCTGTCAAACTGGGAAAGAAGCCATCTCAAGGTAACAGGCTAGTTCTACCAAATACTTACTCATCTTACTTGCAGCCATGATACAAATAAATATTTACGGTTTCTCCATAGAATGTCACAAAGATAAGTCTCCTGCACATATTTTGTTTTGTTTTTAATTGAGATAGGGTCTTGTTATGTTGCCCAGGCTGGTCTCGAACTCCTGGCCTCAAGCAATCCTCTTGCCTTGGCCTTCCGGAGTGCTGTGATTACAGACATGAGCCACTGCCTTCAGCCCTGTTGCATATATTATCCAGGATATGGGCAGTTTTACAATACAGATTTTTAGCTCTAGTTCCTTGACAACTCAGACTTTCTCCAGTTACCTCAGAAAATGAGAATGAGAAGTTGGGCTTTTTTTTTTTAATTCCCAGACCACTGACTGCATCCCCAGCCATTACATAGGTTAGCTTCCCATTATATATTCTCCCGGTACCCAGTCCATTTTCTTCAAAGTACCTAATAAAAATGAGGTTAAATATGAGTGAAATGATCTGTAGAATGTCTTATCTCCCCCCGCTACATCATAAGCTCCATGACAACAGAAATTTTCTCAGTTTCATTCACCATTGTATTCTGTCACCTAAAATAGTTCCTGACAAATAGAACTTGACACATAGAACTTAATCAGTGAGGCCAGGTGTGGTGGCTCACTCCTGTAATCCCAGCACTTTGGGAGGTTGAGGTGGGCAGATCACTTGAGGTCAGGAGTTAGAGACCAGCCTGGCCAGCATGGTGAAACCCTGTCTCTACTAAAAATACAAAAATTAGCTGGGCGAGGTGGTGGGCACCTGTAATCGCAGCTACTTGGGAGGCTGAGGCAGGAGAATCACTTGAACCTGGGAGGCGGAGGTTACAGTGAACCAAGATCGTACTACTGCACTCCAGCCTGGGCGAAAGAGTGAGAGTTTGTCTAAACAAAAAAAAGAGACTGGGCGCGGTGGCTCACGCCTATAATCTCAGCACTTTGGGAGACCGAGGCAGGAGGATCACAATGTCAGGAGATCGATACCATCCTGGCTAACATGGTGAAACCCCATCTCTACTAAAAATACAAAAAATTAGCCGGGCGAGGTGGTGGGCGCCTGTAGTCCCAGCTACTCGGGAGGCTGAGGCAGGAGAATGGCGTGAACCTGGGAGGTGGAGCTTGCAGTTAGCCAAAGATTGCACCACTGCACTCCAGCCTGGGCGACAGAGCAAGACTCCGTCTCAAAAAAAAGAACTTTTAGAAGGAGAATGGAGTGAAGGGATGGATGCATGGATGGACAAATAGATAAACAGAAAAACGGATGATGAATAGAGAGGTGGGTGGATAAATGGAGGGATGGATGGATGAATAAATGAATGTATGTGGTGAATAGACAAATTTCCTACTGGATTTTCAAGCAGCCATCACACCTCCAAATGCCATATGTAAACACTGTGGATGTTGTATTCTCTGTAAAAAGGCTAACATTCTATCTATGGAATTTCACACAATTTCAATGAAGAGATTGGATGAATGAAGTCAAAGAATTCATGTTATTAGAGCAAATGCCAGAACATAAGGGACTTACCTTTGAAGGCGTCAGAGACAAACTTTTCAGCAGATCCCCCTATCTACCCAAGAATTAATTGAACTGCAGAGTTAAAAGGCCAGACCATATATTTTAAATTATACTTAGTAATTTAATGACCTGTATCTGAAAAGTAGCAAAAGAAGATGCGTATTGTGAAAATTATAACATATTGATCTACTTACATATATGTGTGTGTATACACGTGTGTGTGTGTGCATGTGTGATGGAAACAAAGAGACAGAGACAGAAGGATAAGCAGAGACAGAGAGAAGAGAGACCCCAACAGTACAAATGTGTATAAAATTATTTTCAAACCTTCAGTTAATCTTTTGACCAATTGCCTTCTTCTGTATCTTCTATTTTTTTTTTTTTTTTTTTTTTTTTTTGGCCTAGATACACTATAAACATGCTGCATCTGGTTGTGGGCAGTATCTCTGGAGTATCATTAGTGCTTGGAAATAATATATTTTTTAAAAATTATATCCTAAGAATCTATATATCATATCAGCTAGATTTTCAAAGGTCATATTTTCCATATTTACTTAGAAAGGCAT
This sequence comes from Homo sapiens, assembly GCF_000001405.40. Taxonomy (NCBI): domain Eukaryota; kingdom Metazoa; phylum Chordata; class Mammalia; order Primates; family Hominidae; genus Homo; species Homo sapiens. The sequence goes on along the minus strand of NC_000016.10, from coordinate 23,843,622 downwards.
TCTGTTGCCCAGTGACAAAGCTTCAGACTCCTCCTGAGTGCTCTACAGTGAAAAATGAATTCGTTGTTGCCTCTCCAACAAATCAGCCCTCCTTTTTAAGACTCAATGTTAACCCACTCAAAGATTCTTATTTCGATTGGGACATTGAGCCTGAAATCCCCCGTCAGGTGGTAAAAAAAAGAAAAAAGCCAAATCATCAAACACGAAGTCAAAAAGCCTCTGCCTTTTATTCACAGAGAAGCCCGCAGGACACATTTAGAATAAGCTAAAAGGTGAGTGGAGTTTGGCTCACAGGTCTCTGGGGTCTGCTTCTGGGAAGAAAGAGAAGTGAAACAATAGAAGTAACCTCTAAACTTGCAGCCTGACTTGGTGATTTTTTGAAAAAATGGACCTCTTTATGATTTTACTAAGAAAATTCAACCTGAAGTGCATGGGGCCATATTATAAGTTTCTAGGGAACACTGCCCAAAATAAAATTAACTTTTGATTCATTTTTTGTTATATAAATACACATATGCTATGCTAATCTACACATGTTAATTACCCACTAAAATAAACTTTATATTTGATAGGGTGAATATTGATAAAAACAAGAATGGTTGGATTCATGTCATGATTTGGGGTTTTTTAAGAATAATTTCAACTACAAGATTTAAAAACCTGTTTTCTAATCTACATGGGAAAAAGAAGAGCTGACTTACTCATTATCATCAATTCTAGCTTTCCATAGAAAATAAAATTAACCTTTTTTGTGATATAAAAAAGTGCAAACTTTTCTAGTCTACATGTGTTAATTACACACTAAAATAAACTTTGATTTGATAGGATTGATATTGATGAAAACAACAATAGTTGGAGTCATGTCAGACTTTGGGGTTTTTTAAGAATAATTTCAATTAGAAGATTTAAAAACATGTTTTCTAATCTACATGGGAAAAGGAAGAGCCAACTTACTCATTATAATCATCAATTCTAGCTTTTCATAGAAAATTTGTACACTGGGGTTTTTCTAGAGAGTCCATGGCAAGTTCAGATCTTTCTCAGAAGAAAAGACAATGCTAACCAGGCATGGGTTTCTGGGCCCAGACACTGAACTGAGCACTCACTGGTGTTACCCAATACCCAGGAAGAAATATACCCAAGAAGAGAAACTATCTAAGTACATGAAAGAGGCCTAGTCATTTAACAAGTTCCAGAATGAACTCCGTCCCACTTTGACACAGTTTCCTACAGCTAATCAAGTAATACTGATGGTCTCACTTAGAGTCATTGATACTTGCTGTGGCTATTTCTCATGCACCACCTCATTATTCTTCACCATAACCCTATGAGTTAGGTGCTATTATCCCCATTTTACAGATGAGGAGACCAAAGTTGCTGCTGGGGGACGACTTGCCCAAGGTCACACAGGGAGTAAGCGGCTCCATCAGAGATACATACCCAATTCTACTGGACTCCAACTCATTGCTAAGAATTCTGAATCTCTATATTTTATTGCCTCTCTATTTCTACCAAAGTCACTTCCTTTACAAAAACAACAAACACTTTGGGAGGCCAAAGCAGAATGAGACTCCTGGCTTGAGGCTGGCAGTTTGAGACCAGGCACAGGCAGCAAAGCAAGATCCACTATCTCTACAAAAAATTTTAAAATTAAAAAATATGTATTTGGCCAGGTTCAGTGGCTCACACCTGTAATCCTAGCACTTTGGGAAGCTAAGGCGGGCAGATCACCTGAGGTCAGGAGTTCGAGACCAGCCTAACCAACGTGGCGAAACCCCACCTCTACTAAAAATATAAAAATTAGCCGGGCATGGTGGCACGTGCCTGTAGTTCCAGCTACTCAAGAGGCTGAGGCACGAGAATCACTTGAACCTGGGAAGTGGAGGTTGCAGTGAGCTAAGATCACGTCACTGCACTCCAGCCTGGATGACAGAGTAAGACTCCGTCTCAAAAAAAAAAAAAAAAAAAAAAAAGGGCCGTGGTGACACACACCTGCAGTCCCAGCTACTCAGGACACTGAGGCAGGAGAATCACTTGAGCCCAGGAGTTTGAGGCTGCAGTGAGCTATGATCATGTCACTGCCCTCCAGCCTGGGCCACACAGTGAGACCCTGTCTCTAAAAACAAAATTTAAAATAAAAGAAGAAGGTTTTTCTCTCTACCAAAAATCTTCTTAGAGAAGACTTTAATTAAAATTAAAGCTCAAATGCAGGTCCTAAGTTCCTGTAAAGAATGCCACAGAAACAGCCAGCACTGTAGCTCATGCCTGTAATCTGAACACTTTGGGAGTCCGAGGCGGGTGGATCACCTGAGGTCAGGAGTTCAAGACCAGCCTGGCCAAAATGATGAAACCCCATCTCTACTAAAAATACAAAAATTAGCCAGGCGTGGTGGCAGGCCCCCGTAATCCCAGCAACCTGGGAGGCTGAGGCAGAAGAATCGCTTGAGCCCCAGGAGATGGAGGTTACCGTGAGTCGAAATGGTGCCACTGCACTGCAGCCTGGGCAACAGAGTGAGACTCTGTCTCAATAAATAAATAAATAAATAAAAGGCAAAGAAAAAAATGCCATAGAGAGAAATCTGCCTTGCTTGTCAAAGGAGTTCCACTTCTACTCTAGAATTTAGGCAATTTTACAATAGGGATCTTCAGCCCCAGTTCCCTGTCATCAAACACATTCTTAAATTACCTCCCAGAGAGTGGTTTTATAAGAAATAGACAGAGTGGAAACAAAAAGGGAGAAATTATGAGGCAGTCAACCTAGAGTTTCGTCCTATCATCATACGAAAGCAAGAAAATCTATTCTTAAGCTCCCCTGAGCACACAGAAATCCATAATTTCCCAAGGTTTATGAGTTTTCCATCCTTCCTCTCCCAACCCATAGCAGTGTCCCCAATTTCCATGACAATGTAATAGAGCCTGAAGGTTACTCTCAATGGTTTCTTTGCCTTGCGATCATCCTACACACCTCCTACCAGAGTGGCAGAGACAACATCCTCTCTCTGCTTGTATTTTTGAAATGGAAACATCCTCTAAATAGTGGCTGCCTGAAATAAACACTACATTTCCCACATGCTCCCTCACAGCAAGGTGTGGGTATGTGATTAAACCCTAGCTAAGAGGATGTAGGTAGAAGGATCTTGAGCAACTTAAACAAGTGACACCGAGCATGTGCTATATGCCCTTCTTTACCCCTTTCTTCCTTCCTGCTAGCTGAAAGAAGGGTGTGAGGACTCCAGCGTCTAGCATCCTTTTTGGACCATGAGATAATTGTCACTCCCCAGGGATAGTGGAGCAGAAAACTCAAAGGAACCTGAGGCCCTGGGCTCTGGATTGCTGACTTAAGTGAGATCATAAAACCTTATGTGTTTTGTATAAACTGTTGATTCCATCGTAAGTGGATTTACTTTCAGAGGAAATATCTGATACCAAGAACAATCAGATACTAAGGAACTCCTCAGTGGTTCCAGAATTAGTCCCAGGCAATGCTGAGTACCAGGGATAAATTTCCCTCTTTCCTATATGTTCCCATTCTAAACATCTCAATTTCAGGGACTGCCAATCTGCCCCTCCCCTCACTCCTCCCTACTGCTGCCCAAATGGAATATGCTGTCAAAGCAGCTACACAGAGTGACCAGAAGTTCATGGCTGAGTTTTGACTCTTACCTGGCAGGCAGTTCCATAGCAAAGCAACCCTGCAGAGCCAGTCTTCTCTCGTGCCAGCTGCCCCACCATTGGGGTAGTCTGGGGACAATCATAAGAGCAGATATTTTCTGAGCATACTCTGTGTCAAGCTCTGGTCCAAGAATCTTGGATATTGCAATGAGTTGGAGCTGCTCAGCCACACTATGGTACTGTTACTGACTCCGTTTTATAGACAAGGAGGCTGAAATACAGAGAGGCTAAGTAATATGCCTGGGAAGTCTCAAAGCTAGGATTCAGACCGACAGGGACTTGCCTGGTAGCCTGTGCAAATGCCCACTTCTCTACGCTGCCTCTTGGTGGGGAGGCAGGGAAGAGAAAAAGAAAGGCAATTTAAAAAATAGACACTCCAGAGGGGCATAGTGGCTCACACCTATAATCCCAACACTTGGGGGCTGAGGTGGGAGGGTTGCTTGAAGCCAGGAGTTCAAGACCAGTCTTGCAACATCACAAGACCCCTTCTCTACAAAAGTTGTTTTAAAATTAGCCAGGCATGGTGGTGCGTACTTGTAGTCCCAATTAATCAGGAGGCTGATGCAGGAGGATCACTTGAGCCCATGAGTTTGAGGCTGCAGTGAGCTCTGATCATACCACTGTACTCCAGCCGGGGCAAAAGAGTGAGACCCTGTCAAAAAAAAAAAAAAGACACTCCTATCTCTAGAGCGCCCATATTTCATTACAAACTTTAATTCTGCCTTTTTCTCTTAACATCAGAAAATTCCTATTATCTTCCAGACTTTGAGTTAAAGGATCTCCTATTTCAAATGTGTCATGCCTTGCACATTCCAAAGTGACTTTCCCATCCATCAATAACAGCAGAGCAGGTGGCATAGAAGATCCGTGGTAAAAATGTTTAAAAATCGCCCCCGATCTCAGCAAGAGACAAAGACTGAAACTGATTCATGGAAGTGAAAGGCAACCTCAAAGAAGAAATTACACATTCCGGTGCCAAGACACCATTGGCATTTTGTTTGAGGGGTCAAAGTTCTAGAAAACAATCCAAATTTGTTTGCACCAGGGCCTAAGTTGTTGCCACTTAAAGAGACTTGAGGAGTCCTCTGGTGTGGTGCAGAGGATCCAAATCTTGGTAAGACAGGCTGGGTAGGTTGGCAGGGCTCACTGAGCCCACCGGGACCCCGATCTCAGAAGAGTATGCAAGAGTCTCAGAGGAGCACAGTGCCATGCTGCCAGCAAGCAAACATTCTGCACCACTGACGATGCCACCTACACTCACTAGGGATCACTTTACTTTTCCCTGGAGGGTGGAGGTGCAGCCACAAAACTGTCAGTCAGTGCTAAATCACGTCAGACTCTTCCACACTCAAATACTTTCTTTTGATTTAAACCCAGCTCACCAGGGTGGTGGTCACTTTGCCCCTAAAGATACAATACCCCAGAAATGTGCCGTTTCTTACCAAACTCAATCTTACCAAGCCCAAGAGTGAAAAATTAAAATTTAAATTAAAAAGAAAACATAACACACAAACTTTCCAGATGAGAGGTTGCAAACTTAAATGCCCACAGGGGCCAGAAATGGGTGAAGTGTTCCCCACTGGGATCAACTGAGACAAAATGGTAAGGCTGTTCCCCATCTACGACGACGGCTCTCAGCTCCAAACGATTGTTTTCAAGCGAAAGTGAGACCATTTCTCAGCAAAGTTAAAGTTGGAAATTAGGATGTGTATGTGAAATCTCCCAGTTCTAAAACGTTCACATCAAATTCACAAGTAAGACACCCTAAGGGCTACACAGAGCTGCGGGTAACTTTTGGTCCTGGAGAGCCAATTTGCAATCTGTCTTTTAGACATGAGCCCCAAAGACGGGGGAGGGGGACACTTTACACGTGATCAACTCACCACCAGCAGGTTTGATACCCCTGGTTAGAGTCCAGGATCTCAAGCCAGATGCAAGAACTCAGGTAACCAGTGCCCTGGAGACCTTTCTGTTTCAACCCAGAAGATAGGGTGATTTAAACCAGGATCTGAGAAACACTCCCTCTGGAAATACTTCTTTCAGAGAGAGAGGAGGCCCAGGCGACAAACACAGTCGCCTTTCTAGGGGATGCACCATCTGCAGAGGAGCGGCAGCCACCTGCAGAGACCTCTGCAAGGCAGGGAGAGGCAGAACCTCCCTGGGTGAGATAAGGAAGGGACATGGGCAGAGAAAGGGGAACTAAGGAGGACAGGTTCTCCCAGAAACGTCCCGGGAAAACACTTTCTCCCCCAGCGGAACTGACCATGCCAGGATTGCTTCAGGAGACCGCTTTGACTCTTCCAGAGCCGGGAAGGCAGGAAGGGTAGGTGAACTTCCTTGGCATGTAAGACTCCCAAGCGCCATCGGCCCCAGTCACACACACACCCCTTGAAAGGACCCTGTTGTGGTGAAGAATTCCTAGCCTGGGAGGTCACTCCGACCAACGTGATTCTTTCACTCTCTGCCTAACTCAGTAACTTCTTCTATAAAGTATTTTTCACCCTCTCTTCCCACAAATAGCATCCCCAAAGCCCCAGAGCCTACCTTGGCACTGGAATCCCTGCTTCCCGAAGCCCCTGCAAAAGCAGAAGGAGGTGTATGTCAGGCAGCCCGGGGGGCCCAGCCTCCAGCTAGTTACCCACAGAGTCACCCGCCTTCCTCCCTGCCTCTGTACCCCAGGTGCAAACTCCCAGCCACAGGCGGGTGCCCAAGAGTCTTCCGCCTTTGTGGGGGTAGGTGGGAGCTCGGCTGTAACCCCCATCTGCCTTCACTCCTGCAGAAGAGAGGAGGCTGCGACCACCAGGTGGCGGGATAGTGGGGAGCGTTTCCGTCGGGGTAGGGGCTGAAGGCAGGCGACAGATGTACCCATAGATGCCCCGAGCACCCTCGGGAAAAGAGAAGAGATAAAGACGCATTCAGAGGGAGGGCGAGAGTGACCCCGCGGCGGTGGTGTCCTCTGGGAGGGGGACTGGGAAGGAGGAAAGGATGCCCCACTACTGGAGGGACTGGGGAAGAAAGGGGCCCGCAGTGATGTGACCGAGGAGTGGAAAGGGGAACCCAGGCCCTCGGGGAGGGGCAATGGGAGATAACACAGGGCGCTGCCCGGAGGCACAGAGGAGTGAGAAAGGATGTCCCATGCCCGCAGGGAGATAGAGAAGGACACCCAGGGCGCCGCCCCCCCCGGAAACAAGGGGTGGGGGGCGAGGGCTCCTCGCGCCCGGAAGCAGGCGGAGAGATAGGGAACCCCGGGTCGGAGAGCACCCGAGGCGCTGCCCTCCAGGGCAGGCACAGACCCCGCGCGCTCCTAGTCAGGTGGAGCAAAGGCTCCCGCGACGCCGCCCCTGGGCGCTCTAGAGGCGCCTGAGAGCAGGAGAGGGCAGGAGGCGCCCCGCGGCGGCCCGTCTGGGACCAGGGTGGGGACAGGGCAACGGCAGGACTGTCCATCCGGGAGTCCCGGGCAGCAGGGTCCGGAGCCGGGAGTCCGGAGACGCGGGGTCCCAGGGTGCGGAGGGCGCGGAGGGCGCAGAGGGCGCGGAGAGGGGGTCCCTGGCGCGGCGCTGCCCTCGGGGGCCCGGGAAGGTGCCCTGCGCGCGCGCGCTCACCAGATGAAGTCGGTGCAGTGGCTGCAGAAGGTGGGCTGCTTGAAGAAGCGGGCGGTGAATTTGTGGTTCTTGACCTCATGCACGTTCTTCTGCCGGAGGGCGCCTTTGCGGGCGAAGCGCACGGTGCTCTCCTCGCCCTCGCTCGGCGGCGGCCCCGCAGCCGGGTCAGCCATCTTGCGCGCGGGGAGCCGGAGCCCGAGAGGTGCCGGCCCCGGGGCCGCGGGACCGCGGGCTGCGGGCCGGGGAGGCGCGGGAGGCGGCGGCCGCTGCTGCACCCGGGGCCGCGGGCGCTTCCCCTGCGCCGGCTCTGGCGGCCGCGGCGCGCGGAGCCGGGGCTGTCACTCGCCCAGCTGCTGCCGCTCGTCCAGCTGCGCTTGGCACCGCTGGCCCCAGCTGCGGGGGAGGGAGGCGGAGCCCCGGGCCAGCCCCGCCCTCCTCATTTGCATCGCGCCCAGGCCCCGCCCAGCGCTGCCAGCTGCTTTACATATCGGCGCCCGGGCTACCGCGGGCCTCGCGGCTAAGCGTGCACAGCCGCAGCTCTGCAGCGCCGGGACCGCAGCCCGGGGTCGTCGGACCCGAGCCTCGCCCCCCACCCCACCCCGTCCTCGGCCCCCGGGGCTGCGTTCAGGAGATGTGCCCAGGGGAGGAGCGAGAGTGGAAAGACCTACGGGGCGAAGGGGAGCGGGTGGAAGGGGTGGGGCGCAGCGAATTCCACCCCGGCCTCTGCGGAGACTGGTACCCATCCACCCCCATCCATCCCATTGGTCATTCTGCACGCGTCTCCTGGAGGGATGGGCTCCCGCTGTCACTCATTCGGAAAGGCTTGTGGCCGCACACACTTACACACACATACACACACACGTTCTGCAGAGGTAGGGGAGGAGCGATCTTTATTTTATATGTCTCTAACTCCACCACAGAGAAGATTCTTGGCTTTGCTTGCCTCCTGCACGTTTGGAAGAGAACTCCCTACCTTCTGTCCATCCCCTCTGCAAAACGACTCCGTTTCCCCAACTGTAACATAGGGCTAATAGTGTGGGGAGGAAGGATTTCAGTAGATCAATATTTTTCCAAATTTCATTCATTTCTGACTCGTCTTCACAAATTCTGGTCGTATTTGTGCACCCTCTGGGGGAAAAAAAGCCTATCTCTTTTGGTCTGAGTTTGAACAGCAAGAGGTATCTACATTATTAAAATATCTCCAGGTGCCGTCATCTGTCCTAAGCATCTTCGACTGAAGTCATCTTTTATTTGTTAAGAGAGGAAATTAATAAATGCTAGAGGGGTGTTAAAGACATTACTATCCAACCAGGACTCTCTCCTTGATGTGATCTGAAGGTAACTGAAAGGGTAATAATTGTCTACAATGTGTAATTCAATGTTATTTAGCGCCCTGTTCATGCACAAGGCCTAAAGATACCCACTGCCACCATGTCCCCCACTCTGGGAACGCAGAGCTTCATTAGGCTGTGAGCTCCTTCACCAGACCTAGGCTCTGTGAGAGCAGGGGGGCTGTTCACCACCATGTCGCCCAGCACCAAGCTCAGTGCCTGACACCTCCCAAGACCCCAGTAAATATTGGTTGATTGAGTGAGGGCATGGATGAACAAGTGAATGAATGAAGACTTAAAGGTCGGCACTTCTTACCCCCACTCACACCCAGTAGGTGTTTAATAATAAATATCAAGTGATTGCTGGGCATCAGGTACTTGTGCTGTCTTATTTAGCCCCCGCAACAACCCTATGTAGATCTGGTAACTTTCATTATGGATAAGGATGGGGAGGTTCAGAGTGATTAAGATACACCCACAGTCATACCGTTGCTGAATGGTGATTGGGCTGGCCTGACTACAAAGCATCCTGGTGACAAAGGGGTGAACCTGAGTAGTGGTGGATGAAGGGGGGCAGGCTGGAGTTGCACGAGCTCAGGTCCCACTATGACAATTTTGCCTGGAAGCTGCTGAGTGGTAAGTCATTATTAGGTAGCATGTCGAGAGCAAGGGCTGCAATAATAGAATGTCCCTCTCCTACATAGTAATTCAAAGGTAAGGAGGAAAAAATAGCATTCACTTTTAAGGTTGACATGTTTGGGAAACTGGATGTGCCTGTCTATTATTAGTCCTTGAAGAGGCCCCACCACCTCCCAGGGAGGCTTGGGAAAACATCCCAGGAGACATTGCTGCTGAAGTAGATTTCCTTTGAACTGATGAGCTGGAAGCTCACAGCCCACATCCTGCCTTTTGAATGAAGTGCCCTGGATGACTTTGGTCTGTAACAACAAACAGTACCTCATGGCGCCGGGGCCTGGGGATGCAAGGGCTGTGGATGGAAAAGAGCCACTTGGTTCCTGAAGGCGTTGCACCAAGTGAGGATGAGAAATGTGGTTCCCATTGGACCCAGATTCCTGTAGGTCAGGGTCTCAAACTGGTGGCTCCAGATGCTCTATTTTTTTTAAGCTAGCCCAGTGGGTTGTTGTTGTTGTTGTTGTTTTTTAAGTTCACGGGTCATAGAATTTTACTTAAATATCCAGATTCTGACTTATCTAGGAAAAAAGATAGAGCTAAATGGAGCCTACATTCCTCCCTCACTCATACATTTGTTCTTTCAATCAACAAATTGCTTATTAAGCACCTACTGTGTGCTGTTCCAGATACTGTTAAACAAACCAGACAAAGGTCCCTGCCCTAGTGGAGCTTATAGTCTAATGGGGAAGGGGGAGTAATAACCTAACCAACTAACGAATCCATACCTGGTGGTGTATAATAGAATGTTTGTAAATAAAAATAAAGCATTATTATAAAGACCACAGGGAAATCCTTTATAATATGGGGACATCTGAGTAAGGCCTGAATAAAGTGAGAGGGTGAGCCAGGGGACTATCGAGAGTTTCCAGACAGAGAAAACAGAAAATGCAAAGAGCCTAGGGGAGTATCAAGCTTGGTATGTTGGAGAAATAGCGAGAAGGCCTCAGTGGTTGGATGAACAGAGAGGAGAGAGGACTTATGAGATGAGGTCAGGGAGGTAGCAGGGCCCCAAAGGGCTTTGCAAATGTGATAAGGAGTTTGGATTTCACTCCAGTGAATGGAAGCCATTGGAGGGTTGGAAGCTGAGGAGTGGCCTGATACAACTTATGGGGTTTTCATTTTAAAAGCTTACCCTAGCTACTATGTGGAAATTAGAGGAGAAAGGGTGGAGGCAGGAAGAGCAGTGAAGAGGTCAACTGAGCAGATCAGGCAAGAGATTAGGGCAACATGGCATAGTGCCAACAGGAGCTGCAGGGCAGCAGCTCCCCGTAGATTGGGCATGGGTCCTCCTTGCCACCAGAGCCCCCCAGGCCCACTCTGCTCATGAAGGAGTGAATGCTGGTCACTTGAAAGATTTCAGAGGCAGTGAGGGGGCAGGTTGCTGTGGCTGAGAATGGAGTCCAAGGTCCCTTTGCTCCAGACCTGTGGCTGCCATAAAAAATTATAACAGAACAGGGTGGCTAGAAATAACAAAAATTTATTCTCTCATCATTCTGGAGGCCAGAAACCATAAGTCACAGTGTCAGCAGGGCCACATTCCCTCTGGAGGTTTCAGAGGGGAACGCTTCCTTGCCTTTTGTGGCTTCTGGAGGCTGTCAGCATTCCCTGGCTTCCCTGGCTTGTGGTCACATCGCTCCCATCCTCCTCTGTCTTTATATCACCCTCTCCTCTGTGTGCCTATCTTCACCCCTTCTGTTTCTCTAATATCCCCTGTATATCTCTTTTTTCTTTTCTTTTTTTTTTTTTTCCAAGATGGAGTTTTGCTCTTGTTGCCCAGGCTGGAGTGAAATGGCATGGTCTCGGCTCACTGCAGTCTCTGCCTCCCGGGTTCAAGTGATTTTCCTGCCTCAGCCTCCCAAGTAGCTGGGATTACAGGCACCCGCCACCATGCCCGGCTAATCTTTGTACTTTTAGTAGAGACAGGGTTTCACCATGTTGGCCAGGCTGGTCTCAAACTCCTGACCTCAGGTGATCTGCCTGCCTTCAGCCTCCCAAAGTGCTAGGATTACAGGCGTGAGCCACTGCACTGGCCCTATACCTTGTATATCTTTTATATGAACACTGGTCCTTGGATTTAGGGCTTCACTGGATAATCCGAGATGATCTCTTCATCTCAAAATCCTTAATATAGTTATGCCTGCAAAGACCCCTTCGCCAAATAAAATGACATTCACAAGTTCCAGGAATTATAACATGGATGTACCTTCTTGGGGGCTACCATTTAAATGACTACAGTGCATAACCCTGGGCAAGTCACTTACTTCCTCCTGTGTCTCATTTTCCTCTTCTCTAAGGTAGGACAAGGATACAGTAGTTTGCCTCTCAACCCCTTTATTCTTTTGTTTTTTGTTTTGTTTTGTTTTGGTTTTGGTTTTTTTTGAGACAGAGTCTTGCTCTGTCACCCAGGCTGGAGTGGAGTGATGCGACCTCGGCTCACTGCAACTTCCGCCTCCCAGGTTCAACCCATTCTCCTGCCTCGGCCTCCCAAGTAGCTGGGATTACAGGCGTGCACCACCGTGCACAGCTAATTTTTGTATTTTTAGTAGAGACAGGGTTTCACCATGTTGGCCAGGCTGGTCTGAAATTTCTGACCTCAGGTGATCCACCCGCCTCAGCCTCCCAAAGTGCTGGGATTACAGGCATGAGCCACCGCGCTCGGCCTCAATCCCTTTGTTCTAAGGCTGCACTCTTCAACACAGTTGTCACAGTACCCACATGTGGCTGCTGAGCATTTGAAATGTGGCAACTCTCAAGATCACTTAGAACTGCTACTAATTGTAACTAAAAACCTATAGTAAGAAACAAGAAAAGGCTAGGTGTGGTGGAGGCTTATGCCTCCACTTTGGGAAGCCAAGGTGGGAAGACTACTTGAGTCTAGGAGTTTGAGACCAGTTGAGGCAATATAGTGAGACCCCATCTCCACAAAAACTTTTTTTTAATTAGCCAGACAGGTAGTCCACACCTGTAGTCCCAGCTACTCAGGAGGCTGAGGCAGGAGGATCATTTGAACCTGAGAGTTGGGGGTTGCAGTGAGCCATGATTGTGCCACCACACTCCAGTTTGGGTGACAGAGTGAGACCTTATCTCAAAAAAGAAAGACAGGAAGAGAGACAGGGGGAGAAAGAAGGAAAGAGATAGAGGGGAAGGAAGGCAGGAAGGCAGGGAGAGAGGAAGGGAGAGAGGGGAGTATGGCCCCTTCAAAGGGAAAAAATAAACCAACAGAAACTGTCCCAGAGAATGATCAGAAGGTGAGCCTACTAGACAATGGCTTTAAAGCAACTATATTGAAGATGCTCAAAGAACTAAAGGAAGACATGGAGAAAGTTAAAAAAATGCATAAACATAACAGAAATGTCAATAAAAAAATAGAAAACCCAAAAAGAAACCAAAAAGAAATTCTAGAGGTGAAAATACAATAAATGAAATTTAAAAATCACTAAATGGTTTCAAAGGCAGATTTAAGCAAGCAGAAAAAAGAATGCACAAATTTAAATATAGGACAATTGAAATTATTGAGTCTGAAGAACGAAAAGAAAAATGATTGAAAAAAGTGAACAAAGCCTGAAACACTTGTGGGACACAATCAAGCAAACCAACAGCGTACCATGGGAATTTCAGAAAAAGAGAAAGAGAAAGGAGAATTATTTGAGAGCTTATTTGAAGAAATAATGGCCAGAAACTCCCCAAGTTTGATAAAAGACATGAATATAAACATCCAAGAAGCTCAGCAAACTTCAAGTAGGAATAACTCAAAAAGACCCACACCAAGACATTATAATCAGACTGTCTGAAGCCAAAGACAAAAAGAGAATCTTTAAAGTGTAAGAGAGAAGTGACTCATCATATACAAGGGATCCTCAATAAGATTATCTGCAGATTCTTATCAGAACTTCAGCAGTTAGAAGGTAGTGGGCTGATGCATTCAAAATGCTAAAAGAAAAAATAATCAACCCAAAATTCTCTAACTGTCAAAACCGTCCTTCAAAAGTGAGAGAAATTAAGACATCCCCACATAAGCAAAAGCTGAGTTTGTCACCACTAGAGCTGCCATGCAAGAAATACTAAACTAAAGGAAGTCCAGCAGGTTGAAATCAAAGTGCACTGGACAGTGTCTTGAAGCAATGTAAAGAAATAAATATTTCAGTAAAAGTAAATACATGGGCAATTATAAAAGCTAATATCATCATAAAATCCACTTACTGTTTTCTCCGTGATTTAAGAGACTAATGCATTATTTAAAATTACTACTTTATGTTTTTGGGTGCACAATGTATGAAGATGTAATTTTATGACATTAATAACTGAAAGGGATGGGGACAGAGGTATTAGAAGCAGAGATTTTGTATGTTATTAAAGTTAAGTTGGTATGAATTCAAATTAGAATATTCTGACTTTAGGATTTTAATGTAATCCCCATGGTAACAACATAGAAAATAATTATAGAATATACACACAAGGGAATGAGAAGGGAATTAAAACATTTCACTGCAAAAAAAAAAAAAAAAATCAGCTAACCACAAAATAAGATAGCAATGCAGGAAAAGAAGAACAAGAAAAGCTATAAGTTATATAAAAAACAAATATCAAAATGAGAAAAGTAAGTCTCTCATTCTCAGTAATTACTTTAAATGTAAATGGATTAAACTCTCAAATCAAAAGACAGAGATTGGCAGAATAGATTTTCAAAAATGCGACCTAACTATATGCTGTCTACAACAAGAGAACTCACCTTAGGCCAGGCATGGTTGCTCACACCTGTAATCTCAGCACTTTGGGAGGCCAGGGCAGGCAGATCACCTGAGATCAGGAGTTCAAGACCAGGCTGGCTAACGTAGTGAAACCTCATTCTACTAAAAACACAAAAAAAAATAGCCAGGCGTGGTGGTGGGCACCTATAATCCCAGCTACTACAGAGGCTGAGGCAGGAGAATCACTTGACCCTGGTAGGTGGACTTTGCAATGAGCCGAGATCAAGCCACTGCACTTCAGCCTGGGTGACACAGCAAGACTCCATCTCAAAAATAAATAAAGAAATAAATAATAAAGAGATCCTACTTTAGATCCAAAGACACAAATAGGTTGAAATTAAAAAATGTGAAAGCAGGGTCTGAAAGAAATATTTGTACCCATGTTGACAGCAGCATTAGTCACAGTAGCTAAAACATGAAAAGATAAGCAAAATGTAGCATATACATACAATGAAATATTATTCAGCCTCAAAAAGAAGAAAATTCTGACACATGCTACAACATGTATGAACCTTGAGAACATGATGCTAAGTGAAAGAAGCAAGTCATAAAAAGACAAATACTGTATGATTGCACTTATACGATATTGTTTTAATGTGCCTCCCCCACCCCCCCAGATTTCATGTGTTGGAAAGTTAATCCCCAGTGTGGTAGTATTAATAGGTGGGGCCCTTAAGTGATGGTTGGATCATGATGTGGTCTGCCCTCATGAGTGAATTAATGGGTTAATAAATTAATGTCTTATAATGGGAGGGGAACTGGTGGCTTTATGTGAAGAGGAAGAGAGATCTGAACAAGTACATTAGTATGGTCAGCCCCCTCACCATATAATACCCTGAGCTACCTCTGCAATCTTCAGAGAGTCCTCACCAACAAGAAGGCTCTCACCAGATGTGGCCCCTCAACCTTAGACTTCTCAGCCTTCATAACTGTAAGAAATAAATTCCTTTTCTTTATATTACCCAGGTTCAGGTATTCTGTTATAAGCAACAGAAAATGGACTAATACATATGAGGTACCTAGAGTAGTCAAAATCATAGGGACAGAAAGTAGAATGGTGGTTGCTGGGGGCTGGGAGCAGGAAGAAATGGAGCATTATTGTTTAATGGGTATAGCTTTGGCTTTGCAAGACGAAAAGAGTTCCGGAGATGGATGGTGGTGATGGTGGCACAACAACATGAATGCACTTAACATCACTGGACTACACTTAAAAATAGCTAAGATGGGCCGGGCACGGTGGCTCACACCTGTAATCCCAGCACTTGGGAGGCCAAGGCAGGCAGATCACTTGAGGTCAGGAATTCGTGACCAGCCTGGCCAACATGGTATAACCCCATCTCTACTAAAAATACAAAAATTAGATAGGTATGCTGGCATGTGCCTGTAATCCTAGCTACTCGGGAGGCTGAGGCAGAAGAATCATTTGAACCTGGGAGGCGGAGGTTACAGTGAGCCAAGTTTGAGCCACTGCACTCCAGTGGCTCGAGATGGAGCCACTCACCCAGGCTGGAGTGCAGTAGTGCGATCTCAGCTCACTGCAACCTCCACCTCCAGGGTTCAAGCAGTCTCTTGTCTCAGCCTCCTGAGCAGCTGGAATTACAGGTGCTCACAACCATGCCCAGCTAATTTTTTGTATTTTTAGTAGAGACGGGGTTTCACCATGTTGGCCAGGCTAGTCTCAAACTCCTGACCTCGTGATCTGCCCGCCTCGGCTTCCCAAAGTGCTGGGATTACAGGCATGAGCCACTGTGCCCAGCAGATGGCTACCTTCTTTAAAATACTTTTTTGTTATAGTATAACATCTATGCAATAAGCTGTACATGCAACAGACTATGTTTTTTATATATGTATATACCCACATGACTTCCACCAGGTCAACATACAGAAAAGTTCTAGTTCCCCAGAAACTCTTCTGTACCTTTTCCCAGGAAATATTACCTCAAAAGGGAGCCACTGTCTGACTTTCATCATCATAGATTAGGTTTTGTTGCTGTTGTTGTTAGAATCTTTTAAATTGTGGTATAAATATATAACATAACATTTACCATCTTAGCCTTTTTAAGTTTGTAGTTCAGTGGTGTTATGTACATTCATATTGCTGTGCAACCAATCTGCAGAACTCTTTTCATCTTGCAAAACTGAAACTCTATACCCATTAAACAACTATCCATTTCCTCTGCCCCAAGCTCCTGGCAATCACCATTTTACTTTCTGTCTCTATGAATTTGACTACTCCAGGTACCTCGTAAAAGTAGACTCATACAGTGTTTGTCTTTCTGTAATTTCACTTAGCATAACGTCTTCAAGGTTCATTCATGTACCATTGTGTGTCAGCATTTCCTTCCTTTTTAAGGTTGAGATGGTAGATTAGTTTTCCCTGTTCTTGAGTTTCATATGAATAAAATCATACGGTTTCTGGATTCTTTCACTTGACATAATGTCAGTAAGATTCATCCATGCTTTTGTGTGTATCTGTGTTCGTTCTTTTGTATTGCTGTTCATGAATATATCACAGTGTACTTATCCATTAAATGTTGATAGTTACTTGGGTTATTTCCAGTTTAGGACTACTTTGGAAAACCCTACCATAAGCATCCTTGTACATGTCTTTTTGTGGACATACGTGCCTATTTCTCTTAGGAATACACCCAGAAGTAGAATTACTAAAATTTAAGTCCTTTAGACTGACTCTGAACAGTTGGATCTGTGATGCCACGTGGTCCTGTATCTACCCCACTCCCTGAGCTAAGTTCCCCTTCAGAAAGGAGGTTTTGTCTTCCTCTTCCCTTGAAGAGCCTCCAGTACCTAGGTGGGGTCTCAGAGTACAGCAACAAACAGGAACTTGAACAGGAAGTAATCGTGGGTAAAATGCTGCGTAATAATGAACACAGCACAATTGAACCCAGTATTCAGGTCAGGGAAAGTTCTTGTTTGGTTTACTAAATTCTAGAAAGGGAAACTGAAAAAAATGAAGGTACGAGGGCACAAACAAAGAGGTCAGACATCCAGACTGAAGCATCATTCCCATCACAGTCGTCTGGTCCTCCCAGCAGTAATAGTACAGTAATGGGGCTCAGATTCAAGGACAGACTTGTGATTCTAAAATTCCAGCTCCATAACCCTCTTCATTCAAGGAGGCAGGGGAGGAAAGTCAGAGGCCTGCTCATTAAGTATTAGAGAGGTGTTAAAAACCTATTAGCACCGATCTGGCACTTTCTCCTTGATGGTTTTAGAATAATTGAAAGCAAGTTAAATAAGGAAGGACTCTCATTGTGAGATTCAGTGGGACTTGATGCCACGTTAAAGTAATACTAAAAGCCATTGCAGGGACCCTATTTGGGAAGGAGGATGCTAAGGGGTGACTGAGTCCAAATAGGGAATGCGTTCTCTTTCTCTTTCCTCCCATGATGCTGTCTGGAAAGGAGGAACCGCAAATGCCTTCTGCATAGACAGCCTGAATTGGGCAGGCTAGACAGCTCTGCTTACCCTTCCCCACATGGTGTTCCTCAGCAGGGCCAGGACTAGAGTAAGGAGAGAAAGATGCTTGCCCTGAGTGCAAAATTAAAGGGATGCCAAAAAATCAGTAAGTAAGGCCAGGCGTGGTGGCTCATGCCTATAATCCCAGCACTTTGGGAGGCCAACATGGGTGGATAACTTGAGGTCAGCAGTTTGAGACCAGCCTGGCCAACATGGCGAAAGCCTGTCTCTACTAAAAATACAAAAATTAGCCAGGTGTGGTGGCATATGCCTGTCATCCCAGCTACTTGGGAGGCTGAGGCAAGAGAATCACTTGAACCCACGACGTGGAGGTTGCAGTGAGCTGAGATCATGCCACTGCACTCCAGCCTGGGCGACAGACTCCATCTCAAAAAGGAAAAAAAAAAATCAGTAAGCAAGATAAACAACATTTAATGCAATATTTAAAAACATCAAAACTAATGCAAAAAATCCCTGATGAGGGAAATATCAACTTTTAAAATAAATATAGGTTATGGTGGGCAGAATTAGGGTAAGGCCAAGTCATGTAAGTGCAGAGTAGCTCCACTAAGACGTTAAGATTAAATGAGCTAATGCATGTAACATGCTTAGAACAAGCCCTCAATGTGTTTTAATTATTAGCATTATCGTTACCATACTACTACTACTGCTACTACTACAGCTACTACTATTACTATTACTACTATTTTTGCTGTAGGAAAGAGATAGTTGTTTTATTACCAAGTGGAGTGGGGGTCTGCTGTTCCTGTCCTTGCCTGTAAGAAGTTTTTCCTGATTCCTAGGGTTTAAATTAGATGTTCCTTCCCTGTGATCCTCTGGCATCCTGAACTGGCCTGCACTTACACAGCATTGTGTTGTCTGTTTACTTGGCCATGGTCTTCATCAACTCAGGCCGCCAGAACAAAATATCACAGATTAGGTAGCTTGAACAACAGACATTTATTTCTCACAGTTCTGGAGGCTGGGAAGTCCAAGTTCAAGGTGCCACCTGATCCGGAGTCTGATGAGGGCTCCCTTCCCCTCTTGCAGGCAGCAACCTTCTCAGTTTATCTTCACAAGATGGAAAAAGAGAGTTCTGGCCTCTTCCTCTTCTTAGAATGACGTTAATCCCATCAGGAGGACCACGACCTCCCCTAAACCTGATTATCTCTCAAGGACCTCACCTCCAAATACCATCACACAGGCCTTAGGGCTTCAACACATGAATTTGGGGGAAACACAAATACTCAGTCCATCACATTCATCTCCCTGGGTAGCTTAGGACCTCTGTGAAGGCAGAGATAGTCCTATTTTGCTTACCAATTTATCCTTCCCTGGGCCAAACACAGTGCCTCACACATAATAGCTACTGGAACTATATTTATTCTCTTAGATCAGTGTGAATCAGTGTCCACACATCTCTCCTCTAACCTTCTTCACAAGGATGCAGTAAATTGGTTGGCGAGAGATGTGGAGTGGCAACCATTTACATACTTGTCAACTCTCTTATTTAGTCTGAAGTCATATAATAATAAAATTATCATTATTTCTTTCAGTGCTAACATTTATTGAGGACTTCATATGTGCTGAGCATTCTACTAACATTTTTCAATGTATCAACTCATTTAATCCTCATGGTAATCATATAGGTAGGTGATATCACTTTCCCCTTTTAAAGATGAAGAAACTGAGGCACAGAGGAGTCAAGTGTGTGCCCAAGGTCACTCAGTTACTAGCGTAGGACAGCTGTGCTCCATCCACCCCACTCTGACTCCCGAATCTATGCTCCTGAGTATCCAATGAGATGGGGCTCCCAGGCTAACAGAACCCTCCCGCCCACATCTGTGAAAAGATGCCAGCTCTATTACCCCTCCACCCCCAGGCAATCTTTACTTACTCCCTCCTACAACAAGAGATTGCCAACGGCGAGAACAGATGAGAAGGAGAAAATAGGTTCTGTCATTTCTCTAAGAGGCCACCTGATCCCTTCAGGTTGAAAAGAAATGTTTAATACAACATCTCTCTCTGTCCTGGAATTCTTTTCTATGCTTGGCTGGTCAGCTTAATCTTCAACTGGCCAAGCAGAATGCCCATCCATAATACTGCTTCCGGATGTAGTGTGACCTGGAGAGGGGAGGTTTCAACAAGCAACCACAGCGCCAAATGTAGAAAGCACAAACTACTCAGTTAAAGGGATACTTACCACACACTTTCTCTGCTTTTGTATTTTCATTGGTACATTCCAGGTTTGGGTGTTTTTTTTAAACAAATGTCAAGGTATAAACATAGTATGTTTTCTTCCACTGCCCTGGCCCTGAATTCTTTTTGTCTTTTCTTTTCTTTTCTTTTCTTTTCTTTTCTTTTCTTTTCTTTTCTTTTCTTTTCTTTTCTTTTCTTTTAGATAGGGTCTCACTCTGTCACCCAGGCTAAAGTGTGATTATGAGTCACTGCAGCTTCGACCTCCTGGGGTCAAGTGATCTTCGCACCTCAGCCTGCTGAATAGATGGGACTACAGGCACACACCACTACACCCTGGCTCATTTTTTCTTTTCTTTTTTGTTTTTTTGTTTTTGTTTTTTTTTTTTTTTTTGAGACCAAATCTCACTCTGTTGCCCAGGCTGGAGTGCAGCTCACTGCAACCTCTGCCTCCCAGGTTCAAGCGATTCTCCTGCCTCAGCCACCCGAGTAGCTGGGACTACAGGCGCATGCCACCAAGTTCGGCTAATTTTTCATATTTTTAGTAGAGATAGGGTTTCACCGTGTTAGCCAGGATGGTCTCCATCTCCTGACCTCATGATCCGTCCACCTCAGCCTCACAAAGTGCTGGGATTACAGGCTTGAGCCACTGCACCCAGCCCATTTTTTCTATTTTTTGTAGAGACAGGTTCTCATTTTGTTGCCCAAGCTGGTCACAAACTCTTGGGCTCAAGCCATTCTCCCACCTTGGGCTCCCAAAGTGCCAGGACTGCAGACATGAGCCACCATGCCTGGCCTGCCCTCAATTCTTTAGACAATTGGATAGAATAGAATTACTTAATATTTGAATTCACTTTAAAATATGACGTTTTACTTGCATTCATTTTTAGAACAGTTAATGTGTTCATTTTTTAAGAGCTAAAATAATATAAAAAGGTTTTCATGGAGAGGAGCATCTCCCGTCCTAGCCTTTCTCTTCACCCCCTAGAGGTAATCATATTTATTAGTTTATCGTTTCTTATTCTTCTTTCCATACTTCCTTTATTAAATTTACTTATTTAAATATTTTTAAAAATCAATGCTGCATATATTCTGATATATTCTTCCTTTCCTCTTTTCTTACAGAAAAAAAAGTATCTCACTATGTAAAATATTCTGCACTTTATTTTTTCACGTAACAATCTTTCTGGGTTGGGTGCAGTGGCTCACACCTGTAATCCCAACACTTCGGGAGGCTGAGGTGGGAGGATTGCTTAAGCTCAGGAGTTCAAGACCAGCCTTAGCAACATAGTGAGACCCTGTCACTATTAAAAAAAAAAAAAAAGTTAAAATTAGCTGGGTGTGGTGGCATACGCCTATAGTCCTGGCTATTCAGGAGGCTGAGGTGGGAGAATCACTTGAGCCCGGGAGTTTGAGGCTGCAGTGAGTTATGATTGCACCACTGCACTCCAACCTGGGCAACAGAGTGAGACCCTGTCTCTACAAATCAAATAAAATAAACAAAAGAAAAACAAAAAACTCACAACTTTTCTGGAGTTCTTTCTGTATCAGAACATAGAGAACTTCATCAATCATTACAGCTGTATCATATTCTGTATAACTGTTAGTTTAACCAGTCCCTCATCAGTAAAAACTTGGGTCATCTCCAAACTTTTGCTATTGCAAATGATGCTACAACAAATGACCTTGGACATACATCATCTCCTCCCC
Organism: Homo sapiens; assembly: GCF_000001405.40. Lineage (NCBI taxonomy): Eukaryota > Metazoa > Chordata > Mammalia > Primates > Hominidae > Homo > Homo sapiens. The sequence continues at coordinate 23,822,193 of NC_000016.10, read as the reverse complement.
ACAGCAGTGCAACTGTCGAATAAATTCCCAGAACTAGGGATTGCTAGGTCAAAGGGTAAGTGCATTTTCAAGGCTGATAGATGTCCCCAGCTTGCCCTCCACAGAGGCTATGGCCTTCTGTACTCATCCTACTCATGATGACAATGCCAGTTTCCCCCACAGCGGTACGCACAACATTGTCATGCTTTTCTATTTTGGCCAAGCTGATAAGTGATAAATAGTCTCTTGGTGGAATTTTAATTTTCATTTATCTTATTATGAATGAGGTTGAGCATCTCTTCATAAGAATGGCACATTAAAAACACTTTTATTGTGAGTGACAGAAGCTCTTTAGGGCTAACTCAAGCAAATGAAGGGGAAATTACTACAAGAATTAAGAGGTGTCTCATGCCGCCAAGAGCAGCAATCCAGCGAGGCCCCCAGATCTAGAAAACAAAAAATGTGAATTGGATTGATCTCTCTCTCCTCTCCTCTCATCTACTTTTCTCTTTCCAAATTGGGAAATACCTCCTTCCTGAGTGTAGGAGTGTGTGTGCCTCCCCACATCCCCCCAGTGTACCTGACACAATCTCCATCCCCCGCACATGCTCTCACATAGTCTCAATTCCAAATTCCCAGAGAGAGACTCTAATTGATTAATCTTTCTTCCACAGTGCATCCCTAGTCCAATTTGCCATAGTGGGAGGTGGGAGAACGATAAGAATCAGAAAATACAATTGCTTCCCCCCGATAATGCAATGCCAATAGGAAACCAAGGGTCCCTTCACTGACCATCCCTTCTCCCAGTGTGATTCTCCCAAAAAGATAGAGGGCTCCTATGTTTTTGCAAAGCCCCATGTGAAGGATAGTCTACTCTTCTCTGTATGGCCCCAGTGCTTTTCCAAGCTAATCATGGTAATTCCGTGCCCTTTGCTAGTAATGGGTTTAGAAATAGACCTGTGATTCAGTTCTAGCTAATGATACATAAGGAAACATTCCTCACAGCTAAAAATAGATACAATGTCAAGACGGCCACTCTCCTGTTACTGTATGTTGTTGTGTCTGTGTGTGATTCTATCAATTAGCTTTCGCTACATTAAAAACCACCCTACAGTGGGGTGCGATGTCTCACGCCTGTAATCCCAGCACTTTGGGAAGCCAAGGCAGGCGGATCACCTGAGGTCAGAAGTTCGAGACCAGCCTGGCCAACATGGCGAAATCCTGTCTCTACTAAAAATACAAAAATTAGCCGGGCGTGGTGGCACGCACCTCACCTGTAATCCCAGCTACTCAGGAAGCTGAGGCAAGAGAATCGCCTGAACCCAGGAGAATCGCGGAGGTTGCAGTGAGCCGAGACCGTGCCACTGCACTGCAACCTGGGTGATAGAGTGAGACTCCGTCTCAAAACAACAACAACAACAAAAAAAAAACCCTAGGCCAGTTGCAGTAGCTCACACCTGTAATCTCAGCACTTTGGGAGGAAGAGTGGGAGGATCATTTAAGGCCAGGAGTTCAAAACCAGCCTGAGCCACATAGCGAGACTCTGTCTCTACAAAAATAAAAATAAAAATTAGCCAGGCACAGCGGCGGATGCCTGTAGTCCAGTTAATTGGGAGGCTGGGGCAGGAGGGTTGCTTGAGCACAAGAGGTCAAGGCTGCAGTAAGCTATGATTGTGCCACTGCACTCCAGCCTGGGTGACAGAGCAACACCCTGTCTCGAAAAGAAAAAACACACACATACAAATTCAGCGACAATACAGAATCACCTATTATTTCTCATGATTTTGTAGGTTAGCCAGCTGGTTCTGATCTGAGCTAGCTCAGCTAGGACTGCATGGTCTAGGATGCCTTCATTCACATGTCTAGCAGTTCACAAGCTGTTTGATCTACAAGGGACAGCTGAGGATGGCTCATCTTGACTACATCAGGAACCTAGTCCAGGCTTCCTAACATGATATGTCAGGCTCTCAAAGTACAGTAAGAGGGTTGGGCAGGGGTCCGGGGAAGCACTTTTCTTTTCTTTTTATTTATTTATTTTTTTTTTGAGACAGAATTTCTCTCTTGTTGCCCAGGCTGGAGTGCAATTCTCAGCTCACTGCAACCTCCGCCTCCTGGGTTCAAGTGATTCTCCTGCCTCAGCCTCCCGAGTAGCTGGGAAGACAGGTGCCCACCACCACGCCTGGCTAATTTTTTGTGTTTTTAGTAGAACAAGGTTTCACCATGTTGGCCAGCCTGATCTGCCTGCCTGCCTCGGCCTCTCAAAGATTACAGGTGTGAGCCCCCGCGTCAGGCCTTTTTTTTTTTTTTTTTTTAGACAAAGTCTCACTCTGTCCTTCAGGCTGGAGTGCAGTGGTACAATCTCGGCTCACTGCAACAATCTCGGCTCACTGCAACCTCCACTCCCAGGTTCAAGTGATTCTCCTGCCTCAGCCTCCCAAGTAGCTGGGATTAAAGGCATGTGCCATCATGCCCAGCTAATTTTTGTATTTTTAGTAGAGAAGGGGTTTCACCATGTTGGCCAAGCTGGTCTCAATCTACTGACCTCAAGTGATCCACCCGCCTCAGCCTCCCAAAGTGCTGGGATTAAAGGTGTGAGCCACCGCGCCCTGCCCAAGCACTTTTCAAATATCTTCAAGCATCACATTTGCTGTTGTCCCATTGACCAAAGCAAGCCACGTGGCTAAGCCTGGTTGGGTGGAGAAATAGACCATATTTCTTTATGGGAGGGGATAAAATGTAGTGCAGCAATTTTTGCAGTCTATCTTGGCGACCCCTAGAACTCTGCTATCTTGGGACTATGAGGGGTACTAGCCTGAGGATGGCAGAAGATGGGAAGGATTCTCTATGATGACATTGAACCACTGAATTTACTAACCCTGAAGAGGTGCTACCTTGGAAGTTTTTGTTATGTGAGCTGATTAATTTTCCTTTCTGTTTAAGACAGTTGAACTGATATTAACCGATGTATATTATTTTTGTATATCAGTTGAGGTGTTACAAGGGGAGGTCAGTTCCCAGACGATAAGAGGTGGTTCACCCACTGCCAGACATCCCAAATTGGCTGAATATTTGTTGTTGTTGTTGTTGTAGACAGTCTTGCTGTCACCCAGGCTGGAGTGCAGTGGCATGATCTTGGCTCACTGCAACCTCCACTTCCTGGGCTTAAGCCATCCTCCCACCTCAGCCTCTTGAGTAGCTGGGACTTCGGGTGCACACCACCATGCCCTGCTAATTCTTGTGTTTTTTGTAGAGAAGGGGTTTCACCGTGTTGCCCAGGTTGGTCTCGAACTCCTGAGCTCAAGTAATCCACCTGCCTCAGCCTCCCAAAGTGCTGGGATTATAGGCATGAGCTACCGCGCTCAGCCTGGCTGGATATTTTTTAAGTTTCTGTGAAGGAGTCCAGGCTGACTGCCTGCATAATATGAGCCAAATTTGAGGGATGGTTACCCAAAAATCAGATGCAAATTTATACATCCTTAAATTACATAGAGTCCAGAAGATGAGAAGGAAAGTCCAGTTTTGAGGTCCAAAATTCCAAATACACACATACATAGAAAGATGGCATAACACATGTGAAACAGATGGAGGGGTAGATGATATAATTTAAGTGATGATGCCCATCATGGCCTCTGCTGTGTAGTAGAAAATACCCCACGTTACAATCCCAAGAAACAGAAGAGAGAGAGAGAAAGAGAGAGAGAGAGAGAGAGAGAGATATTAGAAAAAAGATTTTATTTAATGCCAAATATAACAAATAGGGTAAGTATAAAAAGGGCTCAAAAGAGACCATAAAATTCTTGTCACCAGTCAACATAGCAAGGACAGTTTCAGTGCTGTGACATGAAAAGCAGACTATGAGGAATCGAAGAGTAAACTACAGAAAAGAAAGGATGAATAATAAATATAAGATGTCACATTATCTTGGACTCTTTCGATTATGTGCCTCATAATCCCACCTTAAACCGCTTAGTTTGAGGGTGTAGATTTAACAGCTCTTATAACTGAAACTCAAAGAGTATCTAGCATCAGACGTACTTGGATTCAGAGGTTCAAACTAGAGTCACTCCATATTATCTGTGGGGAATTTGTTCCGGGACCCTCTCAGATACCAGAATCTGACGATGCTCAAAACTGTTATATAAAATGATGTAAGATTTGCATATAACCAATGAATATAATTTTATATACTTTGAAGCCTCTCTAGATTACTTATATATCTAATATAATGTAACAGCTATGTAAATAACTGTTATACTGTATTGGTTTTTTGTTTGTTTGTTTTTTGAGACAGGGTCTCACTCCATCACCCAGGCTGGAGTGCAGAGGTGCAATCATAGCTCACCGCTCAAACTCCTAGGCTTAAGTGATCCTCTCACATCAGTCTCCTGAGTAGCTGAGACTACAAGCACACACTACCATGCCCGGCTAAATTTTTTGTTTTTCTTTTGTAGAGATGAGGTCTCTCTATGTTGCCCAGGCTGGCCTCGAGCTCCTAGTCTCATGATCCTTCCACCTCAGCTTCCCAACATGCTGAGATTACAAGTGTGAGCCACCATTCTCAGCCCTGTTTTTTAATATTTTTGGGCTGCAATTGGTTGAATCCAAGGATGCAGAATCCTTGGATATGGAGAACCCACTGTACATAATGGAAACACTGTCTTTCTCTCCATTTCTTGGTTCTACTTGCCTTCTTCTCAGAAAGTCTCCCTCCACATAGATCCTGGGCATGGTGGCTCACACCTGTAATCCCAGCACTTTGGGAGGCCGAGGTGGGTGGATCACTTGAGGTCTGGAGTTCAAGACCAGCCTGGCTAACCTGGTGAAACCCCGTCTCTAATAAAAATACAAAAATTAGCCAGGCATGGTGGCATGTACCTATAATCTCAGAAACTACTTGGGAGACTGAGGCAGGAGAAACATTTGAGCCTGGGAGACAGAGGTTGCAGTGAGCCAAGATCACATCACTGCACTCCAGCCTGGACGACAAAATGATACTCTGTCTCAAAAAAAAGAAAAAAAAGTCTCTCTCCACATGGAGAAGTGGAGCACAGCCTCCCCAGTGACTGTAGCAAAAGTCTCAGGGAGGACAATTCTGCATGGTCCAGCTTGGGAGACATGACTACGCCTGACCCTATCACTCCAGCCTGGGAGATGGAGTATTCTGATTTGCTGTGCCCTTGTTAGCCTTCAAGCCACAGGGATTGAACAGGATTTTTATGAAATAAGCGGAGCAATGTTTGTCTCAAAAAGGAAATGCTAAGTAAAGGGTTAAAAAATATATAATAGATTCCTTAGACTTGACACCAAAAGCAAGGAAAAATTGATAAATTGGACCTCATGAAATTTTTAAAAATTTTTTCTTTGAAAGACCTTGTTAAGAGATGCAAAAACAAACTACATACTAGGAGAAAGTATTCACAAACCACGTAACTCACAGAAGACTAGTATCTACCACGCATAAAGAACCCTCACAACTCAGCAGTATTAAAACTAACAACCCAATTGGAAAGTGAGAAAAAAAAAAAACATCAGCAGACATTTCATGAGAGAGGATATATAAATGACAAATAAAAACATGAAAATATGTTCAGCCTGGCATGGTGGCTCATGCCTGTAATCCCAGCACTTTGGGAAGCTAGGGCAAGAGGATTGCTTGAGCCCAGAAGTTAAAGACGAGCCTGAGCAACATAGTGAGACCTCTTCTCTACTAAAAATCAATAAAGAAATTAGCCAGGCATGATGGTACATCCCTGTAGTCCCAGGAACTAGTGGGGCTGAGGTGGGAGAATTGCTTGAGCCCAGGAGGTGGAGGCTGCAGTGAGCCATGATAACGCAACTGTGATCCAGCCTGGGCAACAGAGAAAGACCCTATCTAAAAAAAAAATATGTTCAACATGATTAACCATTAGAGTAATACAAATTAAAGCCATAGTGAGAAAGCACCACACACCTATGAGGATGACTAAAATTTTAAAAAAAGTGATAACACCAAATTCTGGTAAGAAATTGGAAAAGCAGGATCATACATCCATTGCCGGTGGGACTGTAGAATGGCACAGCCACTCTCGAAAACAGCATGGCAATTTCTTACAAACTAAATGTGGTTGGAACTACATCAAAGTTAAAAACTTTTGTGTATCAAAGGACATAATCGATAGATTGGAAAGGCAACCTACAGAATTGGAGAAAATATTTGCTAATCATCTATCTGACAAGGGGTAGATATCCAGAATACATAAAGAACACCTACAATTCAAGAATAAAAAATCAAATAACCCAATTTTAAAATATTCAAGGCAAAGCTCTTGAATAGCTATTTCTCCAAAGATGATATTCAAAACACAATGAGCATATGAAAAGGTAGTCAACATCACTAATCATCAAACAAATGCAAATCAAAACCACAGTGAGATATCACTTTATACCCATTAGGCTGGCTACAAGAAGGAGGAGCAGGAGAGGAAGAGGAAGAGGGAAAATAACAAATGTTGGTGAGGAAGAGGAAGAGGGAAAATAACAAATGTTGGTGAGGATGTGGAGAAATTGGAACCCTTCAGCACTGTTGGTGGAATTGTAAAATGATGCAACATTTTTGTTGTACCATTGTAAAATTATTCCAACATAGCATGGAAAATAATGTGGAGGTTCCTCAAAAAGTTAAAAACAGAACTACCACGCGATCCAGCAAAACCACTTCAATTATCCAAAATAATTGGATCTGGATCTCAAAGCGATATTTGTACACCGTGTTCATAGTAGCATTATTCACAACAGCCAGCATGTAGAAGGAACCCAAATGCCCATTACTGGCGAAATGGATAAGCAAAATATGGTATATACATACAACGGAATATTATCCAGACTTAAAAAGGAAGGAAATTCTGACCCATGTTAAACATAGATGAATCTTGAGGATACTGTGCTAGATGAAATAAGCCAGTCACAAAAAAGAAAAATACTGTATGATTCCACTGGCATGAGAAACCCTGAGGAGTCAAATTCATAGAGACAGAAAATAGAATAGTGATTTTCAGGGGCTGAGGGAAGGAAGAAAAGAGGCGTGGTTGTTTAATGGGTAAAGAGTTTCAGATTTGCAAGATGAAAACATTCTGGACATTTGTTTCACAACAATGTGAGTATATTTAACACTCCTGAACTCTACACTTAAAAGTCGTTGGGAGGGTAAATTTATGGTATATGTTTTTTGCCATAATCAATCAATCAATCAAACTAAATACATGCAATTGCCCAGCAACTGCACTGTTGGAGGTATATCCTAGACAAATGAAAATTTATGTTCACACAAAAATCCATACAGAAATTTTCATAGCCACTTTATTTGTAATTGAAAAAAAAAACTGGAAAGACATTTGGAAACAACCCAAATGTCTTTCTAAGGATGAATCGTTCAACAAACTACAGTATACCCATACCATAGAATAGAAATACACTCAGAAATAAAAGGTAACAAACTATTGATATGCACAGCAACTTGGATAGATCATAAGAGAATTATTCTGAGTGGAAAACACCAATCCCAAAGGTTTCATGCTGCATGGCTGCATTTATATAACTTTCTTAAAATGACAAAACTATAGAAATGGAAAATGTATGAGGGGTTGCCAGGGACAAGGAGATAGAGGAAGGGAGATGGCCGTGTGGCTATAAAAGAATAAATAGCACGAGGATCTCTGCAGTGATGGAATTGTTCTTGTCTTCACTGCTGGTGGTCACAGGAGTCTACACATGTGATAAAATCTCAAGAAACTAAATACACACACACACACGCACACCAAATGAATGGCTGAAACGCTGGTGAGATCGGACTAAGATCAATTGATTATATCAATGTGAATTCCCTGGTTGGAGTATCGCCCTACTGTGACACAGGGTGTTTCTGTTGGAGAAAACTGGGTGGAGGGTATATGGGATCTCTCTATATTATTTTTTTTTTATTTTTAATTTCTAATTTTTGTGGGTACATAGTAGATGTATGTATTTATGGGGTATTTTGATACAGGTATACAATGTATAGTAATTACATCAGGGTAACTGGGGTATCCATCCCCTCAAGCATTTATCCTTTGTGTTACAAACAATCCAATTATACTATTTTAATTATTTTAAATTGTACAGTTAGATTACCATGGACTATAGATGCCCTGTTGTGCTATCAAATACTAGATATTATTCATTCTATTTTTTGTACCCATTAATCATTCCCACTTTCTCCCCGCGCCCCCACTACCCTTCCCAGCCTCTGGTACCCATCCCCCCACCCCCACTACCCTTCCCAGCCTCTGGTACCCATCCCCCCACCCCCACTACTCTTCCCAGCCTCTGGTACCCATCCTTCTACTCTTGATCTCCACGAGTTCAAATGTTTTAACTTTTAGTTCCCACAAACAAGTTAAATTAGAACACATGAAGTTTGTCTTTCTGTGCCTGGCTTATTTCATAAACATAATGACTTCCAGTTCCATCCACGTTGTCACAAATGGCAGGATCTCATTCTTTTTTATGGCTCCATAGTACTGCATTATGTATGTGTTCTGTAATATTTTTTACAATGGCATGTGAATCTACAATTATCTCAAAGGAGATACATTTTTAAAATGTATACTATATGCATTTTTTCCAGAGGTTTGGATGATTATGCGGGGAGCAATATGATCATGATTTGAGGCGAACATAGGATTAAGTAAAGGGGCTGGAATTGCTGGATTTTAAATTTTTAGATGATGGAGACATGAAATAGATATAAGATGAGGGAGAAACCAGGCATAGCAGGAAAAGAAGAAACAGTACGTGGATAGAGAATTAATTGCTGAAGCAAGGTTCCTGGGGAGAAGATAGGAGACATGGTGAAGAAAGAGGTGAACACATCCTTGAAAATCAGACAGCATCCGGCCGGGTGCAGTGGCTCACGCCTGTAATGCCAGCACTTTGGGAGGCAGAGGAGGATGAATCACTTGAGGTCAGGAGTTCAAGACCATCTTGGCCAACGTGGTGAAACCCCGTCTCTACTAAAAATATGAAAATTATCTGGGCGTGGTGGCGCATGCCTATAATCCCAACTACTCTGGAGGCTGAGGCGAGAGAATCGCTTGAGCCCAGGGGGCAGAGATTGCAGTGAGCCAAGATGCCACCACTGCACTCCAGGCTGGGTGATAGAGTGAGACTCTGTCTCAAAAAAAAAAAAAAAAAAACGAAAAGAAGAGAAGAGAAGAGAGAAAAGAAAAGAAAGAAAAGGAAAAAAAGAAAAGAAAATTAGACAGTATCCTTGTCCTACTGAAAATGCCATGATTATGGTAAGGTCTAGGAAAATACAGACTGATTTCAAAATGGAGGAAAGGAAAGTTGAGGTTGTTTTAAATTGTTGGCTTATATTTGCTCTGTAAGTAAAGTCATCTCGGGAATCAAATAATACAATGGAGTAGAGACCTTCAGGAATGTGGTAAAGGCTTGTATGAGAAGGAGAACATCTAAGAATTCATAAAAGGATTGTTGATAGTGTAAAGATCAAGCTAAGGATATAAACTAAGAATTTTTCATGAAGCCAAAGAGTTTGATACTGTGATTTTTCTCCAGTCATGCCAAAAAGCCTGGAAATAGGAACTGAGAAAATGAATGGTTAGAAAGGCAAAGGTGTGGAGGAACTGGAATTATTGGTCACAGGGATGTTCATTTCACTAACCACAGACTCCCAGCTGGGGAAGAAGGTGAAGCCAAGAGGAGTTGAGGAACCAGTGGCTATTTTTTTTTTTTTTTTTTTGACACAGAGTCTCACTCTTGCCCAGGTTGGAGTGCAGTGGGGCGATCTCAGCTCACTGCAACCCTCACCTCCCAGGTTTAAGCAATTCTCCTATCTCAGACTCCCAAGTAGCTGGGATTACAGGTGCCTGCCACCATACAAGGCTAATTTTTATATTTTTAGTAGAGACAGGGTTTTACCATGTTGGCCAGACTGGTCTCAAACTCCTGACCTCAAGTGATCTGCCCGTCTTGGCCTCCCAAAGATCTGGGATTATGGATGTGAGCCACTGCGCCCAGCTAATTTTTGTATTTTTAGTAGAGACAAGGTTTCGCCATGTTGGCAAGGCTGGTCTCAAACTCCTGACCTCAAGTGATCTGCCCTTCTTGGCTTCCCAAAGTGCTGGGATTACAGGCATGAGCCACTAAGCCTGGCTGGAACCAGTGGCTTTGATGAGGTTGAAAAATAGGTTAACTGGGAATGAAGGTGTAGAAGAGGTGAAGAGATAGGAAGCTATGACCAGATAGAAGTATCCATTTCTGACATTTTTCAAGTAGAGCAGCTCTAGCTGATGTCCAAGTCCAGGGTGTGGCCATGAGGAAACAGAGGAGAAGGTCACTCGTTGAGAAGATTGCAGAACAACCACCCAGCATGCTGGGAAAGTCATCTGCAAGAACACTAAAATTTCTCAGGATGGTAATGGAAAGGGAGAGAAGAAATAAACTCCATGGGGAGCTAGGTTTCAACTAAGGTAAGGTTGTAAAGTTGACTTCCTGTGAAAAAGATTCTACAGCCGAGCACAGTGGCTCATGCCTGTAATCCCAGGACTTTGGGAGGCCGATGCGGGAGGATCACCTGAGGTCAGGAGTTTGAGACCAGCCTGGCCAACTTGGCAAAACGCTGTCTCTACTAAAAATACAAAAATTAGCCAGTGTGGTGGCAGGTGCGTGTAATCCCATCTACTTGGGAGGCTGAGGCAGGAGAATCGCTTGAACCCGGGAGGCAGAGGTTGCAGTGAGCCAAGATCGTGCCATTGCACTCCAGCCTGGGCAGTGGAGTGAGACTGTGTCAAAAAGTAAAAAAAAGAAAGAAGAAAGAAAGAAGGAAAGAGAGAGAGAGAGAGAAAGAAAGAAAGAGAAAGAAAGAAAGAAAGAGAGAGAGAGAAAGAAAGAAAAAGAAAGAAAGAAAAAGAAAGAAAGAAGAAAAGAAAGATTCTTTCTACAACATTGTGGTTGTGAGCACAGGGTTCATAGACAGATAGACAAGACAGACAGATACAGAGGGAGAGAGGGAGATATGCACAATATAGGTTCCTTTGTTCCTGATACCCAGACCCTTAGAACCTTCCATGTTCCAGCATCAACTATTAACCTTTAGTTTTACCTGTACCTATTTTGCAATCTAATAAATTTATTTTTTTTCCCATAGGATTAGCCAGGGTCTGTTTCTGTTGTTTACAAAAAAGTATCCTAGGTGATGAACTAATACAAATGACTCTTGCTGCCAAGGTGTGTGGACGTGGCTATCACAGACACACTCAGTTCCATGAACCACATTTCAAGAAGGACTCTGGCAAAACGAAGCAACACTGGAGACTTGTATTTCCTTTTGAGAGAAGAGCCTAGGGACAAAAGATGAAAGTTACCCAAAGGTTTTTAATTCTTTGTAAGGAAGACCTTCATGCAAATTTGAGATGCTCAGTAATTTGATGGAATGAATGGAGGCGACAGGAAAGAGACAAGCTAAGAAACTTTGATTCCATTGCCTTTGGTTCTTCTTGGGTTGTATACCATACCATGCATAGTAGCCCCAGGCATTTGGACCCTTTGGGAGTTAGAAGGCGGCCCCCAGGTTTCAGAGTTTCTCCTTAAGCTGAGATAAATCCAGCTCCTTCTAACTTCCACTGATTATTTCTCACCTGCAGAATAAACCTATTCCCTCTTCCACATGACAACCCTTCACACGTTGAAAAATAGCTCCCCTATCCCTCCCTTTCTCCTAGCAGTTCTGCAAGTAAATCTCCTTATTTCTTTGTATAACATGGTAACAAGTCCTGAAAAACCTTTGTTGACTTTTGAGTTAATTTGCTTCAGTTTTTCGTTGTCTTTATTAAAGTATAGTGTCCAGAACCGACGCACAGTGTTCCAGCCTATGATCAGATCCATGAAGAATGGAGAACTTTTGCCTCCTTTGTTTTCAATGCTATACTCCTAATAATGTGTCCTAACTCTGCCACATGCATGGCTGATCCTGTCCACCCAGTTCTTTCCATCCTTTCTGCAAGTCTCTTACTAGGCCCCAATGGCCTCAGCCTCATCCTGAATTCTCCCCACCCTGTTTGGAAACTTTCCTGAGCCTATCTTTTTTCCTGCCCTCTTGAACCAGTTCAGGCAGCAGCAGTAGCAGCAACAGCAGTGACTCCGGAACGTTGAGATAGTCAAGGAGGCTGGGCGCAGTGGCTCATGCCTGTAATGCCAGCACTTTCGGAGGCCAAAACAAGAGGATCTCTTCAGTTTGAGTCCAGCCTGGGCAACATAGTGAAACCCTGTCTCAAAAACAAAAAACAAACAAACAAACAAACAAAAAACAGAAAAAAGAAAAACACTAAAAAAATTAGTCAGTTGTAGTGTGCACCTGCAGTCCCAACTACTCGGGAAGCTGAGGTGGGAGGATCGCTTGAACCCAAGGAGGTCTAGGCTGCAGTGAGCCATGATTGCACCACTACACTCCAGCCTGGGCCACAGAGTGAGACCCTGTCTTGAAAATAAAAAATAAAAAACGGTCATGGAAAAACTAAAACGTTGGTAGAATTTCTCACACCTGTTGTCTTAGCCTAGGTTCTTCCAAAGAGCAGAGCTTGAGATAAGGGCTTGCAGGCAGCCAGTTTAATCTGGAAAGTGATTCCAGGAAAGCAGAGGCTGGAGAAGCATGAAACCAAGGAGTGATCACGGATCCACGGATACGTTATTGAGCTGGTTGCCACCATGGGCAGCTGCGGCTCAGTCCTGCTGAGGTCCTTAGAGGAATGATGGTGAATCCTCTCCAAACAGGAGGCTCCAGAGAAGAGCAATTTATCCATGGAGGCCTCCTTCATCTGTCAAGGGTTGCTGCATGGGCTGTTAGCTCCCTTGCCTTTCCAGGTGTGTGAATGAGTCAGTGTGGTTCATTCATGCAGATTCCTACAGTCCTACCATCTGGAGAAAGCAGAAAAGCCCGGAGACAGAGAATGAAAGATACACAATGCAACCAAAGGGAGATGCTCCCCGTTTATGGCTGTGCACACCCAGGCACCACAGTGTTGGCTAGAGTAAAAAAGCAGACCTAAGAGGGGGTGAGAAGCATGTCTTTTGTGTGCTATCCATCCTTTATGACTTACGGTTGATGTTTCTTTTCTTTTTTTTTTCTTTTCTTTTTTTTGAGACAGGGTCACTCTGTCACCCAGGCTGGAGTACGATGGCGCGATCTCAGCTCACTGCAACCTCCGCCTCCCAGGTTCAAGCGATTCTCCTGCCTCAGCCTCCCGAGTAGCTGGGATTACAGGTGCCCACCACCATGCCCGGCAAATTTTTGTATTTTTAGTAGAGACGAAGTTTCGCAATGTTGGTCAGGCTGGTCTTGAACTCCTGACCTCAGGTGATCCACCGGCCTCGGCCCCCCAAAGTGCTGGGATTACAGGTGTGAGCCACCGCACCTGGCTGGTTTTTTTTTCTTTTTAAGTTCCACGGTGCAGGTGCAGGACATGCAGTTTTGTTACATAGGTAAAGGTGTGTCATGGTGGTTTGCTGCACCTGTCAACTCATCACCTAGGTATTAAGCCCAGCATGCATTAGCTCTTTTCCCTAATGCTCTCCCCACTGTTGGCGTTTTTATCATATATGAAGATAGCTCTTTGTGATTCTAAATATCTTCATCCAGTCCTGATAGTCACACAGAAGGGTCTAAAGAAGTATCCCTCCAACTCCAAATCCTGTTCCGTGCTATCCTTGCCTCTGGCTCTGGAACTCATGCTTATCTCATTGGAGACTTTGTTCACTAAATATTTCCTACTTCCACAAATCTTCAGCTAGACTTCCATGACACCTCAAAGAAGCGTGGCTTTTTCTTTCTTTCTTTTCATTTTCTTTCTTTTTTTTTTAAAGGGTCTCGCTCTGTTGCCCAGGATGGAGTGCAGTGGTGCAATCTTGGCTCACAGCAGCCTCAACCTCACAAGCTTAAGCAATCCTCCCACCTCAGCCCCATGAGTAGCTGGAACTACAGGTGCATGCCACAATGTCCAGCTGATTTTTTTAATTTTTTGTACAGATGGAGGTTTCACTGTGCTACCCAGGCTGGTCTCGAACTCCTTGCCTCAGGTGATCTTCCCGCCTGGGCCTCCCAAAATGCTGGGATTACAAGCATGAGCCACTGTGCCCAGCACGGTTTCATTTTGTATTGGGCTTTTATGTAGCTGGTTCTAGTCCTGAGGCAAACAGGAAATGGAAAGTATTTACTTGGGATTTACCTCAGCCCACTTTCCAGATCATCAGGCCCCTGGAATTTGAGTGGCTTTCTTGCCTGCACCCCATCCATCTTGGATAGAGACCATTAAGAAAATAGAAGCAGGCCAGGCGCTGTGGCTCACACCTGTAATCTCAGCACTTTGGGAGGCTGAGGCAAGTGGATCACCTGAGGTCAGGAGTTCGAGACCAGCCTGGGCAACAGGAGATTTTGTCTCTACTAAAAATACAAAAATTAGCCAGGCGTGGTGGTGGGTGCCTATAGTCTCAGCTACTTGGGAGGCTGAGGCAGGAGAATCACTTGAACCTAGGAGGCAGAAGTTGCAGTGAGCCAAGATCATACCACTGCACTACAGCCTGGGTGACAGAGTGAGACTGTCTCAAGAAAAAAAAAAAAAGAAGAAGAAGAAAATAGAAGGTATTATGGAGTGTCTAGCTTAGCATGTTATCTCCTTCACATTGCAGGTAACCTTTAAACAGATGTGAAGGCTGAAGAGTTAGCTAGGCTAAAAGTGAGGGAAAATATTGCAGGCAAAGGGAAGGGCAGAGGCAAAAACGTGGAGACAAGAGAAAGGAGGGCACATTTGGGGAACTCATTGGTCAAACTTTCTGTTATTAGAGACAGTGCTAGGCTGTCAAGGATACTGACCACAAGGGATGTTCCCAGCTAAGCTGGAAAGAGCTGGAGGGTTAACCAAAGTGGTAGGAGGCAGACAGGGTGTCTAGACCCACACAGTCACTTTCTACTAAGGTCCTTGTCACTTCCCCTCACCAGCTTGTTCCACCTGGTTGGCCAGAATTTGGCCCAAGGCAACAGTTCCTCTAGATACTTCCTTTACCATCTGAAAGACAAAAATGTCAGCAATAAAAATGAACAGGATCTCAGAGTTCAGTTACCCAAGACTTTCTGTGAGTATCCATGTCATTGAACCCCTAAATAAGATAAAAGTGGTATTTCAAATAAGTGGGGGCGAAAATGGATTCATCAACAGAGGGCATCAGTATTACTGAATACTTAAGTAGTTTTTAATTTTATTAGGATAAATTCATGGGAGTGGGATTATTAAATAGAATAATATGAACAATTGTATGGCTTATGTTTGCCTTATTGTATTCCCAAAGAGCTGTAACATTTTATAGCATCACCACTTGGGCAGGGGTATTACCTGTTGTTGCTAATTTAGTAAGTAGAAGAGAGAGATCAAAGTTTCTCTAATTTGTGTTTGTGTAATTTATCTGTATACTTTCTTCATTTATATAAATAAATGTCTTCACTTTGGGAGGCTGAGGCGGGCAGATCACCTGAGGTCAGGAGTTCGAGACAAGCCTGGCCAACATGGTAAAACCCCGTCCCTACTAAAAATACAAAAATTAGTTGGATGTGGTGGCTCACATCTGTAGTCCCAGCTACTAGGGAGGCTGAGGCACTAGAATCACTTGAACCCGGGAGGCGGAGGTTGCGGTGAGCTGAGTTCACAGCCTGGGCGACAAGAGTGAAACTCCATCTCAAAAAAAAAAAAAAAAAAAAAACCAGCTTCAGCTTCTGGCCAGGTGTGGTGGCTCATGTCTGTAATCCCAGAACTTTGGGAGGCCAAAGCAGGCAGATCACTTGAGGCCAGGAGTTTGAGACCAGCCTGGCCAACATAACTAAACCCTGTCTCTACTAAAACAAAAAATACAAAAATTAGCCAGGTGTGGTGACACATGCCTGTAATCCCAGCTACTCAGGAGGATGAGGCAGGAGAATAGCTTGAGCCTGGAAGCCGAGATCGAACCACTGCACTCCAGCCTGGGTGACAGAGTGAGACCCTGTCTTAAAAAAAAAAAAAAATCCAGCTTCACACATTGTTGGTGTGAGCATAAACTGGTACAACTTCTTTGGAAGGAGATTCTGAAATAGCTATCAAAAATTAGAAATGAGGAAGAAAAAAAAATCCTTTGACCCAGGAACTCTAGTTTTGAGAATTTATCCTAGACATAAGCTGGAATCTGAGTAAAGATATTTGCTCAAAGTTATTTCTTTTGACATTATTAATAGTAGCAAAAGATGAGAAACAATGTTTCCCACTCAATGGGAGAGTGTTTGTTATATTACAGAACTTCCACAGAAGAATGCTACACAGCCATTTTTTTAAATGAGGTAGATTTTTATGGGCTCTGACATTAAGCAATTTACAAGTTGTAGCACTGGGGACATAAAAGTCTGTAGGTGACATACCCACTTGTGTAAAAAGAATGGAGGATGATATCCAGAGTTAGAGATTGAGATAGAGACACACACATAGAGACACTACAAAGATCATATCACAAGGAATTTACATAAGAGAACATTAATTGTAATTGTTTCTTGGGTGAAAGTAAGAGAGAAATTAGGTGTTCATTGTATACATTTTGTTACTCTGAATTTTACGATGTTATTTTTCTAGAAAATATTCAAATAAAAAATATTAGGAGAGCCGGGAGTGGTGGTTCATGCCTGTAATTCCAGCACTTTGGGAGGCAGAGACGGGAGGATCATTTAAGTCCAGGAGTTCAAAACCAGCCTAGGCAATATAGTGAGACCTCATCTCTACCAAAAATTATAAAATTGGCCAGACATGGTGGTGCAAGCCTGTCACCCCAGCTACTTAGGAGGTTGAAGTGGGAAAATTGCTTGAGCCCGGGAGGTTGAGGATGCAGCAAGTCAAGATTGTGCCACTGCACTCCAGCCTGGGTTACAGAGTGAGACCCTGTTTCAAAAAAAAAAAAAAGAAAGGAATTTTTAAAAAACATTTTTTTAAAATTTCCTTTCCTTTTTTTTCTCCCAGGTTCAAGTGATTCTCCTGCCTCAGCCTCCTGAGTAGCTGGGATTACAGGCATGAGCTACTGTGCCCGGCCAGAAAAAAATTTTTAAAAAGAAAAATATTTCCAGGTGCAGTGGCTCATGCCTGTAATCCCAGCACTTTGGGAGGCCGAGGCAGGCAGATCACCTGAGGTTAGGAGCTCCAGACCAGCTGGCCAACATGGGGAAACCCGTCTCTACTAAAAATACAAAAATTAGCCAGACGTGGTGGCACATGCCTGTAATCTCAGCTACTCAGAAGGCTGAGACAGGAGAATCGTTTGAACCTGGGGGGCGGAGGTTGCAGTGAGCCAAGATTGCACCACTGCACTCCAGCCTGGGCAACAGAGCAAGACCTCACTTAAAAAAAATTATATATATATATATACACACGTATATATATATACACACGTATATATATGTATATATATACGTGTGTATATATATATACGTGTATATATATGTGTATATATATACAAGTGTATATATATATACGTGTATATATATATATATACGTGTATATATATATATATGAGAGATGCCCAAGGGGGGAAAATAAAGTAAAACTCATGCATAATCCTAATTTATAGAAAATTATACAAAGTAAGACATAAAATCCCCCCGGGCTAATCACTGATAAATATTGCCTTCAAGTGCTTCCAGAATTGTTTCTGGGTTTACCCAAATGTAATTGAATAACATTTTGACTTTAATTTATGGATTTTTATACACTTTTCCTCTCCCCACTGTCTTTCCCCCAGCCAAGCAAGCAGAAAGTCAACTTTGAAAGTCCTAGTCTCTGAGGGGGTTTGTGGCAGGTCTGAAAAGCACAATAATCTCCAAGATGTCTTGGCTTTTGCCCTAAAAATCTAAGCCCATAGGAGAATGCAGAGGGTTTGTGGAAGAGCTAGAAAGAATGGAGGGATGTTTGCAGAAGTAAATGGCACTGAACAAAAGGAAGATGGTCATTTTATATTTTGTAACCGATACGAGATGTATTCCTGTCATTGGTATGTATGATTCCCCAAACACTGTTGCAAGGAACTAAGCAGGAGTGTTAGGATTCTGGGAGGTATTTACAAAATCAAATCTGTAAAGAAGGAGAGAGGGATAGAGGAGGAAGAGAGGGGTAGAGGAGAAGAAGGAAGAGGAAAGGAGAATTTAAAACCCAGCTAGTATGCCAAAAATGAGCTAAACTGAGGAGCTGAGTAATAAAACGATCAGATAAGAAAAAGAAAGTTCTGAACGAGATGAGACACAGCTTCCATTTAGTGCAAAGGACATGAAGAGGCAATTCACATGGCTTATAGACACGGGAGAAACCACTCGATCTCACACACAATTAAGGAGATGCACATTGAAACAATAATGAGATACCATTGTCTCCTATGGGACTGGCAAACAGGAGGTGGAGTCTGGCCTGTGAGCACCTCTGTGCACATCAGAAAGCAGCACCCCCTTCTGGGAGGATGTGCCTCGTGCCGGTGACCCGGGCGAGTTCTGGATTTCAGTCCTACTCCCTCGCAGCCTGGGTTTCCAAACAAGCTTAGAACCCTCTGCCAAATTATTAAAGGGTTGAGAGTTTAGAAGGAGATGTTTAGAAGGAGACAGAAAAACACTCTCCCACTCCTCAGAAAACGTTTTCTTGTTTTAACTCTGGCGTTCACACTATAATTCTAAATAATATGATTGTGCTTCTGTGTTTTGATTGATCAACTTAAAACCATATTGTCTCCATTGAAAAGAGCGAAATTTAGTTCAGCCTTATTATCCCCTTTTCCCTTGTTTCTACATCAGTTTTGTTTGATATTATTGTGGGTAAATTCCTGCGGTCACTGAATAAATATTTATTGAGAACCTCCACCTCTTTTCTGGGTGCTGGTTGTTCTAATGACTTTATTATTTATAACTTTTTAATTGCCTGCATGGCTTTAAATAATATACTTAATCATTTATTTTTTCTATTCTTATTCATATAAATTCAGGGTTTTTTTTGTTTTGTGCTTTTGCAAGTAATAGAAACTAACTACGACTGGCTTAAAAGGCATTGTAAAAAGAAAGATTATGGGATGGATACTGGGTATATTAACAGAATCCAAGGAAGGGCTGAACAACCAGGGCTTAGCAGGGCCAGCAACCAGGGCAGCTGCAGAAACTCAGCAGCAGGAATGTGCAAACTTCCTCCTAAGGGGCCACTTTTACATCTCTCATGTCAAAACCCTAAGCTCTGCTTCAGCTAGGGGTATAAGGTCATGTGGTATAGATACGGCTGCTGCTGCTGAGACCATTGCACAAAAAGGCAGATTAATTTTTTATTTGTTTTTTAGAGACAAGGTCTGGCTTTGTTGCCCAGGCTGGAGGGCAGTGGCATGATCATAGCTCACTGCAGCCTCAAACTACAGGACTCGAGTGATCCTCCCAATTCAGCCTCCCAAGTAGCCGAGACTACAGGCGTGCACCACCATGTCTGGCTAATTTTTTAATTTTTTTTTTTTTTTTTTTTAGAGACAGGGTCTTTCTATGTTACCCAGGCTGGTCTCAAACTCTTGGACTCAAGAGATCCTCCTGCCTTGGCTTCCCAAAGTGCTGGGGTTACAGGCTTGAACCACCGCACCCGGCAAGATTAATTATTGGATGACCATCTCTAGAATTGTGCCTATGACACAAATGTTCGTTGTTTTTTCATCAGAAGCTTGCTGAGTGAGAATGGGTTCAGGATCTGTTTGGAGAAAAAGCAGATAACACATCTCCCATCACATCCATGACAGAGTCCCTCTCTGGAAATCAGACTGCCTGTACCCCTGGTGTTTGGCTCTCTCTCCCTCAGAAAACATGGAAGTTTATTTGCACTCAATCGTCTGGGTCGATCCTCTCTCTCTCTCTTTTTTTTTTTTTTTTTTTTTTGTTTTTTGTTTTTTGTTTTTTTGTTTTTAATGTGGTCTTTGCTTTGGTAGACCAAACCTACAGACAATCTCTACAGAGGGAACTGCCAGAAAGTCCACCTCCTGGCCAGGCACAGTGGCTCACACCTGTAATCCCAACACTTTGGGAGGCCGAGGTGGGTGGATCATGAGGTCAGGAGTTCGAGACCAGCCTGGCCAACATGGTGAAATCCCGTCTCTACTAAAAAGACAAAAATTAGCCACGTGTGGTGGCAGACGCCTGTAATCCCAGCTGCTTGGGAGGCTGAGGCAGGAGAATCGCTTTAACCCAGGAGACCGAGGTTGCAGTGAGCCAAGATAGCGCCACTGCACTCTAGCCTGGGGGACAGAGCAAGACTCCGTCAGAAAGAAAGAAAGAAAGATAGAAAGAGAGAAAGAGAGAAAGGAAAGAAGGAAAGAAGGGAAGGGAAGGGAAGGGGGGGGGAGGGGAGGGGAGGGAAGACGGGAGGGGAGGGGAGGGGAGGGGAGGGGAGGGGAGGGGAGGGGAGGGAAGGGAAGGGAAGGGAAGGGAAGGGAAGGGAAGGGAAGGGAAGGGAAAAGTCCACCTCCTGCCTTGTGTGTTATTTTCCTGCCTGTGCACGAAAGCCCAGGTCTGCCCCCTGGTGGAAGCCACCAGACAACCTCAAGGAGGAAATTACTGCACTGCCCAGAAGGCGAAATGCCAGTTTCAGAGAGATACATGCCAATGCTTAGCCTAGAGCCTGGCACAGGCTAAGCACTATATACAGGGGTTCGCTCAAAAAAGAAAATAGATAGATCCTGTTCGTTTAAATGCATTGGCCTTAGGGTCACACCTACCTGAGTTCAAATTCCAGCTCTGCTACCTACGAGTTTTGAAACTTTGACATGTGTTTGGGTTTCTTAGGGCTGCCTTAACAAAGTCACACAAACTGGGTGGTTTTTAAAAAATGAGCTGAGCCAGTCGGTCGCTGTGGTTCACGCCTGTAATCCCAGTACTTTGGGAGGCCAAAGCAGGCCAATCACTTGAGATCGGGAGTTCAAAACCAGCCTGGCCAATGTGGAGAAACTTGATCTCTACTAAAAATACAAAAATTAGCCAGGCGTCGTGGAGGGCACCTGGAATCTCAGCTACTTGAGAGGCTGAGGCAGGAGAATCGCTTGAGCCCAGGAGGCAGAGGTGGCAGTGGGCTGAGATTGCACCACTGCACTCCAGCCTGGGCGACAGAGGGAGACCCCATTTCAAAAAAAAAAAAAAGAGCTAGGCACAGTGGCTCACACCTGTAATCCCAGTGCTTTGGGAATTGGAGGCAGGAGGATCACTTGAGCCCAGGAATTCAAGACCAGCCTGGGCAACATAGCAAGACCCTATCTCTACAAAATAAATAAATAAATAAATAATAAAGTATGTTTCAGTTTTGGAGGCAAGAAATCTGAAATCAAGGTGTCGGCCAGGCCATGCCTTCTCTGAAACCTGCAGGGGACTCCTTTGCTTCTTCCCAGTTTCTGGTGGTTTCCAGCAATCTCTCCATGGCTGCAGATGTATCACTCCAATCTTCCATCTTCACATGGCCTTCTTTCTGTGTCTCTTATGACATCTTCCTCCTATGCCTGTCTATTTTGTGTCCACATCGCCCCTTTTTATAAGCACACCAGTTGTATTGGATTATGGCCCACCTTACTCCTGTACAGCCTCATCTTAACTAATTACCTCAATGACTCTATTTCCAAATTAAGCTCACATCTGGGGTACTGGAGGATAAGAAGGACATCAACATATCTTTTTCTGGGCACACAATGCAATTCAACAGCATAGTCTTTCACCTCCTAAGCCTTCATTTAGTCAAGTGTAAAATGAAAATAATTATAGCCAGCTCATAGGATTGAAATTTTCTGACATAGAAAGACATTTGAGGCCAGGCACGGTGGCTCATACCTGTAATCCCAGCACTTTGGGAGGCCAATGCAGGCAGATCATGAGGTCAGGAGTTTGAGACCAGCCTGGTCAACATGGCAAAAGCCAGTCTCTACTAAAAATACAAAAATTAGCAGGGTGCCGTGGTACACACCTGTAGTCCCAGCTACTTGGGAGGCTGAGGCATGAGAACCGCTTGAGCCCAGGAGGCGGAGGTTGCAGTGAGCCAAGATTGCACCACTGCACTCCAGCCTGGAAGACAGAACGAGACTCCGTCTCAAAAAAAAAAAAAAAAAAAAAAAAAAGACATTTGAGATATGTCACTCAGACTAATAGGAAGTTTCAGAGTAAAATACATGCCATGAAATGCCAGTACAGAGTCCATTTCCCAATGTGTTTGGATATGGACAAAAAATTTCTGGAAGGGTATACAAGAAATGTATGAGTGTTATCTCTGGGGAATTGCAGCGGTGAGATTGGAGGGAAAGGGGAGGAAGGGCTTGGTCTTTCCCCTTAGGCCCCTTTGGTTCTGCTTGAATTGCTTTTACAGAGACACATTTTATTTTCATAATTTAATAAAAAGAAAAGGAAATAAACCACAATAACGTCTGCCTCATTGGGTTGTTGTGAGGATGAAATAAATGTGGAATGGAAGCCACGCAGCACAATAAGTGCTTGGTGAGTGGTGACGGTGGGCATTCTCATGGCAATTTTCACTGAAACATCAATTTTAGTAGAGAGAAACTGGAAACAACCTAATTGTCCAACTAATGGAAAAGATTTATTCAGGAAATTATAGTACATGCACTTCATATATTAGTAAGCGGCATTAAAAATGATATTGGCCAAAAGTCTGTAATAATAATAAGCAAAACTGTTCACAATATAATGGAAATGGGAAAGTAAAAAGAAAACAGAACACAAAATATCAAGCTTTGTAGCATGGTTTGTTTTTGTTTTTGTTTTTCATTTTTTATTCCTGTTGCCCAGGCTGGAGTGCAATGGCACGATCTCGGCTCACTGCAACCTCCACCTTCTGGGTTCAAGCGATTCTCCTGCCTCAGCCTCCTGAGTAGCTGGGATTACAGGCATGTGCCACCACACCCAGCTAATATTTGTATTTTCAGCAGAGATGGGTTTCACTATGGTGGCCAGGCTGGTCTTGAACTCCCAGCCTCAAGTGATCTGCCCACCTCAACCCCCCAAAGAACTGGGATTACAGGCTTGAGCCATGGCACCCAGCCTATGGCTTTAAAAATAATGTAAAATAAACATAATCAATAAAGGAAGCGGCTTTGTTAGTGTAGCAGAAATATGAGCGATTTATTTTTCTTCTTTTTTTTCTTGTACTTGTACTTTCTACATTTTCTTTAAGGACATGCCCTACTTTTACAATGAGAGAAAATTATTATTGGAAGGAAAAAAAGATTAAATGTGACATTATTTCCCCTTTAGAAATATTTCGTATCCTGGTGAACAATTACCCTCCCACTTTACAGAAATCCTCATTTCCAGAGATATCACTTCTGAGAAGCAACGTTTTCAAATCTGCAAGGATCATCCCTCGAGCCACTACACCTTTCCCAACATTTCCTTCTTTCCTCTAGTTCTTCCAACTCTATTTTAAACTGTTAAGGTCACACACAGTGGCTCACACCTGTAATACCAACACTTCGGGAAACTGAGGCAGGAGAATTGCTTGAACTCAGGAGTTCAAGACCAGCCTAAGCAACACAGCAAGACCCTGTCTCTACCCAAAAAAAAAAAAAAAAAAAAAATTAATCCACTGTGATGGGGTACATCTGTAGTCACAGTTACTTGGAAGGTTGAGAATTGCTTGAACCCAAGAGTTCAAGGCTGCAGTAAGCTATGATTGCACTCCAGCCTGGAAGACAGACCAAGGCCCTGTCTCTAAAATAATAATAATCTTTTAAATATCCCCTTTCCAGAATGTTCCAGAGTGTCTCTCTTTTTTTTAGACAGAGTCTCACTCTGTCGCCCAGGCTGGAGTGCAATGGCACCCACTCTCTTGGCTCACTGCAACCTCCACATCTCGGGTTCCAGCGATTCTCCTGCCTCAGCCTCCCAAGTAGCTGGGACTACAGGCATGTGCCACCACGTCTTACCAATTTTTTGTATTTTTAATAGAGACAGGGTTTCACCATGTTGGTCAGGCTAGTCTCGAACTCCTGTCCTCAAATGACCCACCTGCCTCGGCCTCCCAAAATGCTGGGACTACATGCGTGAGCCACTGCGCCCAGCCATGTTCCAGAGCCTCTTTTCTTTCTTTGACCCAGGAGCACTTGTATTGAGTGAATGTGAGAGACTGAGAGACAGAGTCCATTTCCCAAGCTGGATTTTCCATGTGGATGGCAGGCAACTGGTCACACAACCTTGATGTTCCTGGTGATCTAGGTATTCTCCAAACTAACCCATAGCTGTCTACTTCTTGAGTTATTATTTGAGATCAAAAACGTCCTTATTGTTGGAAATCAAGAAGCATCCTTTGCTTCCCTCGGTAGTTTACTGAATCCTGAAGAGCGTCCATCTTTCTTTAGCCCCTGACCACATTTTTGCATCTCTTGTGACTGCTGCTAAGACAGAGTTCTCCCAGGGGTAGCTCCTCAGGGCCCTCTCAAATGGGAGCTTTCACTAGAAATAACTCCCAGTTCCAGGCCCTTAAGGCCAGAGAGAACTCAAGTGGCTTCTTTCACTCCAATCTCCCTTCCCACCCTGGATTGCTGGCTCACGTCTATTATTGTGAAAACATATAATTTATTCAGTGTTTATGATCCAAAACCCTAGTTCCAGCTTCCCTCCTTCCCTTTCAAGAATCATCTTCCTTTGAAATACTTGAGAAACATCAGTTTGTGTTACATCCACTCTGTAATTAATTTATTAGCAGCTATTTCCCTGCATCATAAACTCCTCCCTCCCTGAATCAATCAAAATATGTCTGGTTGCAAGTAACAACAACCAAAAAAAGAACCCCAACCAGCGAAGATTTAGACTGTGAAGACATTTCTGGTTTTCTCAGTGAGAACCTGGAGCTAGGTAATGAGTCTAATCAGGAGCTTATGCATGGCTGCAGTCTCTGGGAGCTCATCTGTAACCATTCACCTGGCCTTTCTCTTAGGCTTATCACCTCAAGGTCACAAGATAGCTGCTGCACCTCCAGCCTTCATGCCCTCTCTCTTTTGTCCCCAGCAGGAAAGAAGACAATGAAAATGCAAAAATACTCATAGAAGGCTCCAGAAAGATCTTCTTTTGCATATCATTTGTTAGAACTGGGTCACACGGCCACCCTTAGGTGCAAGGGAGGCTGAGAACATGAGTATCTGGCAAAGGGGAATAGGATAGCAATGGTTGGCCTACACAAGTCATGATCCATTCTTGACAGCTGGGCACATTACAATTCCCGAAGAAAAAAGTCAGCCAGGCATGGTGGCTCATGCCTGTAATCCCAGCACTTAGGGAAGCCAAGGGGGGAGGATCATTTGAGCTCAGGAGTTTGAGACCAGCCTGGGCAATATAATGAGACCCTGTCTCTACAGAGAAAAAAATACAAAAATTAGTCAGGAGTGATGGCACTCGCCTGTAGTCCCAGCTACTCTGGAGGCTGAGGTGGGAGGATTACCTGAGCCCAGGAGGAGGAGGCTGCAGTGAGCTGTGATCATGCCACTGCACTACAATCTGGGTAACAAGAGTGAGACCCTCGCTCAAAAAAAAAAAAAAGGCTCTGAGAGGCAGAGAGAAGAGAGGCCAGTTAAGAACCTCGGGACTCAAGGAATGACATATTGTTGAGTTCTCTGGGTTTTCTTTTTGCCTGATATAGCCTAGACTTGGAGCTGGAGAAGCCAGCAACCCAGAAATGCCAAGAGGTGCAGATAAATATGCTCTTCCAAAAGTGTTCTCTGTAGCTAAGGGAGCAGGCAGAGGCAGCCTAGCAAGACAGAAAACTTTTAAATGATAATAACTCTTCTCCAGGAAATGCCACAGGGGAGGAAAAAAAAAAAAAAACTGAATGCACCCACAGCCATGCAGCAAAGCTGAGTGAATAGTCTAGAATTCCACACTCCCTAGGCTGTAATGAGATGTCTAGAAGTGGTGTCAGAGAAGGGCAGGTAGGGAACTGGGCCTTTTATCTCCACAAGTCAGTAGCAAGGTCTCCCTCTCTGCTGGGTGGGGTCATAGTAGGTCTAGTGGAAAGTTAGGATTTTTATGGCCTCCCAGCAGTCATGAGAAGAAACCCCCCCATCCCCCAACTTCCTATCCCCCCAACCCTCTATTCTCCTATCTCCCCACCCCACCCCTGGTCCATGATGTCAGTAAAAGCCATGTGGGAAGCAGTATGGAGCCATTCCTGCCCTTTCTAGGAAGGTATCCATGGAGGCCTAGTGGGGAGCAAGAAATCCCCCTCTCGCCCAGAAGTAATGGAGATCCCCCAATTTTGGTATCCATGCATAATTATCTGTTGGGTTCTTCCTGTGCACTACACAAACAAAACCAGTTCACTGAGACTGTGATATTGCAGTAAAGAAATTGCAGTAAAGAAAGGGTTTAATTAATGTGAGGCCGGCCACGTGGGAGAACTGGAGTTATCACTCAAATCATTCTCTCCAAAGGCTCGGAGGTTAGGGTTTTTCAAGGATAGATTGGTGGGTGGGGGATTAGGGAATGGGTCCTGTTGATGGATTGGAAATGCAATCACAGGTGTGCGGAAAATGGCCCTCGTGCACTGAGTCTGCCTCTGGGTGGAGGTCACGGGACTGATTGAATCATGAGTCATGGGTTCAGTGGGAGTCAATCCATTCTTTACTCAGAATGTAAAAGCCTGAAAAACATCTCAAAAGATCAATCTTGGCCAGATGCAGTGGCTCATGCCTGTAATTCCAGCATTTTGGAAGGCTGAGGCAGGCTGATCACTTGAGGCTGGGAGTTCAAGACCTTCCTGACCAACATGGTGAAACCCCATCTCTACTAAAAACAAAAACAAAAACAAAAAATAGCTGGGTGCAGTGGCACATGCCTATTGTCCCAGCTACTTGGGAGGCTGAAGCATGAGAATTGCTTGAGCTTGGGAGGCAGAGGTTGCAGTGAGCCAAGATTGCACCACTGCACTCCAGCCTGGGTGACGCAGTGAGACTCTGTCCCAAAAGAAAAAAAAAAAGATCAACCTTAGATTGATTCTACAAATAGTGTTGTCATCTACAGGAGCAATTAGCAAAGTCTCAAATCTCGTGACCTCTGGTTACATGATACCAGAGCAGTAAAAGGATTATAAAAACTATATCTACATTTTAAAATTTATGCCCCTTCCATAATCCTAATCTTGTGGTCTTTTATTAATCTTACAAAGACAGTTTCAGCCCCTGCACAAGGAAAGGATCCATTTCAAGGTAAGACTATTCCCATCCTTGCTTCAAGGTTAAACTGTAAATTAAACTCCTCCCATGGTTAGCTTGGCCTATGCCCAGGAATGGGCAAAGACATCCAGGCTGTGAGGATGGAGTCAGCCACATTAGACTTCTCTCGCTGTCTCATTGTCATAATCTATGCAAACTGAACATGCAACTACTATATAACCTAGCAATTGCACTCTTGAATATTCATCCCAGAGAAATAAAAATTTATATTCATACAAAAACCTCTACATGAATGTTTATCACAGCTCTACTCTTAATAAGCAACCATTGGAAACAACTTGTGATATTGTAAAATTATATTTGGTTTTGGACCTCATTTCCTGGCATACAACTCTTAAAATCCTTAGAATACTTAGAGTACAGTGGCACGATCTCAGCTCACTGCCACCTCTACCTCCTGGATCAAACGATTCCCGTGCCTCAGCCTTCCAAGTAGCTGAGTTTACAGGCGCCCACCACCACGCCCGGGTAATTTTTGCATTTTTAGTAGAGACAGGGTTTTGCCATGTTGGCCAGGCTGGTCCTGGCCTCAAGTGATCCACCCACCTCACCATCCCAAAGTGCTGGGATTACAGACATGAGCCACCGCACCCGGCCTATGTCTTTAGTTTTAAATACTACAGTGAAAGAGCACGTTTGGGTTGACCCACAGCTCACTACAAAATAATCACAAATGGTTATATGGGAGGCAGACACACAGGTGGTTATTCCCAAGAGAACAGCCAGCCTGGTGGACTGGATAAAAGCCACTATAGGCTGGATATTGTGCCTCATGCCTGTACTCCCAGCACTTCGGGAGGCAGAGGTGGGTGGATTGCTTGAGATCAGGAGTTTGAGACCAGCCTGGGCAACGTGGCCAGACTCCATCCCTTCCAAAAGAAAAAGAAAATTAACCAGGCATGGTAGTGTGCACCTGAAGTCCAAGCTATTTGGGAGGCTGAAGTGCAAGGATCACTTGAGCCTAGGAGGCGGAGGTTACAGTATGCCAAGATCACGCCACTGCAACCAGCTTTGGTGACAGAGTGAGACCCTATCTCAAAAAGAAAAAAAAAAGCCACTGTAAGATCTGTTCTCCCTGAGAAGGGGGACTCTGTCTCCTCCTATAAATATCCAGTAGTGCATCTCGGAAGAAGCAGCTGATGTGTTTCATATGCAAGTCATGTGGGCCTGGCTTTATGAGAATCGCGATATTCACCAGCTGAATGTGCTCATTGCCAAGGTCATAGTAAATGCTGTGGTTAAGGGCACCCCTGTAATGTGGATGCCCCGTATAACCTTGCTGCTGCAAAATCAAAAGGTAGTTCAAGAAGCCTTATCATGTTTTCTGGGCCAGTCACGGTGGCTTATGCCTGTAATCCCAGCACTTTGGGAGGCCTAGGTGGGCAAATCATTTGAGGTCAGGAGTTCAAGACCAGCCTGGCCAACATGGTGAAACCCCGTCTCTACTAAAAATACAAAGAAAACTTAGCAGGGCTTGGTGGCACATGCCTGTAGTCCCACTACTCAGGAGGCTGATGCAGGAAAATCGCTTGAACCTGGGAGGCAGAGGTTGCAGTCAGCTGAGATCACACTGCACTCCAGGCTGGGTGACAGAGAGAGACTCAGTCTCAACAACAACAATAACAAAAATCAGATTAATTAATAAGAGAATGGGGAAATGCAGACAAGAAAGTCAAAGGATTCATCCCAGGAAGGTGGAAAACACCCTCGATGACTGGAGTGACATCAGAGAAACACTGTAATGAGTGTGACACTGTGCAGCAGAGATCCATGATGAAATGGAAATGGTTTAGCGGATCATTCTACCTGGGGAATGCGAGGAAGAAATACACGCAGAGAGCCTCTTTTCCCCTCAGATAGACTTTGGAATTGTGGGAGGCGTTGCTGGATTCTATTGTCACTTGGATAGTGCCCTACAAACAGTTCTCAAATAACAGCTGGTTGGGGCTGGGCATGGTGGCTCACGCTGGTAATCCCAACACTTTGGGAGGCTGAAGCAGGAAGATCGCTTGAGCCCAGGAGTTGGAGACCAGCCTGGGCAACATGGTAAGACCTCCTCTCTACAAACAATTTAAAAATTAGCCAAGTGCATGCCTGTGGTCCCAGCTACTCAGAAGGCTGAGGTGGGAGGATCGCTTGAGCCCAGGAGTTCAAGGCTGCAATGAGCCGTGTTCATGCCACTGCACTCCAGCCTGGGTGCCTGGGTGACAGAGTGAGACCCTGTCTCAAAACAAACAAACAAACAAACAAAAAAACTGCATGGAGTATGGGTGACAGTTCCAAGTTCCAAGATGAATAGACAACATCTTATTTGGAAAGATGCCACTCTGATCAAAGACAGTAAAAGCAAATCAGCTCAGTGGGCTGAATTGCATGGTGGTTTCCTAGCAGTGATGGAAAGATTGAACAGTAATAAAAAGTCTTTGTGTTTGGGTTTTTACTAACTCATGGGCAGTGGTCAGAGACCTAACCATACTCAGGCAGGAGGGCATGGAAACCTGGCCTATTAAAGAGATGCCCTTATAGGGGACAGCCCTATGGAAGTGTGAGAGTACATTAAAGTAAGACATGGGCTGCCCATCAGAAGAACCTCCTTCCGGGTTTGGAAGGTGATTGGAATCGACAAGCAGATATCCCCATTTGCTCCCTTGTGGGGGCCAGCTGGGTCTATGAGACAGGGCCCTGCAGCAGTGCAGAGACGGGCTGAATCTAGACAGGTTCTTCTTGTGCCCTCTGAGGTACAAAATGCCAGTGAGACTGTTCTGTTTGTCAGCAAGAGAGACAGAAGCTGCTGAGGGCTATGGAAAAGATTCCTTGGTGGGAAGGCCCTGAACGTAGCTGGCAAGTGAGACCGACACTGGTAGCCCTGGGGGACCACAAGTGGGTCTTGACAATAATAGACACTGACTCTGCACTGGGCCTTGCTTACCCAATGGAAGATGCAACTATTCACGATGCCATTAAAAAACAGGATCAAAAATAGTACATGGATTTGGGCAGCTAACTGTCATTTCTTCAGACCAAGGGGCACACTGTACAGGCTGAAATGTCCAGCAATGGGCAAAGAGACATTCTCCTAGAGAAGTGGAGCTGGCTATTAAAATTTATTAGGGCTGGACATGGCGGCTCACACCTATAATCCCAGCAATTTGGGAGGCCAAGGCAGGAGAATCACTTGAACCCAGGAGTTCGATAAAAGCCTGGAAAACATAGTGAGACCTCGTCTCTATAAAAATAAGAAAAAAAATTAGCCAGGTGTGGTGGCATGTGCCTGTAGTCCCAGCTGCTTGGCAGGCTGAGGCAAGAGGATTGCTTGAGCCCAAGAGGTGGAGTCTATAGTGAGCCATGATCACGCCACTACATTCCAGCCTGGGCAACAGAGCAAGACTCTGTCTCCAAAAATAAAATTTAAAAATAAAAAATAAAACTTATTGGTTGTCTAAAATGGGTTAGGCTGGGCATGCTGGCCTATACCTGTAATCCCAGCACTTTGGGAGGCCGAGGATCACTTGAGGACAGGAGTTTAAGACCAGCCTGGGAAATACACAAAGACCCTCATCTGTACAAAAAGAAAAAAAAAATAGTCAAGTATGGTAGCACACATCACAGTCCTAGCTACTCAGGAGGCTGAGGCAGGAGGATCACTTGAGTCCAGGAATTCGAGGCTACAGTGAGCTACAGGCATGCCCCCACCACACCTGGCTAATTTTTGTATTTTCTTTGCAGAGACAAGGTTTCACCATGTTGCCCAGGCTGGTCTCAAACTCCTGGGCTCAAGCAATCTGGCTACCTCAGCCTCCCAAAGTACTGGGATTACAGGCATAAGCCACCACACTTAGCTTTGAAGAGAGAAAGGGCAGGTTGGGTTTTGTGTCACACAAGGTCTTATTATACAATAGTCATGCATATTCAGCAGGTTTGGGAGAACGCTATACATATTTATGAGAGGAGCCAAATGCATGAGCAATGGGTAAACATTGGCAGCAGAAATAGGGCCCCACATTTGCTTCATGGGCAATCATTAAGCACCTACTGTGTCTCGGGTAGATTCTGGTTATTCAGGCAAAGTGCAGGAAGGGGAATCTGCAGTGGCATGAGGCACTGCACCCAGCCTATATGCTTTTTAACATTCTTAATCACACACACACGGGACGTAGCATACATCCCATGTTCACTTCGGGGCAGGTTTTAGCATTAAAATGAGGTGGAATTTGACTCGTTACGTCAAAAGGTGACCTACAGGACACAAAGAAAGCTTGTGTGCAGCCTCTATAAGCCGCTGAAACTGGCTTAAGGTCTGCAGTTCCATATAAGAAAACAATGTTTATAAGGCTGGTCCCTGTCCAGAGTTGTAGCGGTCTGGGCCGTAAATTCACCTGATATAGCTCCTATGGTTAGGGAGTTTAGCAAGGCTGTGATTTTACTTTTTTCTTTTTCTTTTTCTTTTTTGAGACAGGGTCTCGCTCTGTCACCCAGGCTGGAGAGCAGTGGTGCAATCATGGCTCACTGCAGCCTCCACCTCCCAGGCTTAAGCAATCCTCTCACAGCCTCCTGAGTAGCTGGGCATACAGGTATGCCCACATCCAACTAATTTTTGCATTTTTTGTAGAAATGAGATTTTGCCATGTTGCCGAGGCTGGTCTCAAACTCCTGGACTCAAGCAATCTGCCCTCCTAGGTATGCCAAAGTGCTGGGATTACAGGCATGAGCCACAGCGCCCAGCTGGTTTTTCTTATAGCTATAGGAATTTAGAAATTTGCCATGCCTGCCAGGACCTGAACCCTTGACCTTAGGTAGGTAACTTTTGTTTCCTTAACCTTGGGCTTGTCTTAGTTGATAAAGGGGTGTCTGTTTCAGTCTCTGAGCACATTACACATAGGTCTCTCAGATCACACTACACTAGGTACTTTACATTATTAACTAATCTTTTTTTATTTTTTATTTTTTTCTTGAGACAGGGTCTGGCTGTGTCACCCAGGCTGGAGTGCAGTGGTGTGATCCCTGTTCCCTGCAACCTCCGCCTCCTGGGCTCAAGCCATCCTCCCACCTCAGCCTCCCAAGTAGCTGGGACTATAGGCATGTGCCACCATGCCTGGCTAATTTTTTGTATTTTTTTGCAGAGATGGGGTTTCACCATGTTGTCCAGGCTGGTCTTAAACTCCTGAGCTCAAGTGATCCACCTGCCTTGGCCTCCCAAACTGCTAGGATTACAGGGGTGAGCCACTGTGCCCAGCCCTACTCACCTTCTTAAACCCTGTGAGGTTAATACCACCATGATCCTGTTTTACAAACAATGAAACTGAGGTTAAGTAATTTACCCAAGGTGATATAACTAGTAAGTGGTGGAGGTAGAATTTGAACCAAGACATTCTGATTCTAAAGTCCTTGATTTTAGCCACTGTGCTGCAGTAAAGTCTGGGCCACTCATAGGGCCTCTCCTTAAAGATGCACTCCAGTTCCTAGCCATTCTCAGGCTTCTCCCTCTATTCAGTCCCTCCTTCTTCAGGCCTTCTCAGTATACATCTCCATCCCTCCTCTCTGGAAAACTTTCAGAGCAAGAAACAGAGCCTGCAACTGATCTGACCTTACACACTGAAGAAATGTTATTATCTCACATAATAAAATGGGGAAGCTTCATGGTTGATTGATTTGACAGCTCAATTACATTAGTAAAGGCCCACTTCTTTGTGGATTTCCACTGTTATCCTTGACCTAAATCAGCCCCCGTCATGGGCACAAGATGGCTGCCCAAGCTCCAGCCAGCATGTTCTCAAATAACCAGAGACAGTAAAGGGGCTGTTTCTTCCCTCTTTCATAAAGGGGCTGTTTCTTCCCTCTTTCAATCAATCTCCTTTCAATCATTAAGGAAGACCTTTGCCAGAAACTCCAATACACTCCCCACTCGTGTCTCATTGACCAGAATTATTTCATGTGCCCATGCTGAGCCTATCACTAAGCAAGGGAAATAGGAAAACATGGTTGGTTTAGACCAATTACTATTAACTTCTTGAGGTCAGAGACCGCTTCCTGTAAAGAACATGACCACGTGGAGGACAGTAGACAGCAAAAAATAAATGGAGGTTTTATTGGGAAAGAGGAAGAGGAAACCAAGTTTTTGCCACATTCTAACCACAGAAGTGGACCTCACAGTGGGATTCATCCTTCTTCCTCCCCAAATACAAGCTCCAGAGGACCAGCATTAATTATCAGAAATAGTACTGTCTGTCTCAGCAGTTCTCAAACAATAATGTGCATAAGAATCACCCTAGAAGTTTGGTGAAAGGGCAGATCTCTGAGAATGATGGAACTTGAGCCTAAATCCATCTATTTTAACACCTGGGCT
The DNA here is from genome assembly GCF_000001405.40 of Homo sapiens. Lineage (NCBI taxonomy): Eukaryota > Metazoa > Chordata > Mammalia > Primates > Hominidae > Homo > Homo sapiens. Next base: position 23,788,559 of record NC_000016.10, on the reverse strand, counting down.
TTTAACCATTGTCTTATTGAGCTCTTACCCTGTGTCAAGCACTGCTCTAGGAGCACTCCCTTAATGCCTACAGCAGAATTAGGCCTAAGAAGTTCCCCTTCATAGGTCCCCTGTGACCCACCTTATCCTCCAGAATGTTCCTTCCAGCCAAAAAAAAAAAAAAGTTGTGCCCACCCCAATTTTCCAGCCCCTTGGACAGAGTTCTGATCTTTGAAATTTTCATCAAAGTGAGACAGGAATAATACAGGGTGGTCACAGGAGAACAGAAAATTCCAGGCAGCACTTTCACATGGCTAGGCAAAAGGCAGATGTTGAAATAGCTGCAGAAGCTAGGGTCTGATAAAACCCTGAAAAACCAGGGTGTGGACCATGCTGGCTAAGACCAATTGAACTTAATTGGCACTGGATTTGACCTAGGTTTCACCTAGAACCTTATGTTTTTGTTTGTTTGTTTGTTTTGTTGTTGTTTTGAGATGGAGTTTCACTCTTGTCACTCAGGCTGGAGTGCAATGGCGTGATCTCAGCTTACTGCAGCCTCTGCTTCCTGGGTTCAAGCAATTCTCCTGCCTCAGCCTCCCAAGTAGCTGGGATTACAGGTGCCCACATTCACACCTGGCTAATTTTTGTATTTCTAGTAGAGACAGGGTTTCACCATGTTGGTCAGGCTGGTCTTGAACTCCTGACCTCAGGTGATCTGCCCCGGCCTCCCAAAGTGCTGGGATTACAAGAATGAGCCACTGCACCCAGCCTATATACTCATTAACATTCTTAATCACAAACCCACCAGTGCCAGGACAGTTCCAGGAGCACCCATATTGATGTAAAAATTGGTGGCACCATAATTCTGAGAAATCTCCAGCTTTTTCCAGGAATTTTCATGAATATTCCTTCCCTTGGTATGCCCACACTCCTCTCTCTTGAGTATGTACTCAAGACCCTATTGCATGTTTCTATTCTTCCCCCAGCTCATCGAGATTCCCTCCTGTCAATGGAAGAAGGGAGTGCGTGTAATAAACAGATTCTCCCAGCTCTTCAGATAACTACTTTTGTGTTCCTGTACTCTCGGGACCACAGTTTTCCTGTGAGTAATATCTTGATGGAGAAGTTTCTATCCACCTTCAGCCCTTTGTTGAGATCCTGTACCCCCGGGAGTATATAGAGAAGCATTGAGGTGTGAGTGAGAAGGGAGGGGGATAAGAGAGTACAATTACTCCTGGGAACATTCCCTTTCTTTGGGGAGAAAAGTGGCATATCATTGACACTGCTGGATCTCATCAAACACCGAAGCATCCCTTAAAATAATTATTTGAATCTACAAAGCTAATGAGCAATTGCCAAAGCTCCTTTCGTGCTAATGGGGCCGCATTGTGTTCCCACTAATGAGTGCTGATTGGCACTCCATTCAGATGCAAACCTTGGTCTTTTTTTCTTACAAATAGCCTTTTTTTTTTCCTTTTAAAGGCATACTCTGGGGGTGCTGAGAGTTTCAGCTTGATTGCAAATCTAAAATGGAGTTTGGGATTTGATTCCTTCAATTCCCACCCCAAATCTGCCTGCTCACCCTCTTCCCAGTGTCATCAAAAACTGTTCTTTTGGAGACCTTAAATTTAAGAGATGGTGGGCTTGAAATTGGATAGAAGAAGGTGCAGTTTCTATAACCACCTGGTGAGAGGGGGTAGTGTCTGCACCAGCACTGGTAAAGCAGCTGGTTATTATTAAGAAATGTCTTCTCTCCTCTGCTCTTCCCTACAAATCTCAAGGTCTTACTGTCTTGCAGCTTCTGCATCTAAGTGCCTTTCATCTCAGTCTTTAATGTCCCTCAGTCAACATGTTCTCTTGTTGAAAATGTACTTTAGAGAGCAACTGTTCCCCTTCCTGCACTTTGCCTGAATAACCACAATCTAGCCCAGACACAGTAGATGCTTGATGATTGCCCATGAAGCAAATGTGGGGCCCTATTTCTGCTGCCATCCTTTATCCTTTCCATCTATTTCCTACGGTCTATGTAATAGATCTCCAATACTAATCTGAAGGTACAGAATCCAGTGCAATGGCGGAATTGTTAGATTCATGAGAATTACTCTCTTCAGCATTGCAGGGGTTGCTAAGTCCAGCTGGCTGCACAAGCAATGGCTAGGCTCTATGATCAGTGGTCCCTGGAGGAGGCTAGTTAAGTGTCTCATCTCTCCTCTTCCCTGGGCTGAGACACAACAGTCCAGGTCTGAGGAAGGAAGCAATACAAATAGCACAGGACTTAAGGCACAGGCTTCATCACCATATAGACCTAAAGTTGAGGCTGAGCTCTACCTTATAGCAGCTGTGTGACCTGTAACAAGATTCTTAACTTATCTAACCATCATCAGTAAAATGAGGATAATAAGAGTACGCAGCTGGTTGTTTATAAGATGACTACCATAATCCACCCCCTCCCCACATCCATATCTTGAGAAGGTCACCTCTATGTATAATCTGGTCTTAGTCATGTGACTTGCTTTGACCAATGGGACATTAACCAATGTGATGCAAGCAGAGGCTGGAAGCCTTCTTGCACATTAGGATTTACTCTCTTGCTGCTGAGAACTTTCCTACCATCATGTGAACCAGTGTGGGCTGATACTGACAGACACATGGCTGTCGCCCCAGCTGACATTGAGGCAATTGCCAGATACGTGAGCGAGACTATCCTAGGCCATTCAGTTGCAGCCAAGCTAGCCCAAATCAGAATAAACTCCCAGAAAATTCACAGAACTGTGAGAAATAATGTCTATTGCTTAGTCAGTTGCAGTGGCTATGCTTATAGTCTCAACTACTCAGGAAGCTGGGGAGGGAGGATCGCTTGGGCCCAGGAATTTAAGACCAGCCAGGGCAACATAGCAAGACCCCGTCTCTTAAAAAAAAAAATTCAATAAAAGATAAAACAATGCCAGGCACAGAGGCTCATGCCTGAAAGCCCAGCACTTTGGGAGGCTGAGGCAGGAGATCACTTGAGCCCAGGAGTTCAAGACAGCCTGGGAAACATAGTGGGACGCTGTATCTACAAAAATTTAACAATTATCTGGCCATGGTGGCACGGGTTTGTGGTCCCAGCTACTCAGGAGGCTGAAGCAGGAGGATCACTTGAATGCAGGAGGTTGAGGCTGCGGTGAGCCATGTTCACACCACTGCACTCCAGCCTGGGCAACAGAGCAAGACTCTATCTCAATAAAAATAAAATGATGTCTGCTGTTTTAAGACACTAAAACTTGGGAAGGTTTGTTATACAGCAAAAGCTAACTGATACACATTGCCCCACTCATAGTGATGTTTGAGTTTTAAATGTATATTAAGGTGCTTCAACCAGTGCCTGATACATAATAAGTATTCAATCAATGTTGATCACATCATGTGATCTGTGAAGTCAGGATACTAGGAAACTTCCGGGATGATCTCTGCTGAAGTGGAGCACGTACAGAAAGAAATTATGCTTAATTTTGCCAACCCGTAGTCTGGTTCCAAGTCTAGTTCCTTCCCCAAGGGAGGGACTCCAGAACTTGCAAAAGCACCATTAGTCATTGCTTATCTGCACAGATCATGAGTATCTCATTCCAACACCATTTTGGTGAGTAACAGCTACTTCAGAGTTAGCCAATGGGAAAGAAGCAAGCCCTTCTACTGCAGCAACACCAACAAAAACCTGTCACTGCTCAGGCCAGACCCAGTGAGAAACATTCCCACCCACCCCAGGTGGCCCAGACCCTTCCCCACTAGTCAGCAGGCCTGTGGATTATTGTTTCCAGTGGATTCATATATGGAACATTTACACGTATTCCTGAATTACAATGCCTCTGAGCCTCCCACCTGCACCCCATTCCTACTTTCAAAAAGCAACCTCATATGCACTCACACACCAGTTTTCCACTGCAATCTAAAAACACAAAAATTGCCAAGTTCTTTCTCTCTCTGGCTTCAGATTGAGGTTCAGGAAGCCACATAAACTAGCCACAGCTGAGAGTGTCTCTTTTGAGGATGCCTATGCTGGTTTTGAGGTACCATCCCCTAGTGCCCACAAGGTGACCAGTTCTGGGGGTGCCCCAGGTGAGGTGGATTCTGCACAGGACCACCTTTTCCCCATCGCTCCATCACTGCAAATCTGCTCGCTTCCCCATCAATCACAAAATCTCTTATCCAAACAGTTCTGCAGACAGCATTGTTTATAAAAGCCAAACATTGGAAACAATGCAAGTATCCTTCAACGGGAGAATGAGTTTTTTTAATTGTCATTTATTCACACAATGGAATACCATAGAACAGTGAAAGTGCACAAACACTCCACACAATGACATGCATGAACTTCACAGATATAAAGTTAAGTGAAAGAAAACACTCATTTAAAAGTATTTTTGTTTTTTGTTCTTGCGATAGTTTACTGAGAATGATGATTTCCAGTTTCATCCATGTCCCTACAAAGGACATGAACTCATCATTTTTTATGGCTGCAAGAACAAAAAACCAAACACCGCATATTCTCACTCATAGGTGGGAATTGAACAGTGAGATCACAGGGACACAGGAAGGGGAACATCACACTCTGGGGACTATTGTGGGGTAGGGGGAGCGGGGAGGGATAGCATTGGGAGATAAACCTAATGCTAGATGATGAGTTAGTGGGTGCAGCGCACCAGCATGGCACATGTATACATATGTAACTAACCTGCACAATGTGCACATGTACCCTAAAACTTAAAGTATAATAAAAAATAAAATTAAATTTTTAAAAAAAAGTATTTTTGTTTGTTTGGCTTTGGAGATTTGGGTTTGTTTTTGTTGTTGTTGTTTTGTTTTATTTTGTTTTTTTTGAGACAGAGTCTTGCTCTGCTGCCCAGGCTGGAGTATAGTGGCACGATCATAGCTCACTGCAGTCTCTACCTCCTATGCTCAAGTGATCCTCCTGCCTCAGCCTCCCAAGTAGCTGGGACCACAGGTGTGTGCTACCACCCCTGGCTAACTTTTTAAATTTTTTGTAGAGACAGAGTCTCATGATGTTGCCCAGGCTGCTCTCAAACTCCTGGACTCAAGCAATCCTCCCACCTCAGCCTCCCAAAGTGTTGGGATTACAGGCGCGAGCCACCATGCACTGCCTGCTCAACACATATTTCACTAGTAGACGTGAGTTTGCAAGTCTAAAGAAGGGATGATTTGCTCTGTGCCTAATCCACCAAGAGTGATGAGAACAGAGCCCTGAGGAATACCAGCATTTAGGGGAGAAACAGATAAGAGAAAGCCTCCAAGGAAATGAGAAAGAGCAGCCAGGGAATGGTGCTCAGGAAGCCTAGAAGGAGTCAAGTCTCAAAAACAGTTTGGCCAGCTTAGGCGACAGAGCGAGATTCTGTCTCAAAAAAAAAAAAAAAAAAATACAGTTTGGCTTTGGTCAGGGGCGGTGGCTCACGCCTATAATCCCAGCATTTTGGGAGGCCGAGGCAGCCAGATCACTTGAGGTCAGGAGTTCAAGACCAACCTTGCCAACGTGGTGAAACCCCATCTCCACTAAAAAATACAAATATATATATATATATATATATATATATAAAATCCAGATGTGATGGTGCACACCTATAGTCCCAGCTACTCGGGAGGCTGAGGCAGGAGAATCGCTTCTACCTGGGAGGCAGAGGCTTCAGTGAGCTGAGATTGCACCACTGCACTCCAGCCTGGGCAACAGAGTGAAACTCCATCTCAAAAAAAAAAAAAAAAAAAGCTAGTTTGGCCAATGTCAAAATGCAGCAAAGTCATATAAGATGCAGATCGATTGAATCAGCCCAATTCCCAGAGATGTGATTTTCTTAATCCACCATATTCTATAAATTATGCATATGAGCACTAAAACCCCATTAGTCCAAATTGAATTTTGCAAAATAGTTCTGGAAACAGGAAAGCAAAACTACTATCAGTGGTTATTTCTGGGGACTGAGATGAGTTGAGCGAAGGAGGGACTCTCACCTTTTTACTTCATGTACTTCTGAATTACTTTAATTTTTACAAGGAGCGTGAATGTATTTGAAAATTTCAAATGAAGCAAATAAATGAAAATAGCTCAGTGTTAACCAATACTAGCATAATAACATTGGGAGAAGGGAAAAGTGGTTTTTGTCGATGGAAGGGGAAAGAAAATCTATGGCGGGGGGGTGTTGATGACAGATGGGGGAATTTGGCAGGCAAGGACTGGGGATGGATGTACTGACAATGTGAGAAGTGAGAGCGTGGTAGGAGATGCTGTGGTCCAGTAATTGTGTAGGTGGGTGAAAATACAATAGCAGGAGCAGTTCCCGGTTAGAAGGTTTAAGAGGCTCCTCCAGTGACCAATGGTCAGGTAAAGATGGGCAGGAAAAACCCAGCGAAGGGAGGGGGGTGATATTTGGGGTCTCACTGGCCCCAGGCTAGGGAGGCACTTTTGTTGTCAACTCACTTGGGGCTGCCTTCCCCAAGAATCAGTTGGGTCACCAGTGGTCTTAGCTACTCAGGAGGCTGAGGTGGGAGGATTGTTTGAGCCCGGAAGTTCAAGACCAGCCTGGGCAACATACTGAGACCTCCATCTCTAAATAAATAGATAACCTTAAAAAAAAAAAAAAAAAGAGTCAGTGGGGAACAAAGAGGAAACTCCCCCCCATCTACCCACCCATACCCCCAAGGCAAGACACAGAGGGCCAGAGCAGAAAACAGAGTTGGGGCCAGGCATGGTGGCTCACGCCTGTAATCCCTGCACTTTGGAGGGCCAAGACGGGCAGATTCACCTGAGCTCAGGAGTTCAAGACCAGCCTGGACAACATGGCAAAACCCCATCTCTACTAAAAAATTAGTCAGGCATGGTGGTGTGCACCTGTAGTCCCAGCTATTTAGGAGGGTGAGGCAGGAGAATTGCTTGAGCCCAGGAGGCAGAGATTGCAGTGAGCCAAGATTATGCCACTGCACTCCAGCCTGGATGGCAGAGGAAGACCCTGTCTCAAAAAAAAGAAAAAAAGAAAAGACAAAGAAAACAGAGTTGGGATGAACATAACAGCACAGAGTTAATGTAGTCAGACTGGGTTGCAATTTATTTAACATCAGAAATCTACAAAGTGCCCTTTTCATCATGTCCTAACAAGCATTGATTGTGTCTTTTGTTTGTTTTTTAGTCTTTGCTAATCTGATTGGCGAAAAGGGCTTTATTGTGACACAGGGGATGTTCTATCTAAATTGCTTGCTTACTCAAACCTTTGAGGGTGACACAGTGATTTTCATCTTTCCAGTCCCAGCATGTCACTTGACCTAGAATTAATGGATAAAAGTGCCATAGCATGGCTGTTTTTATTTGTATAAAAATGTTACAAAGAAAGAGTTGGCTGGGCAGGCATGGTGGTTCATGCCTGCAAACCCACCCTTTGGGAGGCTGAGGCAGGAGGATCACTTGAGCCCAGGAGTTCAAAACCAGCCTGGGCAACATAGTAAGACCTCGTATCTAGAAATAATTTTTTAAATTAGCCTGTATGGTGGCTTGCACCTGTAGTTCCACCTACTTGGGAGGCTGAGGTGAAAGGCTCACCTGAACCCAGGAGGTCAAGGATTCAGTGAGCCATGTTCGTGCCACTGCACTCCAGCCTAGGTGACAGAGGGAGACTCTGTCTCAAAAAAAAAAAAAAAAAAGAGTCAAGCATTTTCCTCAACAGTTTAAGCACAAGGAAAGCTTGGTACTTTGTGGCTTACAATAATGTCAATCCAGGGATGAGATAATTGGTGGCTGGCTCTTGTCATCACGAAAGGTTTACTCAGGCTATTTCATTAATGTTGCAACTGAAACCCTGCATTTGATATAACTCAATCATCGGACCACTTAGAGCACTGTGTAGAAGTTATAATATAAGGTAGTCAGTTTTTAGTCTGAGATGTCTCCAACTAGGAGTCATCTCTATACCTCTAAGAAGGGTCGGATAAAATAAGTACAAAAAGGAGAGGATAGTGTTTCACAGTCAGATGCCTACGGTCAGCGAGCCAAATCTGCCTGCAGCTGTATAAACAAAAGTTTTATTGGAACACAGCCAGGTTCATTCACTTTTATTTTGTCTATGGCAGCTTTTGCCCTACAATGGTAAAGTTCGATAGCTGAAACACTAGCTTTATAGCTCTCAAAGTCAAAACTATTTACTATCTGCTTTTTTTTTTATTTTTTGAGATGGAGTTTTGTTCTTGTTGCCCAGGCTGGAGTGCAATGGCGTGATCTCGGCTCACTGCAACCTCTGCCTCCCGGGTTCAAGCGATTCTCCTGCCTCAGCCTCCTCAAGTAGCTGGGATTACAGGCATGTGCTACCATGCCTGGCTAATTTTGTTTTTTTTTTTTTTTTTTTTTTTTTTTTTTAGAGACAGGGCTTCACCATGTTGGTCAGGCTGGTCTCGAACTCCTGACCTGAGGTGATCCACCCACCCCAGCCTCCCAACATGCTGGGATTACAAATATGAGCCTCCACAGCCAGCCTACTATCTGCTCTTTCACAGGTAAAGCTTGCCCGCCTTGTTCTAGACCCTACCCCTCTCCAGAAATGGTGTGTGGAACCAACCCAACTTGAGGAAGGTTTACATCAACGGATACAGAGGAGCACAGAAAGGTAGGGGGTCATTTGATCCTCACAGCAACTCTGTGAGGTAGGTACTGTTATCTTTACAGATGGGGAAACTGAGGCACAGAGCAGTTAAACAAATTTCCCAGAGTCACATAACCAATGATTGTTGGAACTGAGATTTGAACCCAGGTAGTCTGCTTCTAGAGTTTGCACACTTAACTGCCACCAATAATGGCACCTAGAAGTTTTCAGGAGTGGGGGAAAGAAACATAATAGGCACATACAAAAACTAATACTCTTCAAGAGCATCATAAGAAGCTAGAAGAAAAATGAAGCAATACTTTTCCTTTTTTTTTTTTGAGAGAAAGGCTATTTTCAACCTAAAATTCTAGACCCTGACACCTTACCATCAAGCGTAATGGCAGAATAAAGACATTATAAATCATGCAAGCTCTCAAATATTTTTCACCAATGCACTCTTTTTTTTTTTTTTTTTTTTTTTTTCATGGAGTCTTGCTCTGTCACCCAGGCTGGAGTGCAGTGGAGCAATCATCTCAGCTCACTGCAACCTCTACCTCCCAGGTTCAAGCAATTCTCCTGCCTCAGCCTCCTGTGTAGCTGGGATTACAGGCACCTGCCAACATGCCCAGCTAATTTTTGTATTTTTAATAGAGACGGGGTTTCACCATGTTGGCCAGGTTGGTCTTGAACTCCTGATCTCAAATGATCCACCCACCTCAGCCTCCCAAAGTGCTGGAATTACAAATGCGAGCCACCACACCTGACCACCAATGCACTCTTTCTTAGGAGGTTACTAGGTAGTCTGCTCTATCAAAATGAGAAATTAAAGCTATAAAGAGGAAAACAGGGGGTCCAGGAAGCAGTGGAAGCAGGAAAAAGGAAAGGGAATCCCTAGGATGAGAGTAAAAAGTGGCCCAGAATGTACAGCAGGTCTGTTCACACTGAAGCAATAAGTTGGGAAGCCAATGACAAACCCACAGCCAATATCATACTGAATGGGCAAAAACTGGAAGCATTCCCTTTGAAAACTGGCACAAGACAGGGATGCCCTCTCTCACCACTCCTATTCCACATAGTCTTGGAAGTTCTGGCCAGGGCAATCGGGCAGGAGAAAGAAATAAAGGGCATTCAATTAGGAAAAGAGGAAGTCAAATTGTCCCTGTTTGCAAATGACATGATTGTATATCTAGAAAACCCCATCGTCTCAGCCCGAAATCTCCTTAAGCTGATAAGCAAATTCAGCAAAGTCTCAGGATATAAAATCAATGTGCAAAAATCACAAGCATTCTTATACACCAATAACAGACAAACAGAGAGCCAAATCATGAGTGAACTCCCATTCACAATTGCTTCAAAGAGAATAAAATACCTAGGAATCCAACTTAAAAGGGATGTGAAGGACCTCTTCAAGGAGAACTACAAACCATTGCTCAATGAAATAAAAGAGGACACAAAAAAATGGAAGAACATTCCATGCTCATGGATATGAAGAATCAATATTGTGAAAATGGCCATACTGCCCAAGGTAATTTATAGATTCAACGCCATCCCCATCAAGCTACCAATGACTTTCTTCACAGAATTGGAAAAAACTACTTTAAAGTTCATATGGAACCAAAAAAGAGCCTGCATTGCCAAGTCAATCCTAAGCCAAAAGAACAAAGCTGGAGGCATCATGCTACCTGACTTCAAACTATACTACAAGGCTACAGTAACCAAAACAGCATGGTACTGGTACCAAAACAGAGATATAGACCAATGGAACAGAACAGAGCCCTCAGAAATAATACCACACATCTACAACTATCTGATCTTTGACAAACCTGACAAAAACAAGCAATGGGGAAAGGATTCCCTATTTAACAAATGGTGCTGGGAAAACTGGCTAGCCATATGTAGAAAGCTGAAACTGGATCCCTTCCTTACACCTTATACAAAAATTAATTCAAGATGGATTAAAGACTGACATGTTAGACCTAAAACCATAAAAACCCTAGAAGAAAACCTAGGCAATATCATTCAGGACATAGGCATGGGCAAGGACTTCATGTCTAAAACACCAAAAGCAATGGCAACAAAAGCCAAAATTGACAAATGGGATCTAATTAAACTAAAGAGCTTCTGCACGGCAAAAGAAACTACCATCAGAGTGAACAGGCAACCTACAGAATGGGAGAAAATTTTTTCAATCTACTCATCTGACAAAGAGCTAATATCCAGAACCTACAAAGAACTCAAACAAATTTACAAGAAAAAAAACAAACAACCCCATCAAAAAGTGGGCGAAGGATGAACAGACACTTCTCAAAAGAAGACATTTATGCAGCCAACAGACACATGAAGAAATGCTCATCAGGACTGGCCATCAGAGAAATGCAAATCAAAACCACAATGAGATATCATCTCACACCAGTTAGAATGGTGATCATTAAAAAGTCAGGAAACAACAGGTGCTGGAGAGGATGTGGAGAAATAGGAACACTTTTACACTGTTGGTGGGACTGTAAACTAGTTCAAACATTGTGGAAGTCAGTGTGGCGATTCCTCAGGGATCTAGAACTAGAAATACCATTTGACCCAGCCATCCCATTACTGGGTATATACCCAAAGGAATATAAATCATGCTGCTATAAAGACACATGCACATGTATGTTTATTGCAGCACTACTCACAATAGCAAAGACTTGGAACCAACCCAAATGTCCAACAATGATATACTGGATTAAGAAAATGTGGCACATATACACCATGGAATACTATGCAGACATAAAAAATGATGAGTTCATGTCCTTTGTAGGGACATGGATGAAGCTGGAAACCATCATTCTCAGCAAACTATCGCAAGGACAAAAAACCAAACACCACATGTTCTCACTCATAGGTGGGAATTAAACAATGAGAACACATGGACACAGGAAGGGGAACATCACACACTGGAACATGTTGTGGGGTGGAGGAAGGGGGGAGGGATAACATTAGGAGATATACCTAATGTATATGATGAGTTAATGGGTGCAGCACACCAACATGGCACAAGTATACATATGTAACAAACCTGCACATTGTGCACAAGTACCCTTGAACTTAAAGTATAATAAAAAATATATATATATATATTTTAAAAAGGGAAGCCAAATAGGAGGTTGTATCAGTTAGCTATTGCTGTGTAGCAAATGACACCCCAAAAGCTAGTAGCTTAAAACAACAAATATATATCATCTCACACACTCTCTAAGGGTCAAAAATCAGGGAGCAGCCTCTGGTTCAGTCTTTTATGAAGTTGCAGTTAAGCGGAGGCTGAAGTCATCAAAAGGCTTGACAGGGGCTGAAAGATCTATTCATTCCCAAAATTGCTGGCAAGATCCCTCAATTACTTATCACCTGGGCCTCTCCATAGGGCTGCTCCATATGGCAGTTGGCTCCCTCTAGAGTGAATAATCAAATAGAGATGGGGATGAAGCAAAGACCAAGACAGAAGTTACAATGTCTCTTATATACTAATCTTAGAACTAATATGCCCTCACTTCTGATCTATTCTGCTGGTCAACAGAGATGAACTCTGGTACAAGGTTGGAGAGGACTACACAGGGTGTGAATATCAGGAAACAGGGATCACTGGGGGGATCATCTTTGAGGCCGCCTACCACAAAGGTGTTCCAATTATTACAGCAGTGTAGCAAAACCTAGTGGTGAAATTGGCTGGGTTGCAATGGCTTATGCCTGTAATTCCAACATTTTGGGAAGCCAAGGCAGGAACATCACTTGAGGCCAGGAGTTCAAGACCAGCCTGGACAACATAGTGAGACCCCCATCTCTACACAAAAATTAAAAATTAACCAGGTGTGGTGGCATGTGCCTGTATTCCCAGCTACTCAGGAGGCTGAGGCAAGAGGATTGCTTGAGCCTAGGAGCTTGAGGCTGCAGTGAGCCATGAACACAACACTGCACTCCAGCCTGGACAACAGAGCAAGACTCCGTCTCAAAAAAACAAAAAAATTATAGAGGTTGCCTCTCTAGACTGGAACTGGGGAGGAAGAGAGTGCGGCAGGGACTGCTGGTTTCTGGGTTGAGTTTGAAGCATAACTGGGCTTTTGAATTCAGTCTCTGTCTTTGTTACCACACTTAGGCCTCTGCAATCTGTGGCCTCCAGGAGACTTGTCACTCTCTAATGCCTCTGATTAGACCCAATTAGACACCCTCAGGTCGTGAGATGCACTGTCCAGCTGGGCTGCTCCAAGGGGCACAGGCCCCAGCCTCAGACTCCACATGCTGGGAGCTGGCCTCCCCCTCCCACTAGGCCCAGAAATTCCTTCCAGCCCCAACCTTGGAAAGAGAGCAAGAGTGTCCCCTATGAAAATGGTATTTGTCCTTGCATTGTCCCTGCCCAAAGCAAAAGAGCTCACCCAGATGGCCCTTCCCAAAAGAAAGGAACTATGCACTCCACGCACAAACCCAAGCCTCCACCCTAAATGACAGAACCCACATCTATTTTTTAAAAAATAAAAGTAATAATGAGCCAGGCACAATGGTCAGGCCTGTAGTCCCAGGACTTTGGGAGGCCGAGGTCAGGAGTTCGAGACCAGCCTGGCCAATGTGGTGAAACCCCATCTCTACCAAAAATACAAAAATTAGCCGGCTTGATGGCAGGCGCCTACAGTCCCAGCTACTCGGGAGGCTGAGGCACGAGAATCGCTTGAACCCAGGAGGTAGAGGTTGCAGTGAGCAGAGATCAAGCCACTGCACTCCAGCCTAGGTGACAGAATGAGACGTTGTCTCAAAAAAAACAAAAAAGTATCTGTATATAATGCTTGTAGCTTTTTAAGTGGGCATTTGTAGAGGCTTCAAAAAAATAATAATGTCCCGTCTCTATTAGACTCTCTGTTGTGTGAATAAGAAATGTATCTACAGAATCCAACCATGTTTCCATCTGCGCTGAAGGATTTCTGTCCTCAACATTGGAACAGAAACCCGTATAATTCTTGGCACCCGGGGAACCATAATCAACCTCTTCCATGTTATCAGCTTTAGTGAATGTTAAAGGCATAGTGCTTAAAACATCAAAATTTAGGAGACTGCACAACAGTGACATACTAAAAATACAAATGCTTGTTTTATTTTGCTGACATATGTTGGTTGAGGATAATGGAACCGCAAGTAGATTCAGAAAATATTTTCTAATACACTGGATTTGCATACCACAGATAAACTATTTCTGGGCAACTTCATGTTCTGCTTGGAGGAGAATGGGAATTCAGGGACAAACTCTGGAAATTATAGCTTAATAATTTTTTTCTAGAATCAGTATGGTATCAGATAGGAATTGTATTCAACTACTAGTAACAGGGTTCCAATTATTGTAGATTAAGCAATTTAGAGTTTTTTCTCTGATATAAAAGGCTAGAATTGGCTGGGCACAGTTGGATCACGTATGTAATCCCAGCACTTTGAGAGGCTGAGGTGGGCGGATCACTTGAGGTCAGGAGATTGAGACTGGCCTGGCTAACATGGTGAAATCGTGTCTCTACTAAAAACTACAAAAATTAGCCAGGTATGGTGGTGTGTACCTGTAGCCCCAGCTATACAGGAAGCTGAGGTGGGAGAATTGCTTGACGCTGGGAGGCTAAGGTTGCCGTGAGCTGAGATCACGCTACTGCACTCCAGCCTGGGTGACAGGGTGAGAAAAAAAAAAAAAAGGCTAGAACTGATATGGCAACTCTGCAAAGTTATTTGGCATAGAGGCTCCTTCTCTTAGTCTAAGCATGTAATTTCAAAACTCAAGGTTATTCACATTCACATTATGTATATGGAGCTCACGTAATAGACAAGCAAAAGAGGTTAGCTACAAAGGAAACTAAGAAATGTTATGTTTTCTCCAGACACTTTGCCACCCCCGGTAAAATTGGCTTTCCTTTATTAAAAAAAGAGGGGAATGAAAAGGCTATAGTAGACACCTAGCAGTCTCTGCAATGGGCACTCATTCAAAAAAAAAATTACTTTGCACAAAACTCTTCATTTTTCCAAGCATATTGATCCCTAGAAATCCCTAGCTCTAGAAATGCTACCATTCTCCAACCACATGCTCAAACCAAGAATCTACAAACCATCTCTGATTCTTCTTTTACTTTAGCCCCACATGCAAACCATGAGCATGTTTTCTTGACTCTACCTCCAAAATATGTCCCATGCCTTTCCAAATCTAACCTCTACTGTCACCACCTCCTCCCTACCTAAACTATTGCCATAGCCTCCACCGAGTCTCCCTCATCCTGCTTTTTTAAAAAAATAAATGTTATTTTCATTTCATAGACAGAGTCTTGCTCTATTGCCCAGGCTGGAGTACAGTGGTGCAATCATACTCACTGCAGCCTCAAACTCCTGGATTCAAACCATTCTTCCACCTCAACCTCCCAAGTACCTAGGACAACAGATGTGTACCACCACACCCCACTAATTTTTTAATTTTTTGTAGAGACAGAGTCTCACTATGTTGCCCAGGCTTGTCTTGAATTCCTGTGAGCCCGGTCCTCCCATCTCAGCCTCCCAAAGCACTGGGATTACATGAGCCACTCTGTCCAGCCTGAACTTACTTTGTCATACATTTATTTGTTGTGTGGTCTGCCTACCTCTCTAGAATATAAACTCCATGGCAGTGGGGTTGTCTGTCTTGCTTATCCCTGTAACACCTGCTTTTATTTAGCTCCGTGTCTGGCATGCCAAAGTGTGCATGAATATTAATTATTTATTAATTAATCATTTGCTTAAAACAGAATCTGAAAATATTGCTCAGAGTTGGGAAAGAGTTTGGTATGGCTTAAAATGAGAAGTTGATCATCCGAGTATTAAATTAAATATCTTTTGTGAATTATTTTCATGCTAGGAAGCGACAAACAGACCTCTTAAATATCAAATTAGTATACACTGAAGTCTAATTATGAAAATTCATACACAAAATTGTGGAAAAATCAGAGGGAATGTTTACTTAAAAGAAAAATGTATGTGATTGGAAACCAGCAATTTCTCAACAGACTGAAAAGCTTAATGACTAAAAGCAAGCACTTCACCACTTACTGACTGCATGACCTTGAGAATATTACTTCATATTCATAATGTGGGGTTACCAAAAATACCTAACTCATGGGTTTATTGTTAGAATTAAAGGAGGTTATGTTTGTGTAGGGCTTAGCTCAATAGGAAGTAGCCATTACCATTATGCCTTTATCATTAAAATTTGGTAAAAAAAATATATATACACACACATATATACATATGGTACCATTTTAAATGTGAAATATATATGTATATTTATACATATATACATATATTTAAATAATACATATGTATTAAAAATAAATATATATGTATTTTAAATGGTACCATTTTAAATGTGAAATATATATTACATATATACAAATATATATACATATATATTTCACATTTAAAATGGTACCATTTAAAATACATATATATTGTATATACATATATATGTATATGTGTATGTGTATATATATATACACATATATATATATTTCATATTTAAAATGGCACCATTTAAAACAATGAAGCTATTTTAAAACTTTGGTCATCAGGCCAAGGGTGCCTGCAAGGACTGATGGGAAGTCTGGAGACAGCAGCGTGTTGAACCTGTAAGTGGAAAGCAAGAGAGAAAGAGAGAGACCTGTGGCTCAAAGCCTTTATTAAGGTCCTGGGTACAGCCAGGCACGGTGGCTCATGCCTGTAATCCCAGCACTTTGGGAGGCTGAGGCAGGCAGATCACGAGGTCAGGAGTTTGAGACCAGCCTGGCCAACATGGGGAAACCCCGTCTCTGCTAAAAATACAAAAATTAGCTGGGCATGGTGGCGGGTGCCTGTAATCCCAGCTACTCGGGAGGCTGAGGCAGGAGAATTGCTTAAAACCAGAAGGCAGAGGTTGTGGTGAGCTTAGATCATGCCATTGCACTCCAGCCTGGGCAAAAGAGTGAAACTCTATCTCAAAAAAAAAAAATACGTCTTGGGTATTACCCCAGCAGATTTCCCAAGAGAAGTTCTAATTGGTGGGTTTAGACTAAGCAGGCAGGAGCTCTGCAAAGCCACACTGTGACTAAGAGGTGGTCACTGTAGCATATCTGTGCAACCTATGCAAGGTGTAGGGGCCAGAGGGGTGAGTCAATTAGGTGGGGTGAGACAAGTAGGTTGTATCTACACCAGGAGGAGATATAAGGCAGGTGTCTGGATCAGCCACATTGAGGAACTGGGAAGAGGTGAAGAACTGTGTCAAGGTTGACTGGGCCCTGCGTCTGATATGAGAAAGTCTAACTTATATTCAAAATGGGTACCAAGGCAACATAAAACTATGGAAATTCACCACACAACCATTGGATCTCTATCACATGCAGACAAGTCTATATTCAAAATCATATGCAGACTTGCAGGTCCTGTCTCTGGAAATTATAATGTAGAAGATCTATAGTGACGCCCAAGTATCAGTATTTTTGTAAGTTTCCCAGGTAATTTATTTTGATGTTCAAAATAATTACTTTGGGGAACTATTGAGCTGCAAATGGCTCAATAAAGCACTACCAGAAAATTATTATTGAATAATAAGCAGGAACTAATCAGGCAAAGGTTGGGGTGAAAGATAGTCCAACCAAAGAGAAAAGCCAAAGTCAGTGAGAAACAGCAGAGCATAGAAAGGAAGAACCTCAAACAGCTGGCATTCCTAGAACATGAAATGACACGCACGTGGGAGTCAGAGATGAAACTGGAAAGACCGCATACGTCATCTGCATTGCAGAGGACCTGGAAGCTATAAAAATACTTAGATTTGATCAATTGTGCAAAACTGTTTAAGAATTTTTTTTGAGATGGAGTACAATGGTGTGATCTCAGCTCACTGCAACCTCCACCTCCCGGGTTCAAGCGATTCTCCTGCCTCGGCCTCCCGAGTAAATAGGATTACAGGCACCCGCCGCCACGCCCAGATAATTTTTGTATTTTTAGTAGAGACGGAGTTTCACTATGTTGGTCAGGCTGGTCTCAAATTCCTGACCTCAGGTGATCCACACACCTTGGCCTCCCAAAGTACTATTTAAGAATTTAAAGGAGATTAGGAAGGTTGAGGCAGGAGGATTACTTGAGACCAGGGAGTCGAGACCAACCCGAGCAACACAACAAGACCCTATCTCTAAAAAAAAAAAAAAAAAGAAAACTTAACCCCAGTATGATGACACACACCTGTAGTCCCAGATACTCAGGAGGCTGAGGTGGGAAGATTATTTGAGCCCAGGAGGTTGAGGCTGCAGTGAGCTGTATTGTGCCACTGCACTCCAGCCTGGCAGCAAAGTAAGACCCTGTCTCTAAAAAAAAGAGTTTAAAGAAGAGAAGTGACCCAGACTGACTTGTTTTGACTTAAAAATGTAACATCTTAGAACATAACCCCTCAAAATACTTTTCTTTATATGTTTATATGCATGTTTGCAAATTAGTTTATGCTATTTATATTGTTTTCTTAATGATAATATTCATCTATGACATCGTTTTAAATGGCTGAATACCATTTCATTTTATGAATATATCATTTTATTTTAACCAATCCTATTGTGGTAGGTTTATTTAATTTTATTTAACTTAGCAAAACTGGAACTATATTTCCAAGAAATCCCTTCTCTATGGTCTATGTTATTGTTGGCCATGAGAAAAACATATGCAAGATTTGACAGACTGGCCGGATGCAGTGGCTCACGCCTGTAATCCCAACACTTTGGAAGGCTGAGGCTGGAGAATCGCTTGAGCCCAGGAGTTCGAGACCAGCCTGGGCAACATAACGAGATCCCCCATCTCTACAAAAAAAATAAGAAAATAAATATAAATAAATAAATAAGCCAGGCATGGTGACATGGGCCTGTGGTCCCTGTTACTCGGGAGGCTGAGGCAGGAGGATAACCTGAGTCTAGAGGTTTGAGGCTGCTGTGAGCTATGATTACACCACTTAACTCCAGCCTGAGTGACAGAGTGAGATTCTGTCGCTTAAAAAAAAAAAAAGATTTGGCAGACAGGACTGAAGGTGCAGCAATTGCTATGCTCTGAGCACAGGTGCATGGCATTCTTGCCACTTACACAATTTGCAGCTAGCCTGATGCTTCACCTGTGGGTGTGAGGCATCAGCCAGGCCTGTGGTACCTCCAGCTCCTCCAGGTCTCCTTCAGCTTCTCCAAACCCTACACCAGGTGCCTGTCATGGGCACTGGCTCCTCCTGCCAGTCACTCACATCATCAAGATTGGAGGTGGCAACAGACTCAGGTTCCACGTTGTCCTTGTAGGTTCCTGTTGGTCTTTGCATCCCCTACTTCATGTACATTTTTTCCTGTCCAGCTGCTGGCCCTGATGACTTCAGATGCAACATCAGATTCAGAAGAGCCACCGCCCACATTGACTGATAACTTGCCCCCACAGTTGCATGAGGACTAATCCCCACATGTAATAAGTCTCTCATTGCATGTCAGCCATGGTGGTTCTGCTCCTCTGATCAAACTCCAATTGAATGCTAATGCAATGTGTTAGTTGGGTTCTCTGCGGTAGTATCAGGTTTATTTGGGAGTAACATCCATGAAAGATAAAATGGTGAAGAAGGAGGATTGGCCAGGGAGAATATCAGATCGAGATGCAGATCTGGAAAATGTTCATCCAACCCAGTGGGGAGTTCTGGAGCAAAGATTTCCCACCAAAGGAATCCCACAGTGAGCTATAATCACTAGTCCCAGTACCTTGCTCAGTCCTTCGCTGGGGCTGCCTGAGAACAGCACAACCTCAGCTTAACAGGTGAGGCAGAGGCCAGGTTCAGTGGCTCACACCTGCAATCCCAGCACTTTGGGAGTCCGAGGTGGGAAGGTCACTTGAGCCCAGGAGTTCAACACCAGCCAGGGCAACATAGTGAGACGTCATCTCTACTAAAAATAAAAAAGTAAATTATCTGAGTGTAGTGGTGCACACCTGTAGTCCCAGCTACTCAGGAGGCTGAGGTGGGAGGATCACTTGAGCCCAGAAGGTCAAAGCTGCATTGAGCCTGGGTGACAGAGCAAGGCCCATGCCTCAAAAATAGAAAAATAAAAATAGCTGGAATCTGTCAGCTCCCAGCATTCCTCACAGCCGAAGGGCAAGTTCCTTCTTGAAGGGAGACCAGAACAGCACACCCTAGAGCTGCCCCACCCATATTGGCGCACAGTTGGATGACTCTGATGATCCACTTTGTTTGTTATAAACAAGACCTAAGTGAACAATCTGGTAGGTCATATCTTTTTGCACATCCTTAATTATTTGCTTAGGATACATGCCTAGAAATGAGGATCTGGGACAAATAATCTCCCCATTTTTAGGGCTTTTGATATATAAAACTAGACTGGGCCTCAGAAGAGTTGTGATTTTAATCAAATTTTAATCAACATTGAGGTTGAATGTTTTCATATGCATTTAGACATTTATATTTCTTTCTTTCTTTTTTTTTTTTTTTGACATAGAGTCTCGCTCTGTTGTCCAGGCTGGAGTGCAGTGGCACGATCTCGGCTCACTGCAACCTCTGTCTCCTGGGTTCAAGCAATTCTCCTGCCTCAGCTTCCCAAGTAGCTGGGATTACAGGTGCCCATCACCATGCCCAGCTAATTTTTGTATTTTTCAGTAGAGACAGGGTTTTTCCATGTTGGCCAGGCTGGTCTTGAACTCCTGACCTCAGGTGATCCACCTGCCTTGGTCTCCCAAAGTGCTGGGATTACAGGCTTGAGCCACCACACCCAGCCTAGATATTTATATTTCTAAAAAAAAAAAAAGAAAAAAACCTTCTTGTTCATATTGTTGGATATAGGATGGTCATATTCTTCCAATTGAAAGAGCTACTTATATGTAAAAGATTGCAACCTGTTGTCTGATATGCATGATGCAAATAATTCTCCAGTTTGTCTTTTACCTTTAATTTTTTAAATTTTTATGTAGTCAACACTATTAATATTTTACTTTATGATTCTTCTTAGGAAAGCTTCCGCATCTCAGGATTATATTAATACATTAATAATCACACTTTTTTTCTTTCTTTTTTTTTTTAAGAGACAAGATCTGTCTCTGTCACCCAGGCTGGAGTGCAGTGATGTGATTACAGCTCACTCCACTGCAGCCTCAACCCCCTGGGCTCAAGCAATTCTTCTGCCTCAGCCTCCTAAGTATCTGGGACTATAGGTGTACACCACCACACTCGGCTAATTTTTGTATTTTTTGTAGAGACAGGGTCTCATTATGTTGCCCAGTCTAGTCTTGAACTCCTGAGCTCATGTGATCCTCCCACTCAGCCTCCTAAAGTGCTATTATACTCCTTTTCTTTTCTTTTTTTTTTTTTTTTTGAGATGGAGTCTTGCTCTGTCACCCAGGCTGGAGTGCAGTGGCGCTATCTCGGCTCACTGCAAGCTCCGCCTCCCAGTTTCACACCATTCTCCTGCCTCAGCCTCCCGATTAGCTGGGACCACAGGCGCCCATCACCACCCCCGGCTAATTTTTTGTATTTGTAGTAGAGATGGGGTTTCACTGTGTTAGCCAGGATGGTCTCGATCTCCTGACCTCGTGATCCACCCACCTCGGCCTCCCAAAGTGCTGGGATTACAGGTGTGAGCCACCACGCCCAGCCTAGAGATGGATTCTTATTCTGTTGCCCAGGCTGGAATGCAAGGAATGATCACAGCTCATAGCAGCCTGGACCTCCTTGGGCTCAAGTGATCCTCCTGCCTCAGTCTCCTAAGTAGCTAGGACTACAGGTGTGCACTGCCAGCTAATGTTTTACTTTTTAGAGACATGATCTCACTATGTTGCCCAGCTGGTCTCAAATGCCTAGCCTCAAGCGATCCTCCCATCTCGACCTCCCAAAGTGTATTTTATTATATTTTTTTGAATACTGTAATAGTTTGCTAGATACTTTACATTATTTATATACACAAAGCTCTTTTACATCTACCTATTTAGTGCTTTGCATTAATAAGCATGAGAAAAATCCATTCACAAAGCAGTTTACATAGAGTTGCCTAAACTTTACAGGCTTCCCAAACCAACCATTTTATTTACTTTAGTTTCGTGATAAATGATAGATGTTAACCGGTAAGATAAGGCCCATTTTATTATTCATTTTTTTTAATGTCTACTTTCCTTCCCTGCAAGAAAATTATGCATCCCCACCTGTAACCACAATGTCAGATTAAAGATGACCATAAATTCATCAGTACTCCTGCCATCCAGAGATGGAGTCTATATTTCCTCTTCTGTGTGCTCTAGGACTGTTTTGTCTCAATTCATTTTTTTTTCTTTCAAGACAAAGTCTCACTTTGTCACCCAGGCTGCAGTGCAGTGGCCCAGTCTCAGCTCACTGCAACCTCCACCTCCCACGTTCAAGTGATTCTCCTGCCTCGGCCTCCCGTGTAGCTGGGATTACAGGCACCTGCCACCATACCCGGCTAATTTTTGTATTTTTAGTAGAGACAGGGTTTCCCTATGTTGGCCAGGCTGGTCTCGAACTCCTGACCTCAGCCTCCCAAAGTGCTGGGATTACAGGCATGAGCCACCTGTTTTGTCTCAATACATTATAACAGAAGTGACATTGTGCCACTTTCTCAGGCTTTAAGACACTGGGGTCTTACACTTCCTGTTTCTTAGGACACTCTCTCCAGAAGCCTTTTCTAGACACTGTTCCTGTGAGGATGTGATGGCTAGAGCTATGGCAGCCATTCTGTAACCATGAGTCAACACACCTGAGCATTAAAAGCCAACATACTGAGGAATAGAAGGATAAAACATCTTGGAGTCTCAATTATATTGATGAGTCATTCAATAACTCTAAGACTGCCTACCACCAGAGACATCTTATAATGTGAGATAATTGTTTTAATTATTTAAGCCACTGTTAGCTGGCAATTCTGTTATTTGTAGCCAAAAGCAAACTAACTAGTATATAGTTATCTGTGGATTTTGCCTGTCCAACATGCAGCCTCCTTCTTCCCATAACAACATTCTGATATTCCTTTAGGGAATCAACACACACACACACACACACACACACACACATACACATTGCATTTGGTTCAAGTGGGATTGACTTCAGTCCATAGTACTGGGGCAAGCATGTGAGCAGGTCTGGCTAACCAGAGTGTTGCATTTACCTGGCTACAATGGATGGACCAATGAGGTTTTGTTCTGGGACTTTTGACAGAACTGTTGGGAAAGAGAGACTCATTATCCTTAGCAAACTAACACAGAAACAGAAAACCAAATACCACATGTTTTCACTTATAAGTGGGAGCTAAATGATGAGAACACATGGACACCCAGAGGGGAACAACACATACTGGGGTCTTTTGGAGGGTGGTGGGTGGAAGGAGAAGGAGGATCAGGAAAAATAACTAATGGGTACTAGGCTCAATACCTGGGTGACTAAATAATCTGTGTAGCCACCTCCCATTATACAAGTTTACCTGTTTAACAAACCTGCACTTGTACCCCTGAACTTAAAATAGAAGTTTTTAAAAAAGAGAGAGAGGCTCTCTTTATTGGTATTTTATTTTACTGCTTAAGAATGAAACCAACACATTGGCTGGGCTCAGTGGCTCACGCTGGTAATCCCAGAACTTTAGGAGGCTGAGGTGGGTGGATCACTTGAGGTCAGGAGTTGAAGATCAGCCTGGCCAAGATGGTGAAACCCTGTCCCTACTAAAAATACAAAAATTAGCCCAGTGTGGTGGCGCATGCCTGTAATCCCAGCTACTTGGGAGACTGAGGCAGGAGGTTCCCTTGAACCCGGGAGGCAGAGGTTGCAGTGAGCCAACATCACACCACTGCCCTCCAGCCTGGGCAACAGAATGAGACCTGTCTCAAAAAAAAGAATGAATGAATGAATGAAACCAACACAGAGGACAGCAGAGTTAAGAAATGAAAGACTAGTTTCTGGTAATATCATTGAGCCTTTGGGACTCACCTTTGCCTGGTGTACCTTTGGACTTTTTTTTCAGTTATATGAACCAATAAATTTCTATTATTTTATTAGCCAGTTAACAATTAAAGAATCCCAGCTGGTGCAGGCCAGAGTCCAGGCTTACAAATGAGGCCAAGGGCCTCAGCTAAAATAAGTAGGTTTGAGGGAGAGGGGGAGAGAGAAAGGATAAGATGCAGCTCTGGAGGGCAGCTGCTAGTATCTCTCTCTGTCACAGATGACAGAAGCTAAAGCCCCAAGGGTTAAAATCACTTACCCAAGGTTGTACGGCAGCTCATTATAAGGGTCCAGATTCAAACCCAGGCCTAACAAGACTCAGCTATACTGTATCGCCAGTGTGGTTTTACTAAACCACACTGATTCTCAGGGTAGGGCTCTACCAGGAATCAAGTCTGTATGTTGCCTCTTAAACATTAAGAGTTTTATTGGAGCCAGGCGTGGTGGCTCACGCCTGTAATCCCAGCACTTTAGAAGGCCAAGGCAGGTGGATCACCTGAGGTCAGGAGTTCAAGACCAGCCTAGCCAACATGGCAAAACCCCATCTCTACTAAAAATACAAAAATTAGCCCGGCGTCATAGTGGGCACCTGTAATCCCAGCTACTCGGTTGGCTGAGGCAGGAGAATCACTTAAACCCGGGAAGCAGAGGTTTCAGTGAGCTGAGATCCCGCCACTGCACTCCAGCCTGGGCAACAGAGTGAGACTCCATCACTCACAAAAAAAGAGTTTTATTGGTGTTGCTTAGGCAGGGCTGAGGACAAGGTCAGAACTCCTAACTATTTTCCTTATCAGTTAGCAAGGGGCAATGGCAGCATAACCAGGTCTACCCAACATCACTACCTACGTCCTTCTACAGCCATGCGCTGCGTCATGACGTTTTGGTCAATGATGGACCACATATATGACGATGGTCCCACAGGACTGTAATACCACAGTTTTACTGTAACATTCCTATGTTTAGCTATCTTTAGATACATAAATACTTACCATTATGTTGCAGTTGCCTACAGTATTTAATGCAGTAACATGCCGTGCAGGTTTCTCCTCGCCTGAGAGCAATCAGCTACACCGTATCGCCTAGGCGTGTAGTAGGCTACACCATCTAGGTTTGTGTAAGTACGCTTTATGATGTTCATACAATGACGAAATCACCAACAACGCATTTCATTTCCCAGTCGCTAAGTGATGCATGATTGTACTTGCTTCTCTTCCGAGGGCTCCCTACATACCCTCTCAAGTTTTGTCTCCTTGGCAAGGAGAGGTGCTTCTTCTGGAACTCCCGTCTCCTCTTTGAGATACATAGATGAGTTATTCTAGAAAATTCCAGGATAGCCAAGGCCTTTCCCAGCAGCCACAGTGGAACAAGCTGGGACCACTCCAGTGCCCTTCCCACTCCTGGCTGGGAAGCACCCTCCCTCTCAAATGAGGATCGCAAGCACCAGGACTAGAGCCACCTCCAGTTTCTCCCTTGGGGACTCTGCCATCTTAGCCCAGCAAGTGGGCAAGTTCATGGGCCCTGTCTCCAAACTTACAAGTCTTACCAGGTTCTGGAGACGAATGTCAGCAGAGGGCTGTTGCTTTTAATATTTCCAGCTCCACGAAGCATCTGTCATAATGTCCTGTTACTTGTCCCTGGACCTGGCCTGATAAGTGAATTCCGCTACGATGGCCAACCTCTGCCAAACCCAACCTGACCAGTGGCCAACCTGAGCATCACGATGTTCAGCCCACTGATGGCTGCCTCCAGATGCTCCCTGAAGGGACAGGAAGGGAAGACTCAACCCAAGTTTATTTCCTCATAGATTGCTCCAGCCAGAGGTTCCCAAGGTGTGGGAAACACACCACTCACATACACAAGATGATTTTGGGTAGTAACAACACAGCTCAATAACATTGAATCACACAGTGAAAAGGTTATTCCTAACCAGGTGCGGTAGCTCACACTTGTAATTCCAGCCTAGGCAATATAGCAAGACCCCATCTCTACAAAAAATAGCAAAATTAACGAGGTGTAGTGGCATGTACCTGTGATCCCAACTATTCAGGAGGCTGAGGTGAGAGGATCACTTGAGCACAGGAAGTAGAGGCTGCAGTGTGCCAAAATTGCACCACTGCACTCCAGGCTTGGTGACAGGGCAAGATCTGGTCTCAAAAAAAGAAAAAAAAAATTGTACCCTTCTCAATTCTTTTTTGCATTCTTCAGATCACCAAAGAGAAATCTCTGTTTGAGGCAGGTTTATCTTTTAAAACTCTTTAACACTTGTTAATCTCCCCCCTGTAAAGAAAGTATTATTTTTGATTGACATATAATAATCATACTTATTTATGCAATACAGTTGATATTTTGTTTTTGTTTTTGTTTTTGTTTGAGTGTTTCCCAGGCTGGAGTGCAGTGGTGCAATCTCACCTCAGTGCAGCCTCCACTTCCTGGGTTCAAGTGATTCTCCTGCCTCAGCCGCCCAAGTAGCTAGGATTACAGGTGCCCACCACCATGCCTGGCTAATTTTTGTATTTTTAGTAGAGACAGGGTTTCACCATGTTGGCCAGGCTGGTCTCAAACTCCTGACCTCAGGTGATCTGCCCACCTCAGCCTCCCAAAGTGCTGGGATTAGAGGCATGAGCCACTGCGCCCAGCTCAATGTGATATTTTGATACATGCATACAATGTGTAATTCTCAAATGAGGGTAATTAGCATATTCTTCACCTCAAACATATATCATTTCTTTGTGTTGATATTCCCTTATATGTGTATTTTTTGTTTCTTTGCATGTACTGTATTTGTGTAGTTATTTTATTTATAGCCATTGATGCTGCTTTTATTTTATAGGAGTGATAATGGATGATTGGATGCAGAAAATATATTTTAAAAAGAAAATAAAATTTATAGGAGTAAATACAATTTCCTTTACAAACTCAAATGTATAAATTTTAAATGAGTGTGTTTATAGACAAACAATGAGTAACAGTACAGGACATAGATACTGTACAGCAACAATAATGACGATGGTAAACAAATCGCTGAACATTGTCAACTGCTGCTCACAGGAGAGGGGCTTCTCATCAGGACCCCTCTAGAACAAATCCACAGGCATCTGCCAGACTTGACATCCGGAGGGTGGCGTTCAGCAGTTTCTGCCCAGCAGCCAGACTGCAGCCCCTCACCTGCATGACAAAAGCCTCCCCTCCTGAGGTTTGGGTGGGATCTGGGGACTTTCGTGCTGAGAGTGGTTTGTGCCCCCAACAACCAGAGCAGCGAGTGGAATCCTGGGGATCCCTCAGGCCCTCTAGTAACCCTTATTAGATGAGGAGCACTAGTGATTGGTACTGAGTTCCTAGAGAAGGTGTGGGCATGAATGGATGGGGAGACCTTTCTTTAGAGCCTGTGGGCCCGGTGCTATGCTCAGTGCCTTATGGCTGTTGGAGACCTTCTTATAGATAGCAGTCACTAGGAGCCTGGCCGGAAGCTTTAGGTCAATGTTTTTAAAAGTTTTTTCCTTCATCTTCTGGTATCAGAATCACTTATTTAAAAATATATATATCTGGGTTGGGCACACTGTCTCTTGCCTATAATCCCAGTACTTTGGGAAGCCAAAAAAGGGGGTTCAGACCAGGTGTGGTGGCTCATGCCTGTAATCCCAGCACTTTGGGAGGCCGAGGCGGGCGGATCACTTGAGGTCAGGAGTTCAAGAGCAGCCTGGCCAACATGGCGAAACCCCGTCTCTACTAAAAATACAAAAATTAGCCGGGCATGGTGGCACACGCCTGTAGTCCCAGCTACTCAGGAGGCTGAGGCAGGAGAATCATTTGAACCCAGGAGGCTGAGATTGCAGTGAGCCGAGATCACACCACTGCACTCCAGCCTTGGAAACAGAGCGAGACTCCAACTCCAAAAAAACAAAAGAACAAAAATTAGCCAGGCATGGTGGTGCACACCTTTAGTCCCAGCTACTCGGGAGGCTGATGCAGGATAATTGCTTGAACCCAGGAGGTGGAGGTTGCAGTGAGCCAAGATCACACCACTGCACTCCAGCCTTGGCGACAGAGCAAGAATCCATCTCAAAAAAAAAAAAAAAAAAAATAGCCAGGCATGGTGGCGCACACCTGTAGTCCCCACTACTCAGGAGGCTGATGCAGGAGAATCGCTTGAACCCAGGAGGTGGAGGTTGCAGTGAGCTGAGAACCCACCACGGCACTCCAACCTGGGCTGTAAAGCAAGACCCCATCTCAAATAATAATAATAATAAATGTTAAAAGTTGAAATGTGGTTAATCCACATTTCACATTGTGGTTAACCCCGGACAATTCCAGGTTCCTGGGGCCCCAAAGTGTGTCGTGTTTACATGACCTCAAACTTCTAAAATCAGAAAGTGCCAGCAGCTGTGCAATGCTTCCTCAAAATGTCCCACTGAGTACTCACAACCATGGTTGAGTGTGAGCTTATGTTCTGGAAGGTCTAGTGTCTCTTAGGTTGGGTTTTGCCAGAAGCACCCTGAGGTTTGACAGTAAGTTTATTTGTGAGGTGATCCGGGAAGCACTAATAGGGAAGTACGCCCGTGATACAGGAAGGGAAGGAAGCCAGGACAGGGTGGGTTTTTTGTTGTTGTTGTTGTTGTTGTTGTTTGTTGTTTTGGGGTTGTGTTTTTTGAGACAGTCTTACTCTGTTGCCTAGGCTGAAGTGCAGTGGCACAATCTCGGCTCACTGCAACCTCTGCCTCCCAGGTCCAAGCAATTCTCCTGCCCCAGCCTCCCAAGTAGCTGGGATTACAGGTGCATGTGACCACGCCTGAGTAATTTTTGTATTTTTAGTAGAGACAGGGTTTCACCATGTTGGCCAAGCTGGTCTCGAACTCCTGACCTCAGGTGATCTGCCCACCTTGACTTCCCAAAGTGCTGGGATTACAGGCCTGAGCCACTGCCCCCGGCCAGGACAGGGTGATTTAACAAGCAAATGAATTAACCCTGTGAGCAATGGGGGCTCAAATCTGCTGGAAATTGCTATGAAAATTAAGAAAACATGTATCTAAATTGTGCCACCTGAATGATGAAGTAATGGGTATTTATCCAACCAATTTCCATCTGTCACTAGTTGAGAGCTACTCCTAATGTCATTAAATCCTGGCACTTCCACCCTGCCCTTTATACAGGCTGAATATGTGCAAAGCCCTGGAGCAAGGCATCACAGTGCTTGCAAAAAGAAGCCACTAGCATGTAAGGCTGGGTGCAGTGGCCCATGCCTATAATCCCAGCACTTTGGGAGGCCGAGGTGGGTGAATCACTTGAGTCTAGGAGTTCAAGACTAGCCTGGGCAACATGGTGAAACCCCACCTCTTTTTAAAAAAAAAATTAGCTAGGCATGGTGGCATGTGCCTGTAGTCCAAGCTACTCAAGAGGCTGAGGTGGGAGCATTGCTTGAGCCCGAGAGGCAGAGGTTGCAGTGAGCCAAGACTGCCACTGCACTCCAGCCTGGGTGACAAAGCTAGACCCTGTCTCAAAAAAAAAAAAAAAAAAAAAGGAAAGAAAGATAAGAAAAGAAAGAAAGAAAAAGAAAGAAAGAAAGAAAGAAAGAAAGAAAGAAAGAAAGAAGGGAGAAAAAAGGAAAGAAACCATTGGCATGCAAAGTAATGGGAAATGTCTAGCAGGTAGTGTGCAGATAAATGTTTAACAACTGGCTTTCCAGGAGGAAAAAGCCTTAACCTGTTGCAGTTACCAATGTCTGTGGTGTAAATATTCCTGCTATAGCCAGTTTCAAGCTGCTAACATATCATTGAAAGCAGAGTTGAGATGTTATGAGCACAACTGGTTCTCATGTGTTGATGATACAAGACAACCAAAGACCAGCTCTGGGAGGGAGAAAAACAGCAGGGCAATTACAGTGTCTCCCACAGGTGCAACCAGAGAGCTCTGCTGCAGACATAGAGTCTCATAGTTTTATGGGACTTCCTGCTCCATTCCATCTTATATCAATGTTTGAACATCTTACCATGAAAACAAGCTTACTCTTAGAATCTTCGAATGCATTCACACTCTAGGAAGGTATATATTGTTTATTATTTTTACATCGTCTCTTCCCTACTGCATCAAGCCCCATCATCCTAGCATGCACCCAGGAAATCAGCAAAAACCCATTTAAGAGTCCAGACTTCAAGGGTCCCTCACAGTAATGGGCATCTCTTGTTTTGCCCGAGCAGAGCAGACCACTCGTTTCCCCTTATTCTGCTAATTGTATTTCATTTTCCTTTAAGCAACCACCTTTCACCCCATCCTGAATCCTCAGACCTTATTTCCCTGGCTCTAGGAATTAGCACATGACACAGGCCTGGCCACTCAGAGTGTTTCATTCCCCTAGAAGTAGAGATGAGACCCCAAACGGGTCAATGACACTCTCCACTTGGAATTATTGGAATAAGTAAATCTCTTCCCACTGGGTTACTGGGTTAGCAGGATAGAAGCCTGGAGCTGATGGTGGTCATCTCCATCACTAGGAAAGAGCCTTCCTGAAAATCAGGCTTACAGACAGAAAAAGCTGAGCTGGGAGATGGAGAATAACTGGAGCCTGATGACATCATTTGTGCCCTTGGATCCAGCTGTGCCTAAAGGCAGATACTTCTGGACTTTTTAATTACCTGAATTCATAAAATTTCTTTCTGACTTAAGTCACTTTGAGTTGGGTTTTCAGTGATTTGCAACTAAAATATTGCTGGCTGATTCACAGCTCTGAGACCAAATGAGATAGACCTGGTGTGGGGTCTGTGGTCTGTTAGGAACCGGGCTGCACAGCACAAGGTGAGCGGCAGGCGAGCTGAAGCTTCATCTATATTTACAGCCACTCCCCATTGCTTGCATTACCGCCTGAGCTCTGCCTCCTGTCAGATCAGCAGTGGCATTAGATTATCATAGGAGCCCAAATCCTACTGTGAACTGCACACCAAAGGATCTAGATTGTGCACTCCTTATGAGAATCTAATGCCTGATGATCTGTCACTGTCTCCCATCACTCCCATATGGGACCGTCTAATTGCAGGAAAACAAGCTCAGGGCTCCTGCTGATTCTACATTATGGTGAGTTGTATAATTATTTCATTATATATTACAATGTAATCATAATAGAAATAAAGTGCACAATAAATGTAATGCACTTGAATCATCCCAAAACCATCCCCTGTCACCCATCCGTGGAAAAACTGTCCCTGATGCCAAAAAGGTTGGGGACTGCTGAGCTAGACTTTAGTACACATCCTTCCAGCTTTCTTCTCTTGGCCCTAAATAGAGTTAGAAACGAAAATACAGTTTATTGTCGCCCTGCGTCCATGCGTCCATGGGGGCTTTGGATGAATTCCAAGGAGATACTGGTTGCAGGAGCAAGCCCAAGGCACAAACGGAGTCACTTCAGGATCCGGATGCTCATTTTTTGCTCAACGTCCATCTTCTCTAAGGACTGAGGGAAAAACAAATGGCAGGCAAGAGGCTTGACTCTCAGCTCTCCATGCTCCCAACCTCCTCCCCCAGGGTTCTACCCATTCCAGAGACCCCATCATTCCCAGGCAACCCCTATCTTTCCGCCCTCCTCCGTTGAACGTTTCCCAAGTCTGTCTGCCCCAGAACTCCTGATCTCAACTCCCCAATCCCCAAGGGCACTCTGACCTTGGTGAACTCCACGAAGGACACAGCCCCATCCCCATCTTCATCAGCCTCCTGCACCGTGCGGTCAGCGATGTTCTCCAGCTGCTCTTCTGTCACCTGTACCCCAACCATCAGACGGAGAACCTGAGAGATGAGTGAAGAGGCAGCCATAAGGAGGGGGCACGAAGGCTGCAACTCCCCATCTCCTAAACCTTGCCCACCTCATCCCAAAAGTTATTGCTAATTTTATAATCCATCCTTCATCCATTTTTCACCATATCCCCCAATAATTTTCCCTACTGCTTCAACAACCAATCTCCTATCTCTCCCTCACCATCCTGCACTACCCTCAAAATATGCTCAAACTCATTACCCAACTTTATCACCCAACCTCCATCCATCCTCCACACCATTCTCCACCTTAGCCACTAAGGGTTTCTAATTCCATCCTCATTCCATCACATCTGTTCCAGAGTTTCTCAATCTTGGCACTGTTGACATTTGGAGCCAGGTAACTCCTTGTTGGAAGAGGCTCTCCTGGGTATTGCATGATATATAGCCACATTCCTGACCTCTACCCACTAGATGCCAGTAGCACACTCTCTCCCCCATTGTGACAACAAAAAGCATCTCCAGATATTGCCAGATATTCACTCAGGGAGCAAAATCACCCCCAGTTGAGAATCACTGATCTATTCCCAACCTCATAGTCAACTGCTCCCCACTCCGACTCCCAACAAACCCACACTCTAACTGCACCCATTCCCATTTCCCAACCAATACCCCAATTATCTGCGCCCCAGTTCCCCAATCATCCCACCCCATCTCTCACACCATTGCATTTAACCATCCCATCCTTCACACATCACATCTCTTGCTCTCGCTTTCTGCCAACCTGCAGCATCTCATGCCTGGAGATCTTCCCATCGCGATCCAGGTCATAGAGCTGAAATGCATCTGGGGAGAGGGTGGGAGGGGGAAAGGAAGGTAGGTCTTCCCTGGCTCTCTTCCAGCAGCCACCTTCCTTCCCCCCACCTTGGAGGAGGGGGGAGGTTGTCAATGCCCTCAGGAAGGGAGTGGGAGATCCCTGGAGCCTGTCCCTGGTGTGGGTACATCTGCATTCTCACTTGTGCAGGTCCTCACAAACTCACAGTGAAGTTTGTTCCTTCTGCTGTTGAGAGGTTCAGGTTTCTTGGGGTCTTGGGTTTCTGTGTCCTCATCTTCTACAGGGCGAAAATGAGCCAAGACCCTGACAAAGCCTGGGAAATCCACTCGCTGGCTCCTGGGGAGACGGGACAGAATGGAAAGAGGTGGTGGTCACCTTGGCCATCACTTTGCCTCCGTCTCTAACCTCCCCTCCCACCCACTCACACACCGGTTTTCCCGCCTTCACCTCCCCACGCCCAGCAAGCCTCACCCATCGGGGAAGAAGCTTTCTATAATTCGGTCTCCCAGGGGGTTCACGGCGAGCGCCCCTATCTGCTGGAGATCCATGCGGCTGCAAAGCCAAATTTCAAAGAGGGTAAGGCAGAGATGCCAGACGGAGGGTCAAAGAGGGACATGGAGTCAGAGAGACAGAGGCCAGAAGTTATGAGGCCGGCTCCCCCTCACCTCAGGTAGCCCTTCTTATTCCTGTCCAGTGCCCGGAACCGGTGGTGCAGGCGGAGCAGGCTGGCTTGGGAGACTGCGGGAAGGAGAGTGGGGTGGGGGTGTGTGACTCTGCAGGGCCAGCTCCAGAAACCCGCCCCAACAGGCCAGGAAGATGGGCCAGAACAGCGGGGGCTGGCTGGAAGGGGCGATCATCCCGGGGAATCAGGGGTTGAGCTGGCCGGGGCGGAGGGAGAGTGACACGACCCCGCGAAGATCCAGGTTCAAGACCCGGGCGGCTCGCAACCTCCCGAAAACCAAAGAACCAAAGCCATCCCTTCCAACCGCCGTCAGCTCTGCCTTCAGCTTCGAGCCGGGCTGGAGGACACCTGGGTGCCTGGATTCCTCTGGACTCCGACCCCGTGAACCCGGATCCTCCCCAGACTTGGAGGCTGGGACCCCTAGGTTAACCCGCCCCTAACCCAGCGATCCCAGGCACAGGGGCCTTGGTCTTCCAGCTCCGGGGAGCCCCGGACCCCAGACTTGTAAGTTCGTCCATCCTTCAACCCAACCCCTTCCCTAGCCCCAGACGCCTGGGTTCGCCCCGTCCCCTCCGCAGCCGCCGACGCGGGCGCACTCACAGCCGGTCTCTCGCCGAATACTGTCCCCGTCGGGAATGACCGCGGCGTGGGAGCTGCGCGACCCCATGGCCGAGCTGGAGGCGGAAGGGCCGGAGCAGCCACCCGGACCCACGCGTTCTCTCCTCCCGCCGGAGAGGCGTGGCCGCCCCAGTGGCCCCAGGGGGACGAAGGCCACAAGCCTGGCGCGCGGCCAAGCTCCAGAACCCCGGCGTGCCTCTCCTCCCACCCGCGACCCGGGCGAATGGAAAACAATGTGCAGGGTGGCGGGTCAGAGGGAGGCTGCGAACAACGGGCTGTTTCAGCTCCGAGATTTTGCGATCCGCACGGGAGAGGCTGGTCGAGTCCCAGGCCCCGCGTTTCCACGCCTCCCCCGGGGCCGGTTCCCACGGTGCGCCCTGACACCTGAGCCACCTCCTCCTTCGCGGGCCCCGGGCGCTCCCAACCCCAGGGCGCTCCCCGGCGTCGACGCTGAGGAAGCCTGGGAGACCTGACCTCCTCTGTAGAGACCACGCCCTGCTGGAAGGCGGGTGGCCTATGGGGAGGGAATCCTGGGGGGAGGGGGGAAGAGGCATCGAAGAACTCCCAAAGACGGGGAAGTGGGGAGGGGCGGCGAGATGAAGGGTGTGCGTTAGGTTAAGTGGAAAGAGCACTGGTTTGGGAGTCCTTGTTGGAATCCCAGCCGTGCCCGTGACTCTGGGAAAGTCAGTAAATCTTGGTTTCATCCCTTTTGTTCGGTTCACATTGCCTTATTGTTGTTTAATTGAGCCAATGCTTAAAATTCAGGAGATTTAACCCAAAATCCACATTCTTGGCTTTTCCTGAGAAATCAGAAGTTCTATCACCACCAGGCCCAGAGCTGTCTTCTGGCCACAGTCCCTCCAAGCCCAATTCACTCCCTTAGGTACCTACTGATCCCGTAGAGCTCCAGACTGGGAATGACTTAGTCCTCTGAACAGCCCTCCAGAGCCATGGGACTCCTTGGCCCAAGAGAGGGTTACAGACATCACTGGGACTAGGCTTAAAGCAAGAATGACAACAAGGGCTCTTGTTTACCACGCTTTGCTAAGCACTTTACGTGCATCCGTTCACACATTCCTTGTAGGCCCTGCTGGGCTGCTTTCTTCTAATTTTACGTGGTGGAGGCTGCCGGGGGCAAGTTGTGAACTAATTATGTAAAGCGTGCATTCTCAGTGCGGTCTCTATCTCACCCCAACGGGGCAAAAAATAAAACATATTTTTTATGTACAAAGCACAGCATACATACAGCACATAAATAGATATACAGTATAGCTGTGATATTGAAATTTCAGGGCAGACGTGGAGGCTCATGCCTGTAATCCCAGCACTTTGGGAGGTAGAGGCAGGAGGATTGCTTGAGCCCAGGAGCTCAAGACCAGCCTAGGCAACATAGTGAGACCCCATCTCTACAAAAGAATACAAAAAAAAAAAATTAACCAGGTGTCGTGGCACATGCCTGTAGTCTCAGCTACTTGGGAGTCTGAGACAGGAGGATCACTTGAGCCCAGGAGGTTGAGGCTGCAGGGAGCCATGATCACGCCATTACACTCCAGCCTGGGTGACAGAGTGAGACCCTGTCTTGAAAAGAAAAGAGGCCGGGCGCGGTGGCTTATGCCTGTAATCCCAGCACTTTGGGAGGTCGAGACGGGCGGATCACCTGAGGTCAGGAGTTTGAGACCAGACTGACCAACATGGAGAAACCCAGTCTCTACTAAAAATACAAAATTAGCTGGGCGTGGTGGTGCATGCCTGTAATTCCAGCTACTCGGGAGGCTGAGGCAGGAGAATCGCTTGAACCCGGGAGGTGGAGATTGAGGTGAGCCTAGATCGCGCCATTGCACACCATCTTGGGCAAAAAGATCGAAACTTGGTCTCAAAAAAAAAAAAAGAAAGAAAATAAAATTTCATGGGGTAGGGGTGAGGGTGGGGAAATTAAAAAGACTAGGGGAGGCGTTGATAATGAAAAAAAAACAGGTCGAGAAACTCATTTGTCAAGGGACAAACACTAGAAGTGTCCACTTTTGAAAGTATCTTTAAACCGTTTCCCCCATCATAATTGCACATACATACACAAATTTCCCAGGGGGGAAAACATGCAAGCAGTTCATTGCAAGGGCTCAAGTTCATATCCACCCTGGAGAGAGAGAAGCTGAAGAAACAGTCTATCCTCCAGCCCCAGGCAGAGGC
Organism: Homo sapiens; assembly: GCF_000001405.40. Taxonomy (NCBI): domain Eukaryota; kingdom Metazoa; phylum Chordata; class Mammalia; order Primates; family Hominidae; genus Homo; species Homo sapiens. The sequence continues at coordinate 23,752,911 of NC_000016.10, read as the reverse complement.
CTGCATCAGATAAGTCTTGAAAATATTGATCTAAGAAGTGCTTGCTTCTTTCAGATACCCCCAAGGATTAAGCAACTGGCATAAGGAATGCTTGATTCTCTTTCAGACTCCCCCCAAAGACTAAGCATGCGGGAAACCACACTCCTCCCTAATGAAGCCCAGCAATCACTGCAACCCACAGCTGTGAGTCAGGCTGTGCATGTAGTTTGGGTTCAGTTCTGAACCCAGGAGGAGATGAGAGCCCTAAGAAGCTGTGATAAGCACCGCAGGCCAGCTTGGGATGCTGATCTTGGAAAGGGCTTCTCCAGCCTTAATATTGGAGTCAGTGCTACACCAAAGTAAATTAGGCCGGAGAGTAATTAGGAACTCCCATGCACACATCATACACAAGCTTTTAAGAGAGGGCTGGACCAGGCACAGTGGCTCACACCTATAATGCCAGCCCTTTGGGAGACTGAGGCGGGCAGACCATGAGGTCAGGAGATTGAGACTATCCTGGCTAACACAGTGAAACCCCGTCTCTACTAAAAATACAAAAAATTAGCTGGGTGTGGTGGCAGGCGCCTGTAATCCCAACTATTTGGGAGGCTGAGGCAGGAGAATCACTTGAACCTGGGAGGCAGGTGTGGCAGTGAGCCAAGATCACACCACTGCACTCCAGCCTGGGTAACAGAGCAAGACTCCATCTCAAAAAGAAAAAAAAAGAAAGAGAGAGAGAGCAGGCTATGCTAGAACTCATTTCTGTTTCATGTACACAAGTGAGACTTAAATCAACTTCACAGTTTTTTCAGGTCATTTAAGCGGGAAGATGCTTTGGGGAAAATTTTATCTGCAGAATCTGTTAGACTAGAGTCAGGAGGAATATTTGGTTTTTGCTTTTCAGCTATGTAAAAGTTGCTAGTCATTCTTTTTTTTTTTTTCTTATTTAATTTTTTGAGACAGAGTCTTACTCTGTTGCCCAGGCTGGAGTGCAGTGGCGCCATCTCAGATCACTGCAACCTCTGCCTCCTGGGCTTAAGCAATTCTCCTGCCTCAGCCTCCCTAGTAGCTGGGATTACAGGCATGCACCACCACACCTGGCTAATTTTTGTATTTTTAGTAGAGATGGGGTTTCACCATGTTGGCCAGGCTGGTCTCGAACTCCTGACCTCAAGTGATCTGCCCACTTCGGCCTCCCAAAGTGATGGGATTACAGGCATGAGCCACCACGCCTGGCCGCTAGTCATTCTTGGTGAAGGTTCAACTAGAAGAATGAACATCCAGGAATAGTCAGGAAAATACAGAACAATTAGCACTCAATAATAAAAAGATAAATGACCCAACTTTTTAAACGGGCAAAGGACTTGAATAGACATTTCTCCAAAAAAACATATATGTTTAGCCAATAAGTACATGAAAAGATTCCCCACATCATTCGTCATCAGGGAAATACAAACCAACCACAATGAGATATCACTTCATACCCACTAAGATGGCTGGAATTAAAACAAACAAAAACAAGTCTTAGTGAGGCTATGAAAAAGTTGGAAGCCTCATTCATTGCTGATGGAAAAGTAAAATGGTTCAGTTACTGTGGAAAACAGTTTGAAAGTTTCTCAATACACTAAACAAAATTACCATGTGACCCAGCAATTCTGCTCCTAGGTATACACCCAAAAGAATTGAAAATAGGGGCTCAGGCCAGGCACAGTGGCTCACACCTGTAATCCCAGCCCTCTGGGAGGTAGAGGTGGGCAGATCACTTGAGGTCAGGAGTTCAAGACCAGCCTGGCCAACATAATGAAACCCCATCTCTACTAAAAATACAAAAAAATTAGCCAAGCATGGTGGCACGCATCTGTAATCCCAGCTACTTGGGAGGTTGAAGCAGGAGAACCACTTGAACCTGGGAGGCAGAGGTTGCAGTGAGCCGAGATTGCACCACTGCACTCCAACCTGGGCAACAGAACGAGACTCCGGCTCAAAAAAAAAAAAGAAAGAAAGAAAGAAAGAAAGAAAGAAAGAAAGAAAGAAAGAAAGAAAGAAAGAAAGAAAGAAAGAAAATAGGAGCTCAAACAAAAACCTGTAGTGAATATTCATAGCGACACTATTCATAACAGCCAAAAATTGGAAATAAGCCAAATGTTTGACTGATGAATGGATAAGTAAAACATGGTATATTGATACAACGGAATATCATTTGGCCATAAAAAGTAATGAAGTATTATATATGCCACAAAATGGATGAACCTTGAAAACTCTATGCTAAGTAAAATAAACCAGTCACAAAAGACCACGTATTATATGATTGCACTTACATGAAATGTTAAGAATAGGCAAACCCGTAGAGACAAAAAGTAGGTTAGTGATTGCCGAGGGCTAAGGGAGGTAGGTGGGAGTCAGGGATAATAGCTAAAGTGTACAGGGTTTCTTATTTTTTCTTTTTTTTCTTAAGACAGGGTCTCCTATCACCCAGGATGCAGTGCAGTGGAGTGATCATGGCTCACCACAGCCTCAACTTCCTGGGCTAAGATGATCCTCCCACCTCAGCCTCCTTAGTAGCTAGGACTATAGGCACATGCCATCTCAACTGGCTAATTTTTTGTTGTTGTTGTTGTTTGTTTTCTTGTAGAGATGGGATCTCACTATGTTCCCCAGGCTGTCCTGGGCTCAAGCGATCCACCCGCCTCTGCTTCCCAAAGTGCTGGGATTACAGGTGTGAGCCACTGCGCCTGGTCCCAGGGTTTCTTGTTGAGGTGATGAAAATGTTCTACAATCGACTCTGGTGATAGTTTGGTTGCACATATCTGTGAATGTAATAAAATCTATTGCATTGCATGCTTTAAATGGGCAAATTGTGTGGTATGTGAATTATATCTCATTAAAACTTTTTTAAAAGAAAACAGCACAGAGAAGACAGTCAAACTTGACTCTCCAGAGGAAATAAAAGTTGTAACAAGATTTCTGTAGCTGAACCTACAGAGGGATCTTTTTTTGTCTTCTTAAAAACAAACTATAAAACAAAAAAAAAATTTGAAAGAAAAAAGTAAACAAAAAAATAAAAATTAAAAACAGAATAGCCAGGAAAGCTCTGGGACGAAAAGTAATGAGGGTGGGTGACATCAACATCATTAGTCATCAGGGAAATACAAATTCCTCTACCAGGAATAGAGAGGTAAGAAACAGGAATAAAGGGCCAGGCGTGGTAATCCAGAACTTTGGGAGGCCGATGCAGGTGGATCATGAGGTCAGGAGTTCAAGACCAGCCTGGCCAACATGGTGAAACCCCGTCTGTACTAAAAATATAACAACTAGCCAGGTGTGGTTGTGGGTGTGTGTAATCCCAGCTACTCAGGAAGCTGAGGCAGGAGAATTGCTTGAACCCAGGAGGCGGAGGTTGCAGTGAGCCGAGATCGCACCACTGCACCCCAGCCTGGGAAACAGAGTGAGATTCCATCTCAATTAAAAAACACACACACACACACAGAGACAAGAGGCCTTGTGTAGTGGCTCACACCTGTAATCGCGGCACTTTGGGAGGCTGAGGCAGGTGGATCACTTGAGCCCAGGAGTTCAAGACCAGCCCAGGCAACATGGCAAAACTCTATCTCTACAAAAAATACAAAAATTAGCTGGGCATGATGGTGCACAGCCTGTAGTCCCAGCTACTCAGGAGGCTGAGGCGGGAGAATTCTTGAGCCCCGGAGGTGGAAGTTGCAGTGAGCCGAGATCGCAGCACTGCACTCCAGCCTGGGTGACAGAGCTAGACCCTTTCCCGTGTGAAAGAAAGGAAAGAAGGAAGGAAGGAAGGAAGGAAGGAAGGAAGGAAGGAAGGAAGGAAGGAAGGAAGGAAGGAAGGAAGGGAAAGAAAGAAAGAAAGAAAGAAAGAAAGAAAGAAAGAAAGAAAGAAAGAAAGAAAGAAAGAAAGAAAAAGAAAGAAAGAAAGAGAGAAAAAGAGAGAGGGAGGGAGGGAAGGAAGGAAGGATGGAGGGAGGGAGGGAAGGAAGGAAGGAAGGGAGGGAGGGAGGGAGGAAGGAAAGAAGGGGAGAAAGTCAGAAATATACCCAAATATATATGGAAATTTGGCATTTGATAAAAGTAACATTTCAAATTAGTGACATTCAAAAATGTCATTTGGGTCCTCTCTCTGTCTTTTGGGAGAAAAAAATAAGGCTGTACTTTACCTTTTTATACCAAAATATAATAAATTCCAGATCGAATAGAGATTTCAATGCAAAATGAAACCATGTAATACTAGAAAAAATCTTGGGTAGCTGTTCTTATAATACTAAACAGAAGAAGGTCTTCTAAATATGAAACAAAACAAAGAAATCATAAAGAAAAGATTGACATGGCCAGGCACAGTGGGTCACACCTGTAATCCCAGTACTCTGGGAGGCCAAGGAGAGTGGATCACTTGAGCCCAGGAGTTCCAGACCAGCCTGGGCAACATGGCGAGACCCTGTCTCTACAAAAAATACAAAAATTAGCCGAGGATGCTGGCACTTGCCTGTAGTTTCAGCTACTTGGAAGGATGAGGCAGGAGGATCGCTTGAACCAAAGAGTTCGAGGCTGCAGTGAGCTGTGATCACACCACTGCACTCCAGCCTGAGCAATAGAGTGAGACCCTGTCTCAATTAATTAATTAATTAATTAAAAGTTTGACAAATTTGAACTACATGAAACTTAAACCTCCGTATGGCTACATATATATATACATACACACATATGTATATACGTATGTACATACATAAAAATATGTATATACGTATGTACATACATAAAAATATGTATATGTAAAAGATAAAAGACAATCCAATAGGAAAAATAATTGGGATAAGATGTAAAAGAGGCATGGTCAATAAGGATAAAAAGACACTTAACCATACAAAGTCTAAAATACAAACTGAAACAATGGACTATTACTAGCTTAGATATGTTCAAAACAAGCAAGCATGAGTCACAAAAGTGTGGTAGAACATAGTGGAAGGGTTTTTTTTTTTAGACGGAGTCTCGCTCTGTCGCCCAGGCTGGAGTGCAGTGGCGCCATCTCAGCTCACTGCAAGCTCCACCTGCCTGGTTCATGCCATTCTCCTGCCTCAGCCTCCCAAGTAGTTGGGATTACAGGTGCCCGCCACCATGCCAGGATAATTTTTTGTATTTTTAGTAGAGATGGGGTTTCACCATGTTAGCCAGGATGGTCTTGATCTCCTGACCTCGTGATCCACCTACCTTGGAGGATGTGATAATGCAATTTCTGTTTTGCTGTTGTTATTGTGTTTGAGATGGGATTTCACTCTATCACTCAGGCAGGAGTGCAGTGGCAGCTTCTCAGCTCACTTGCAGCCTCAAACTCCTGGGCTGAAGCAATGCTCCTGTCTCAGCCTCCTGGGTAGCTAGGACTACAGGTGCACACCACCACACCCAGCTAATTTTTTTATTTTTTGTAGAAATTGGGTCTTGTTATGTTGCCCAAGTTGATCTTGAATTCCTGGTCTCAATTAATCCTCCTGCCCCAGTCTTTCAAAGTGTTGGGATTTGGGGCTTGAGTCATGGTACCTGGCTCCAATTTCTGTTTTAGTAGCATCACAAGAATCACACTGGCTGCTGTATGTAGACTTCACTGGGCAAGATGAAAGCTGGGAGACTATTGTGATAATTAAGGTAAAAGATGATGGTGGATTGGACCACAGTGCCAGCAGTGGAATGGTGAGAAAGGGTCAAATATGGATCCTATTTTGAAAGAACAGCCTGCAAGATTTGTTCATATATGGAATGTAGGCTGTGAAAGAAAGAAATCAAGGATGACTCCAAGATTTTTGTCCTAAACAACTGGAAGTTGCCATTTGCTAAGACGGTGAAGAGAGCAGAAGAAGCACATTTCAAGGGGAGAGTTAAAAAAAAAATCCTTGAGCTGCCTGTTACACATTCCAATAAAGATATTAAGTAGATTATTGTATATGGGTGTATCAGCTTCAAGAGAGAAGTTGGAGCAAGAGCTATATAGTTTGTATGTTGTGTTTTTGTTTTCATTTGTCTCAAAGTATTTTCTAATTTCCTTATGACTTCTTCTTTGATCCACTGGTTGTTTAAGAGTATGCTGTTTAATGTCTACATATTTGTGAATTTTATACTTTTCCTTCTTTTATTGATTTCTAATTTCATTCCATTGCAGAAAAGATACATTGTATGATCTCAGTATTTTTAAATATATTGAGATTTATTTCGTGGTTTAACATATGGATTATTCTGGAGAATGTTCCATGTGCACCTGAGAAGAATGTATGTTCTGCTGTTGTTGGATAGCCTGTTTTATGTATTTTATATATGTCTGTTAGGTCTAGTAGGTTTGTAGTGTTGCTCAAGTCCTCTATTTACTTATTGATTATTTTGTCTAGATGTTCTATTCAATTTTGAAAGTGGGGCATTGAAGTCTCCAACCATTATTGTAGAGCTGTCTCTTTCTCCCTTCAATTCTGCCAATATTTGCTTCATAGATTTGGGGGATTTGTTGTTTGGTGCACATATGTTTATAATTGTCATCTCTTCTTTGTGAATTGACAAGGCTATATACATGTGGGGGTTATCATTGTATAGTTGGTATTAAAACTATGGGACTGGACAAGATCACCTGGGATGTCAGTGAAGAGAGAAGAGAAGTCCTAGGATTGAGTACTGATGATCCTCTAACATCAAAAAGTTGGGAACAGGAGAAGGAGCTGCCAAAGAAGCCTGAGAAAAAATGGCCAGTGACGGGAGGAGAGTCAGGTGTGTGGTTTTTCAGCTCAGTAAAGAAAACGAGTCTGGTAATAAAAGTCAATACAAAATCCATAACTTGTAGTTTATGGCTCAAATGTGGACAATCATGGTAATTTCTGGGGTCATGTGTATGATGTGGTTTTCCAAATGAGGACTGAAAACATCCATCTCCCTTCTGCTCACTAATGCCAAGCTGGGTGCTACTGGGCAGTGGTGGGGTTGGTTCCATCAAGAGTTGCATTCTGTGTAGGGCTGTACTCAGTAAAAGACTGACATGTTTTCTCTTCAGAGCTCTCCAGGAAAGCTAAATTTTGCATCAAGACTGGTATAAATCAGAACCCAGTGGGGTGTACTGTCCAGAGTGCCTCAAGGCCTAATAGGATGGCAACACAAAAAAACTGAACATACCCCAGTAGTACCAAGTCACTGTTCTTCTAGATCTTCAGAATTTTGCCCATCTGGGAAGGAAAGGAATCCCTGAACTAAAACAAACTGGTTTTTTACGAAGAAGACTGGAGAATTAGGTTTGCAAAAGGCATAAACCAGGACAGTTTTGGGGGAGCTTGACAGCAGGAGTCGTCACAGGAACAGTGCAAGAATGACCTGACTGACCCAGCCATTCCCTCCTAGGTATATAGAAAGAAATAAAAACTTATAGTCATGCAAAAACTTGTACACGGATGTTTACAGGACCATTATTCATAACAGCCAACAGTGGAAACAACCAACAGCTCCCTCGGGTCTTTTTTATAAGGGCGAAAGTCTCATTCATGAGCACTCCACCTTCACAACCTAATTACCTCCCCAAAGCTCCACCTCCTGATAACATCACATTTGGGATTAGGCTTCAACATATGAGTTTTGCTGAGGGAACATGAACATTCAGACCACAGCAGATGCATTCCAGGTGAGGTGCCTATTAGACATCTAAACTGGGTTTAAGAACACCTCCAAGGCCGGCTGGGCACGGTGGCTCACACCTGTAATCCCAGCACTTTGGGAGGCCGAGGCAGGTGGATCACAAGGTCAGGAGTTTGAGATCAGCCTGGCCAACATGGTGAAACCCCATCTCTATTAAAGATACAAAAAATTAGCTGGGCATGGTGGTGCACACCTGTAATCTCAGCTACTCGGGAAGCTGAAGCAAGAGAATCACTTGAACCCGGGAGGCGGAGGTTGCAGTGAGCTGAAATTACACCACTAAACTCCAGCCTGGGCTACAGGGCGAGACTCTGTCTCAAACAACAACAACAACAACAACAACAACAACAACAACAACAAACACCTCCTAACATTATCCCTCCTCTTCCCTTCCCTCCCCTTGCCCTCTCTCTTCCCCTGTCTATTCTCCACAGGGCAGCCTGAGGGCTTTCTAAAGAAGTGCAACCATTTCACAATGGCCAGTTGTTCTTAGGAAACTTTTGAGTTCCAGAGGCAGAAACCAACCTCAACCTAGATTAAGGAAAGGAGAGCATGGATAAGCTCAAGCCAAAGGGAATTCTAGGGGAATGTACCTCAGGCACAGCGAGATGCAGGTGTTCAAACAATGCCATCAGGTCGCTGTCTCACTTTCTTTCTCCATTGGCTGTGCTTTTCTCATTTTCAGACAGACTCTCCACCTGCCTACAAAGATGGTGCCCAACATCTCCAGGCTGAACTGGTCCTTAGTACCTTGGATCTCAGAGAGTAAGAAGTGTCTCTCTCTCCCCCAGGATCCAAACAGTCCCAGAAAAGGAACTCACATGCTCACTTCTAAACCCATCACCGAGGGGCCAGCTGGGGTCTTACACTCACCCTTGTGGTGGGGAAGGTGAGGTCTCCTTTTTTGCATCCTATTTACCAATCCTGATTCCTATGGGACCCACTGCTGCCCCCTCTTTTTTTGTGCATCTTCCAGAGTTGTTCATACATATGCAAGAAAATATAAAAAGAGGCCGGGCACAGTGGCTCGTGCCTGTAATCCCAACACTTTGGGAGGCTGAGGCGCACAGATCACTTGAGGTCAGGAGTTCAAGACCAGCCTGGCCAACATGGCGAAATCCCATCTCTACTAAAAATACAAAAATTAGCCGGGCATGTGTGGAGGAAAAGTTAAATATTAAATTTGAACTCAATTGAAAGTGGACACAAACAATGGTCACCAAGTCCCAGAACAGGTTGTATGAGCCCCTTGATGCATTCATCCAGCGCTGTTTCAGGAAAATCTCTATTTTAATCTATTCCTGTATGTTAGTTATTGAAAAACAACTGACCATTGCAAAAACAAGTTGATCTTTCTGTGTTCCTTGAGTCCAGTCGCGAAGGGCTGTCGTGACTGGGCCTCATGCCAAACAACTCATTACAAAAAGAGCTAGGGTCCCAGACCACGCCGAAGCTTCGTGAGACCTCTCCTCGTCTGTGCACAGATGGGTGGCCGACTCTGGAGCCCAGGCTGTTGCTTCCCGGTCTAGTGATGAATCCTCCATAGTCTGTTGAGTGTAAATTTATATATCTTTTCCCTTCTCCCCTTCCCATTGCAATTTGCTTATTATATCAATTTGCTTATTATATCATTTGCTTATTATATCTCCATTGCCATTCACGTGGGGTAAAGGTTGTTTACCCTTAAAGGTAGTGTGTGTGTCTTTTCTTTTCCCTTTGTGCGTTTCCCACACAGAACAGCGTGGTGGCAGGCACCTGTAATCCCAGTTACTCGGGAGACTTGGACACTTGAACCCGGGGGACAGAGTTTGCAGTGAGCTGACATCGCGCCACTGCACTCCAGCCTGGCCACAGAGAAAGACTCCATCAAAAAAAAAAACAAAAACAGACAGTAAAATATATAGGGATGCCTCCTATGAGAAAGGAATCTTTTCCAGAAGTCTCTCCCAAAAGACCTCCCCTTTTCCCTCATTTGCGGAGATTTCCTTACATGCTCATGCAAAAAGCAATCATGAGCAAGAAAAATGTGCAACATGAGAATCACCTGGTATGTTTAAAAAATACGAGATATGGGGACCCAATCTCAGACCAATTAAATCAGAGGCTGAGTCAAAGGGTTCAGAGACAGCGGCAATTAGCAGCAAGACTAAAAACTAAAACCAGGTCATCCCCTGCAGGAAAAGAAAAAGGGTGGGGAAAGAAGCGGAGTGGAAGAGAAGAACAAAAGGGATGGGGAAAGGGAGGAGGAGTGAGAGGATGGAAAGGAGAAAAACCAACTATGTCGCCATCCTCTGGTGGACGTAAAGGGCAGGTCCTCAACTCTGTTCTTTCTACTTACTCATTTGAGAAACATGTGCTGGATGCTGAGATTAGAGCAGTAAACAAAAGACACACAGTCCCAGACCCATAGAGCTGAGTCCAATGGAGGAGGTAGACACTAAATATATTCAGTCATTCATTTATTCAACAAAGATTTACTGAGCACCTACTCTATGCCAGGCACCATCTTAAGAGCTGGGATATGAGCCTGGTGTGGTGGCTCACACCTGTAGTCCCAGCACTTTGGGAGGCCAAGGAGGGAGGATTGCTTGAGGCCAGGAATTCAAGGCCAGCCTGGGTAACATAGCAAGACCTCATCTGTACAAAAAATGTTTAAAAATTAGCTGGGCGTGGTGGTGTGCACCTGTAGTCCCAGCTACTTGGGAGGCTGAAGTGGGAGGATCACTTGAGCCCAGGAGGTCAAGGCTGCAGTGAGATGTGATCGTGCTACTGCACTCCGGCCTGGGTGACAGAGCGAAATCCTGTCTCTTAAAAAAAAAAAATAGATACAACAATTTGCATTAGAAACAAAACCAACTATCAACATTCCACAATGTTATGGTGACTATATGGTTTTCACAAACTGGCATTTGTTAGTTCTTTGGGAAGAAAAAAATGTTCACTCCAAGAATCTCCTCCAAAAGTACTCAATGTCTCTAACCCTGGCACAAAACAAATGGCAATTATCTCAACAACAGCAAAAAAAAAAAAATTAAACTTGAAGTTATTTTGCAATGGATATGCTACTATGTGTGAATTTGTTAGTATAAGACAGGGATCAGCCAACATTTTCTGCAAAGGGACAGATAGTAAATATTTTAATTTTGCAGGCTGTACGGTCTGTATTACATCTACTCAGCTCTGCTCTGCAGGGCAAAAGTAGCATAGACAATAGACAAAGGAATAAGAGTTCCAACACAACTTTATTTACAGACCCTGAAATCTGAATTTCATATAATTCTCACATGTCACAAAATACCATTCTCCTTTTGGTTTTTTCTGATCATTAAAAAATGCAAAAACTATCTTAGCCCACAGACCACACAAAAACAGGCAGCAGGCAGGGTTTGGCAGGCACACTTGGCTGACTCCTGGCAAGACAGATGTTACTAGAGATTCAGGCATGAATTTCCCAATGTGCCTTGACAGGGAAACTGAAAAGACACCTAAAAACCTTTGATATCAATAAGGGATCACCCCAGGTACGACAGGTACATTTTTGTTCTACAGAGATAGGGATGGAATTTATCTTTTTTTTTTTTGGTGGGGGAGGGCAGAATAGGATTACAAATTGAGTTGTATTGATTCTAAATGGTATTTGAGGATAAAAAAGATGTTTCCAGCCAAGCGTGGTGGCTCACACCTGTAATCCCAGCATTTTGGGAGGTCAAGGTGGATGGATCACCTGAGGTCAGGAGTTCGAGACCAGCCTGGCCAACATGGTGAAACCCCATCTGTATGAAAAACACAATGCTGCCGGGATGGTGGCACACGCCTGTAATACCAGTACTGGGGAGGCTGAGGCAGGAGAATCACTTGAACCTGGGAGGTGGAGGTTGCAGCAAGTGGAGATTCCTACCACTGCACTCCAGCCTGGCAAGAGAGCAAGACTCCATCTCACAAAAACAAAAGAAAGAAAGAAAGAAAAAAAAGACGTTTGCATGTTGCACATAATTGTTATATTAATTGTCTGTAATTGGCTGGGAGTGGTGGCTCACGCCTGTAATCCCAACACTTTGGGAAGCTGAGGCAGGCGGATCACTTGAGATCAGGAGTTCAAGACCAGCCTGGCCAACATGGTGAAACCTCGTCTCTACTAAAAATACAAAAATTAGCTGGGCGTGGTGGTGTGCACCTGTAATCCCAGCTATCTGGGAGGCTGAAGCACGAGATTCGCTTAAACCCAGGAGGCAGAGGTTGCAGTGAGCCAAGATCATGCCACTACACCCCAACCTGGGCAACAGAGCAAGATTGTCTCAAAAAAAAAAAAGTGTAATTAATGGGGTGTTGGCCCATATGTCATGTAGCCTAAGGCAATTCACTAAATCTCTCTGAACTTTAGTTTCCTTAACGGTATTGTAAATGGAGGGGAAAAATAGTAGCTGGTACCTAAGAATGTGTTCAGGAGTAAATGACATAAATGCCTGTGATTGGCTTATCACAGCATCTGGTACACAGCATGCACTAAAAAACGAAAGCTGTTACTATGGCTATTGTTTGATACCACTCTGCGTTGGGTTTTTTTTTCTTTTTTTTTTTTTTTTTTTTTTTTTGTGAGACAGAGTCTTGCTCTGTTGCCCAGGCTGGAGTGCAATGGCATGATCTCAACTCACTGCAACCTCCATCTCCTGGGTTCAAACAATTCTCCTGCCTCAGCCTCCTGAGTAGCCAGGACTACAGGTGCACCACCATGCCCCACTAGTTTTTGTATTTTCAGTAGAGATGGGGTTTCACCATGTTGGCCAGGCTGGTCTCTAACTCTTGACCTTAAGTGATCCGCCCACCTTAGCCTCCCAAAGCGCTGGGATTACAGGGGTGAGCCACTTCTCTCAGCCTGCATTGCTTTTTAGTAGTAACCATCATAAAATATAAAATTGGAGAAGAGGATATAAGAGTTAACACATGTCAACATTTTTGTACCTTTAACCAGTAATAAAATTTATTAAAGATTGTTAAAAGTCACTCTCCTTTATATTTCTTTTTCTGTTTGAACATCAGGTTCGTAGAATTGGATTATTCATGATAATGAATACCCTTGGCTCAAGGCATACTCTTATCAGTGTTTCGTGTATGGCCTGCCTTTATGTTGTTAGTTAGCAGTTTTTAATAAGGTATTCAGCATCCGCAAAACCACTCACTAAAAACAAAAGCTAGGAACTTAGCAGTAGCCAACCTCTAACCACATGGTTTCCCCAAGTAGGGAGCCATCGTTCTGAATCCCATATTCATCATTCTCTTGCTTTCCTATTTATGTTTAGTTCATTTTATATGTATTCCTTAGAAGTGCATATTTTAGACCAAGCATGGTGGCTCACACTTGTAATCCCAGCACTTTGGGAGGCCAAAGCAGGAAGATCCCTTAAGTTCAAGGAGTTCAAGAACAGCCCAGGCAACATAGTGAGACCCCATCTATACAAAAAAATCTAAAAATGACCAGGCATGGTGGTGTACCTGTAGTTCCAGTGACTAGGGAGGCTGAGCTGAAAGGATTGCTTGAGTCCTTGAGCCCAGGAGTTCAAGGTTACAGTGAGCTATGTTCACATCACTGCACTCCAGCCTGGGTGACAGAGTGAGTGTCACAGGGTGACTGTCAAAAAAAAAAAAAAAAAAAAAAAAGCACATTCTTATGTTGACTGCTTGTTTGTTTGTTTTTTAAAGACAGAGTCTCGCTCTGTCACTTGAGTGTAGTGGCATGATCTTGGCTTACTGAGGCCTCCCCTCCCAGGTTCAAGCGATTCTCCAGCCTCAGCCTCTCAAGTAACTGGAATTACAAGCATTAGCCACCATGCCCAGATAATTTTTGTATTTTTAGTAGAGACGGGGTTTCACCATGTTGGCCAGGCTCGTTTCGAACTCCTGACCTCAAGTGATCCACCCACCTTGGCCTCCCAAAGTGCTGGGATTACAGGTATGAGCCACCACGCCTGCCCTCTTGGTATTATTTTTTATTGTTGTATTGTTATTTTTTATGAGTTTTTCTCCCGAATATTTTCAATCCAAGGTTGGTTGAAACCACAGATACAGAACCCACAGATATGGAGGGTGGCTATATTCAACTTGAAGAGATAATGCCCAACTGTTTTCCAAAGTATTTATATGATTTTACACTTCCACCAGCAATGTATATGCATGCATTCTATATATTTCTCATCCAAATGCTGGGGATTTGTTGAAGGAAATGAAATACATTATAAAGAACGTATTTTAGTATAAGGATCAGAGGAATTTCATGGAAACCTAGAGCAAGAAGTTCAGCTAACCAGCTACCTGGCACTCTGGCTCTCTCTTGTTCTCTCTCTCTCTGTCTGTCTGTCTTTGGGTGCAGATCATCTCCCTCTCTGCTTCTCTCTTTCTGGGTATTTCTCTTTTTTCTCTGTAAGTCAGTGTCCTCTAAAAGGCTCCCACAGTCCGTCTCCTCCGTAACTTGGACTTGCCCTTGACTTAGTGCCTGGGTGCAGTGGTTCATGCCTGTGAGCCCAGTACTTTGGGAAGCCGAGGCAGGAGAATCCCTCAAGGCTAGGAGTTTGAGAACAGACTGGGCAACAGTGAGATCCCATCTCCTAAAAAAAAACAGAGTTGCCCTTGACTTTGGGTTCCACAGCATCAACTCTGACCCAGATCCTACAGTATCTTACCACTCCAGGGTTCCCAAACCCGCTCGCCATCAATTCAGATTTTAAAGAGAATAGATCTACTTGGCTTAGCTGGGATCAAGTGTCCACGCCTGGTCCAATCAGCGGAGTCCAGGAGTTCAAGACCAGCCTGGCCAACATAGAAAAACCCTGTCTCTACTAAAAATACAAAAAATTAGCTGGATGTGGTGGCACACGCCTATAATCCCAACTACTCAGGAGGCTGAGGCACGAGAATCACTTGAAACCAGAAGCAGTGAGCCGAGATTGCACTAACGCACTCCAGCCTGGGTGATAGAGCAAGACTGTCTCAAAAATAAATAAGTAAACAAATTCATACATACATACATACATATATACATACATACATACATACATACATACATACATAAAACTAAGCATCTAATTTGACTTCAGCCTTAAGAGAAACACAAATTAAAATTACACGGAGATACCATTTTTAATTTCTGAGAATAGAAAAAAGAATTCTGAAGTTGGAAAAATATACTGGTGGTGAGGCTCTCAGGACCTAGGCACTCTCATTTCAGTTTCTCCCTGTAGAGGGTTGTGTTCATTGGTATAACTCCTGCAGAGGTCATGTGGATACTATCCATTAAAATCCCAAATATATTATATGGACTCCTAGACTCAGCAATCCAACTTCTAAGAATTAACCCTACAGAAACACTCGCATGTTTGTAAAATGATATGTGCACAAGGTTATCTGATGCAAAATTGGTTTTTTACCTAGCCAAAAAAAAGAAAAAAAAGGAAACAGAAACCATCCAAGTGTCCATCAGGTTAAATAAAGTACAGTACCATGAAATAAAATGAAGCTGTAAGAAAGAGGGAAGGAGAGAGAAGAAGGAAAGAAGGAAGGAAGGAAGGGAGGGAGGGAGGGAGGGAGGGAGGGATGGAGGGAGGGAGGGAGAGAGGGAGGGAGGGAAGGAGGGAAGGAAGGAAGGAAGGAAGGAAGGAAGGAAGGAAGGAAGGAAGGAAGGAAGGAAGGAAGGAAGGAGGGAAGGAAGGAGGGAAGGAAGGAAGGAAGGATGGAAGGAGGGAAGGAAGGATGGAAGGAAGAAAGGAAGGAAGGAAGGAGAGGAAGGCAAGAAAGAAGGAAGGGAGAAACCTTTCTACAAACTCATATAGGAAGATCTCCAAGATATGTCACATGAAAAAGCTAGTTGTAGAACAATATGCATGATTGTGAATAATATGCTATCTTTTCTGTTAAAAATACAACAGAATGTGGCCAGGAGCAGTGGCTCATGCCTGTATTCCCAGCACTTTGGGAGGCCAGGGCAGGTGGATCACTTGAGGTCAGGAGTTCACGACCAGCCTGGACAACATGGTGAAACCCTGTCTCTACTAAAAATACAAAAATTAGCTGGGTGTGGTGGTGCACACTTGTAATCCCAGCTACTCGGGAGGCTGAGGCAGGAGAATCACTTGAGCATGGGAGGCAAAGGCTACAGTTACCCGAGATCGCACCACTGCACTGCAGCCTGGGTGACACAGTGAGACTCCATCTCAAAAAAATAAAAAACAAAAAAACCAGAGAATACCAAGAAAGTACATATCTATATATACATACATATGTGTATATATTTGCATAAATAAATCCAGAAGATGCCTAAGAAACTTATTTAGGAATGTGGGAGGGCATGGTGCATTTAGATGAATAGGGAGCAACAGTTAGAGAGAGTTCACACTTTGTATGTTTTTATATGGTTAGGTTTGAAACCATGTGAATGTATTACTTACTCAGAAATTAAATTAGGCCAGGCGCGGTGGCTCACGCCTGTAATCCCAGCACTTTAGGAGGTAGAGGCGGGTGAATCACAAGGTCAGGAGATCGAGACCAGCCTGGCCAACATGGTGAAACCCCGTCTCTACTAAAAATACAAAAATTAACTGGGTGTGGTGGTGGGTGCCTGTAATCCCAGCTACTCGGGAGGCTGAGGCAGGAGAATCACTTGAACCTGGGAGGCAGAGGTTGCAATGAGCTGAGATTGTGCCACTGCACTCCAGCCTGGCAACAGAACAAGACTCCATCAAAAAAAAATTAAATTAAAAAAATTCAATCTAATGTAAAAGAAAAAAACTAGTATCCAGGACATAAAGACAAATCTCTATATGCTGGGTGTGGTGGCTCATGTCTGTAATCCCAGGACTTTGGGAGGCTGAGGTGGAAGGATCACTTGGGTCCAGGAGTTTGAGACCAGTGTGGGCAACATAGCAAGACCTCCATCTGTATAAAAAAAAAAAAAAAAAACTTTAAAAATTAGCGGAGCTTGGTGGAACTTGCCTGTTGTCCCAGCTACTTGGGAGGCTGAGGTGGGAGGATTCACTTGAGCCTGGGAGGTCGAGGCTGCAGTGAGCCATGATCACACCAGCCTGGGCAACAGGGCAAGACTGTATCTCAAATTGAAAAAAAAAAAAAATCTACAATTTGAAAGCACAAATATTTTCTACCATTAACAAACAAACAAAATAAAACAGTATTTTTAATAATTAACTCCATCATTATTTCATCCTTAATTTCATCCATAATTAGCTTGAAACTCAAAATAATTATGCCGAGTGAAAGAAGCCAGACAAGAAAATAATCCATAGTGTACAATGCCATTTATACAAAACTCTACAAAATGCAAACTAATTTATAGTGACAGAAAGCGGATTGGTGGTTACTCAGGGATAGAAGAGCAGAAACAGGTGAGGAGTAGTTACAGAGAGGCAAAGAAAACCTTTGGGTCTGATGGGTGTGTTCACTATCTTGATTGTGTCATGGTTTCATAGGTGTGTGTGTGTATGTGTATATATATATCAAAACTTCTCAAATCATGCTCTTTTATATGTGCAATTCATTGTCAATTATGCCTCGATAAAGCATTTTAAGAGTTCATTTTATTTTTTCATTCTTAATTTCAATTTTATTATGTTTTATGATATAACAAATAGGACCAGAATTATGCGTACAACTTATAAATAATTATATATATATATATATATATATATATATATATATATATATATATATATATATATATATATTTGAGGGTGCAGGTTCAAAAATTTCTCACTGAAAGAGGCGTGTAATCACAAATGCGTGGCAACTACTGGTTGAAGCCAGTTTCAAACCCAAATACAGAAGCGAAGCCCACATGTTTAACTGCTACACTCTACTGCCCCCCGCTGGAAGTAGGTTTTGCATTAGGCCTTTAATTGGCTCCTCTGGGTTAATGTCACCAATTTAATGAGGAAAGATTTTCCAAAGATCTACTTAGAACCAAACCCTTCTGAACCACACACACACACACACGCACACACACACACACATAGCAGGAAACAGCCCCAGATCTTTCTGCCACACCAGCCTCGAGAGAGAAGAGAGGAACCATTCAAAGCTGTGAAAGAGAAAAAACAAAAACGAAACCATCAAGCCAGAGTCCAAACTTTCCCTAACACCTTGAATGGCCCCTCAGGAGGCCACGGATGGAAAGGGGTCTTCCCTAGAGGCCAACATTCCTCTTCACACTTTCTCCAGGTAAATAAAAGACTTAACACTAAGCCTCTAGCCAGGCATGGTGGCTGATGCCTGTAATCCCAGCACTTTGGGAGGCCGAGGTGGGAGGATTGCTTGAGCCCAGGAGTTCAAGATCAGCCTGGGCAACATAGCAAGACCTGTCTCTACTAAAAAAACATACGAAAATTAGCCGGCCGTGGTGGTGTGCACCTATAGTCTCAGCTACTCGGGAGGCTGAGGCGGGAGTATGGTTTGAGCCCAGGAGGTCTAGGCTGGAGTGAGGTGTGATCATCCCACTGCACTCCAGCCTGTGGGACAAAGCGAGACCCTGTCTCAAAAAAACAAAGCAAGGCTGAGCACGGTGGCTCACGCCTGTAATCTCAGCACTTTGGGAGGCCAAGGCAGGTGGATCACTTGAGGTCAGGGGTTCAAGACCAGCCTAGCCAACATGGCGAAACCCCGTCTCCACTAAAAATACAAAAATTAGCAAGGCGGGATGGCATGGGCCTGTAATCTCAGCTATGTGGGGGGATGAGGCAAGAGAATCGCCTGAATCCAGGAGGCAGAGATTGCAGTGAGCCAAGACAGCGCCACTGCGCTCCAGCCTGGGCGACAGAACAAGACCCTGTCTCAAAACAAACAAAACAAAAGCCAAACCTCTTGTCAGCCAGAGAGCCAGAGAGCCAGAGTTGCAAGGGAGAATTGCCAGAATAGAACTATTCTGACTGTAGTCTGGAGAGCTACTGTGAGTTCTGACAAAACCCACGGGCAGACCCTTGAGGACCTTACGAGTGTCTCTTTACTGGGTTTTTTTGTTTTGTTTTGTTTTGTTTCGTTTTCAGATGGAGTCTCACTCTGTCGGCCAGGCTGAAGTGCAGTGGCACAATCTTGGCTCAATGCAACCTCCGCCTCCCAGGTTCACGCCAGTCTCCTAACTCAGACTCCCAAGTAGCTGGGATTACAGGTGCCCACCACCACGCCGGGCTAATTTTTGTATTTTTGGTAGTGACGGGGTTTCCCCATGTTGGCCAGGCTGGTCTTGAACTCCTGACCTCAGGTGATCTGCCTGCCTCGGCCTCCCAAAGTGCTGGGATTACAGGTGTGAGCTACTGTGCCCGGCCATCTTTATTGTTGCTTCCAAAGACTTCTAAAGTGAGTGAGCTCATTGCTTCAGTTTCAGCCACACTATGACACACAGCCAAGAACTCACCTCCAATCCAGTTCCCATTTCAAATAATGTTCTATGAGGGGATCCACCCACACCTGGGATCTAGTCTGCAGGATTAGGCAATGCACCCAGGATAATCCCAGAGCCTAAGTAGACAGTTCCATGATCCGAAATAAGCCACCACCCTGCAAATGTTACCACTATTATCATCAGTTTCGTGCTTCCACCGAAATCTAAAACTCACAGCCAAATCATTCCATCCTAAGGAAATGAAAAGAAAAGAAAACAAAACAAAACAAAAACATGTCCAAAGGATTTTCTCTGAAATGCAATATAGCACAGAGGTTAAGAACTTCAGATTTGAAGTCAGATCACCAAGGTTCAAAGTCTGGCTCTTTATTTTATTTATTTATTTATTTTTCTTCTTAGACACAGGGTCTCACCATGTCGCCTAGGCTGGTCTTGAACTACTGGGCTCAGGCAATCCTCCCCCTCGGGCTCCCAAAGTGCTGGGATTACAGGTGTGAGCTACCATGCCTGGCCCTGGTTTTGTTGTTGTTGTTGTTGTTGTTGTTGTTGTTGTTGTTGTTGTTGTTTTTGAGACTGGCCTGCCTGGTTCTATAATTTATTTTTTTGTTTGTTTGCTTGTTTGTTTGTTTGTTTGAGATGGAGTCTTGGCCCTGTCACCAGGCTGGAGTGCAGATGCCCTATCTTGGCTCACTTCAATCTCCGCCTCCCAGGTTCAAGTGATTCTCCTGCCTCAGCCTCCCAAGTAGCTGGGATTACAGGCGCACGACACCACACCCAGCTAATTTTAGTATTTTTAGTAGAGACGGGGTTTCACCGTGTTGGCCAGGATGGTTTTGATCTCCTGACCTCGTGATCTGCCTGCCTCAGCCTCCCAAGTGCTGGGATTACAGGCATAAGCCACCGCACCCTGCACCTGTTTCTATAATTTAGCTTACAAGTTGTGTGTCTAGGGAAAGTTAACTCTAAACTTCTCCGAACCTTTTCTGTGACTCAATTTGGTCATAGATGAAATGGGGATAATAGTAGTAGTTACCTTGTAGGATTGTTGTGAGAAATATATGACACTATGTATGCAAGGCTCTTTGTACAGTGCCTGGCCCATAGGAAACGCCCTGTATCTTTACTGTTATTATTGTTACTGTTATTGTTTTTGTTTTGGGTTTTGGGGCATTTTTCTTTTTTTTGAGACGGTGTCTCACTTTGTCATCTAGGCTGGAGTGCAGTGGCACAATTTCAGCTCACTGCAGCCTCCATCTCCTGGGTTCAAACGATTCTCCCACCTCAGCCTCTCAAGTACCTGGGATTACAGGCATGCACCACCATACCCGGCTAATTTTTGTATTTTTAGTAGCGACAGGGTTTTGCCATATTGGCCAGGCTGGTCTCAACCTCCTGACCTCAGGTGATCCACCCCCTCGGCCTCCCAAAGTGCTGGGATTACAGGCATGAGCCACCACACTTCGCCTGTTATATTATTCTTCTCTACCCTCTGTCATTCTTCGCCATCTCATTTTTTTTTTTTTTTTGAAACAGGGTCTCACTCTGTTGCCCAGGCTGGAGTGCAGTGGTGATCATAGTCCTCACTTCAGTCTTAACCTCCCCAGCTCAAGCAATCCTCCCACCTCAACCTCCTGAGTAGCTGGGACCACAGGTGTGTACCTCCATGCTCAGTCTTTTTTTTTTTTTTTTAGCAGAGATGAGATCTTGCTTTGTTGCCCAGGCTGGTCTTGAACTCCTGGGCTCAAGCGATCCTCCCACCTTGACTTCCCAAAGTGCTGGGATTACAGACATGAGACACTGCACCTGGCCCATCTTGATAGACTGAAAGAGCTCATTCAGATAGGTCGGTGGATCATGTGAGTCCTTCGAGGCCTGTAGAATTGGGTTATTCAGTTCAGCATGTCTCACCTTTCCAAAATTCTAGAAGTCAACAGAACTCACAAGGATATCTCAGGACCAGTTACACACCCCCAAATTTAGAAAATACAAGCAAATATCAGAACCAAAGATGACCATTGCAGCTAGTTAAAATCAAAGCACTGATTCTTTCTTAAAGTAGCATTTCCCAACCCAAGAGCAAGATTCAAGATCTCAAAGTCTAAAATAATGTTGCTATTGTCAGCTAAGGAAAAGTGTATAGATGGAGAGATAGAAGGAAAAAAAAAAAAAGCCAGGCATAGTGGCTCATGCCTGTAATCCCAGCACTTTGGGAGGTGGAGGCGGGCAGATCACTTGAGGTCAGGAGTTAAAGACCAACCTGGCCAACATAGTGAAACCCTGTCTCTACTAAAAATACAAAAATTAACTGGATGTGGTGGTTTGTACCTGTAATCCCAGCTACCGGGGAGGCTGAGGTGGGAGAATCACTTGAACCCAAGAGGCAGAGGTTGCAGTGAGCCAAGATACATACCACTGCACTCCAGCCTGGGTGACAGAGTGAGACTGTCTCAAAAAAAAAAAAAAAAAAAGAGAGAGAGAGAGAGGAGAAACCATGTAGGGTAATAAATATTATTTTTAAAAAAAGAAAAGAGGGAAAGCTTTCTTGCTTTTGGTTTTTCCAAGATGCCAATTGTCCTCATTTCCCCACCTGTGAACTGGGAGAAATCCTCCATCAAGAAGTTAACCCCCTTGTTCTAGGGGAGAGGTGGAGGGATAAGTCTGTTCCCTGGGTGTTGCATCTCCCCACTCAGAGAATAATATTTTATCACACTTAGACTGGTAGTTCTCCAACTCTAGGATGCATCAGAATGGCCTGGAGGATTTGCTAAGGCACAAATGGCTGGTTCCTGACTCAATAGATCTGGGGTGGGACCAGGAATTTGTAATAAGTTCCCAGGCTGTGCACCAGAAACAACTCCCAGCCCTCATTAGCCAGAAGAGAAATGATTTGCAGAAATTTAGCCCACTTGAGATAAAAGCTTATTCTCAAGTACAAGCTCAAGCTCAGGAAGTTGTTTGATGCTCCTAGGTTTTCTTCTCAAAGCCTGGGCATCCAGGACATTTTTTTTATTTTATTTTATTTTATCTTTACTTTTATTTTTTGAGATGGAGTCTCGCTCTGTTGCCCAGGCTCAAGCACAGTGGTGCGATCTCAGCTCACTGCAATCTCCACCTCCTGGGTTCAAGCAATTGTCCCGCCTCAGCCTCCTGAGTAGCTGGGATTACAGGTGCCCGCCACCATGCCAAGCTAATTTTTTTTTTTTTTTGAGACAGAATCTTGCTCTTGTCGCCCAGGCTGGAGTGCAATGGCACGATTTGGCTCACTGCAACCTCTGCCTCCTGAGTTCAAGCAATTCTCCTACCTCAGCCTCCTGAGTAACTGGGATTACAGGCACACGCCACCACACCCAGCTAATTTCTGTATTTTTAGTAGAGACGGGGTTTCTCCATGTTGCCCAGGCTGGTGTCGAACCTCTGACCTCGTGATCCACCCGCCTCGGCCTCTCAAAGTGCTGGGATTACAGGCATGAGTCACTGCACCCAGCCTAATTTTTGTATTTTTAATAGAGATGGGGTTTCGCCATGTTGGCCAGGCTAGTCTCAAACTCCTGACCTCAAGTGATCCATCCACCTTGGCCTCCCAAAGTGCTGGGATTACAGGCATGAGGCACCACATCCCGCCAAACCAGGGTATTTTAGCTTGATTCCTCTGGAAGCAAAGCCTGAGATAGGGCTTCCGATGCATAGGGTTTATTCATTTATTTCTTCTGGAAACAAATATAAGGGAGAAAAGGGAAACAGGGTGAGGCAGGGAGAGAGATGGAGCAAAGATGTGGTCTCAGGAAAAGTCTAGCCTTGGTCTGATCAGTGAGGGTTTGTAGGGCATAGGCTATAGTGCAGAAAGGTTCTTCCTGGAGAACAGGGGCGGGGCTTTTCTGAGGACCACAGGATTGGGTAGCTTCCAGGAGAGGCAGCTTGCATCATCCCAGGGCAATGTTCTGAGGAAGGGAGACGGCTATGGGCTGTAAACAGCCAACACTCACTGCAGCTGGGAAATGGGGGTGGGATCCCACTGTGTCTACTACGCAAGGCAACTTATTTGACTCTGCAGAGATTCTGCTCAATGGGGTGGTTGCTCAGCAAGCTTGAGGCTGAGATGCAAGGTTTTGCTTGTTTTAGTAATTAGGTTTTCTTTTTCTTTTCTTTTGCGGCAAGATCTCTGTCACCCAAGTTGGTGTGCAGTGGTGTGATCACAGCTCACTGCAGCCTCGACTGCCTGGGCTCAAGCAATCCTCCCGCCTTAGCCTCCCGAGTAGGTGAGACCACAGACATGTAGAACCATGGTTTGATTTTTTGTAGAGTGGAGGTCTCACTGTGTTGCCCAGGCTGGTCTCGAATGCCTGGGCTCAAGCAGTCCACCTGCCTCAGCCTCCCAAAGTGCTGGGATTACAGGCATGATCCACTACACCCAGCCAGGTTTTCTTTTCAATGTTTGTATATTTTATTAAGAAAATTAAACAAAAGCATTGTGTATGAAATCCCTCATATTTTTACCATAAGGGCATAAATCCATGTATCCGCTTCTTCATTGGTTTTTAACCTTTTATTTGAGTATCACTTATGATGTACTAGTAGACTTTTAACAACTGGCTCTGCAAGTGTAGCTCTGACATGCATATTTGTTGATATTTTTGTTTACATAAACAACTAGGAAGAGAAAAATGAAAAGAAGATTTTTTTGGAACTTTACTCATTTTTCAATGACAAAAGGAAATTCTTTGTTGAATCAGATAATAGATTTCAAACACAAGGAGAATATTTCCTTGATTTTTTGTCATTAACAGACACAACACTTCTAAAAAATATTTTCGGCCGGGTGCGGTGGCTCATGCCTGTAATCCCAGCACTTTGGGAGGCCGAGGCGGGAGGATCACCTGAGGTCAAGAATTCAAGACCAGCCTGGCCAACATGGTGAAACCCCGTCTCTACTGAAAATACAAAAATTAGCCAGGCGTAATGGTGCATGCCTGTAATTCCAGCTACTCAGGAGGCTGAGGCAGGAGAATCGCTTGAACCCAGGAGGCGGAGGTTGTAGTGAGCCAAGATAGCGCCACTGCACTCCAGCCTGGGAGACAGAGTGAGACCCTGTCTCAAAAAAAAAAAAAAAAAAAAAGTTTAGGGGGTCAACAAAATATAAATCAAGCCCCAACTTGTAGCATCTGCTGACTTCCACGGCAGAAATACTTGCACCATAACTGATTCCAAAATGGTAATGTGATGTCACTGGAATGGAGTTGGGATATGATTCTGTGTAACCCACCATTACATAGTAATAGTATTTCCACCATACAGATACCATAGATAGAAAGAATCCCAAGTGTGCTCAGAAGCAACAGTAAAAGAATTAGAAAATATATTTTGAGTATTTATTACTTTTGTCTTTAATATAATGTATTTAATTGTAAGTGTGTATACGTTAATTGTTAATGATGTCTGGACAGGGTGGCATGCGCCTGTAGTCCCAGCTACTGGACTTGGGAGGCTGAGATGGGAGGATCGTTTGAACCGGGGAGGTGAAGGTTGCAGTAAGACAAGATCGCGCCACTGCACTCCAGTCTGGACGGCAGAATGCAACTGTCTTTAAATCAATCAGTCAATAAAGTGTTCATGCCCCCTGCATCTGTATCAAGAAACATAATGCAGTTAGATCCCCCAGGAGCCTCCCTCAAGCCTCCGCCGAGTTACTACCCTGTTTCTTCCCCACTCTCCCTTCTCCGTGGGTAACCAATACTTGCAACAGCTTGGAACCCTTGGCTTGCTTTTGTCATTCCAATGGAATCATGAGCCTGCAGTTTGAAATGTTACCATTAGAGGCCTCTCGTGAGGCAAAACAGAAATCTGCAGGACTCCGCCTCTGAAACCCAGTCCCGCAGGACTTCTGGCCTTCTTCCGACGTTAAGGAGATGGTTACTCATGCCCGGGGCTGGGAGGAGAAAGTGAAATGACTGAGCTCTGTGCGTGGGTGAGCTCTTGGAGGAGATATGAGGCCACGAGGTTCCCTGGGGGAGATAAAGGGACCAGCTTTGGCCTTAAACCCCAGTGTGGGCCGGGAGCGGTGGCTCATGCCTGTAATCCCAGCACTTTGGGAGGCCGAGGCGGGCGGATCACCTGAGGTCAGGAGTTCAAGACCAGCCTGGCTAACATGGTGAAACCCCGTCTCTACTAAAAATACAAAAAAAGAAAAATTAGTCGGGCGTGGTGGCGGCCATCTGTATCGGGAGGCTGAGGCAGAAGAATCGCTTGAACTTGGGAGGCGGAGGTTGCAGTGAGCCGAGATCGCGCCATTGCACTGCAGCCTGGGCAACAAGAGTGAAACTCCGTCTCAAAAAAACAACAGGCCAGGCGCAGTGGCTCACGCCTGTAATCCCAGCACTTTGGGAGGCCGAGGCGGGCGGATCATGAGGTCAGGAGGTTCAAGACCAGCCCGGCCAACAAGGTAAAACCCCGTCTCTACTAAAAATACAAAAAAAATTGGCCGAGCGTGGTGGCGGGCTCCTGTAATCCCAGCTACTTGGGAGGCTGAGGCAGGAGAATCGCTTGAACCCGGGAGGCGGAGGTTGCAGTGAGCCGAGATCGCGCCATTGCACTACTCCTGTCTGGGCAAAAAGAGCGAAACTCCGTCTCAAAAAAAAAAAAACAAAAAACAAAAAACCCAGTGTGTCGTGCCAGTGCATTAGCATAGCCCAAATGAGCACCAAGGAGTGTTTCTGCCCAGGCAACAGGACCGCTTACCAATGGCTCCTTTATTTGAAGCCTAAACCTTAATCGGCTCATTAGTTCACACCACCATGATCTAGAAGAAGCAAACCATGGGAAAACATCAAGGGGAAAATAGGAGGAAGGAAATAGAACATAGAGATTAAGCTCGCAGACTCAGGAGTCCAACAGACCTAAGTTTGAATCACAGCCGCATCACTTACTAGCTTTGTAAACTTGGACAAATTACTTAACCTCTATGAAACTTAGTTTGCTCATCTGTGAAATGGAGACAAGAAAACCTTCCTTGAAAATTACTTAGCAATTAAGTAAATCACATATGTGCAGCAACAGTGACTCTTTTGAGGAGGATAAAAGGAAGACCCTCATTTTGTTTCCAAAGACATTCCAATCCACTGAATTTATGATGTGCAGAACTGGCAGGGTATGTGAACATGGGAATTAAAACTGCTCCAGGCCAGGAGTGGTGGCTCACGCCTGTAATCCCAACACTTTGGGAGGCTGAGGCAGGAGGATTGCTGATTTCTTGAGGCTGGGAGCTCGAGACCGGCCTGGGCACACTTGAGCCTGGGAGACAGAGAGAGACACTGTCCCCAAAGTTGTTTTTTAAAAAACATTTCTGCATAATAATATAAACAGCTCTTTCATTTGGTCAAGGACATATATGCAAATCAGTGCATACATGCATATCACATAGATACATCCAACTTTATATAAATGGGATACATAATGAGAGTATTTTCTATTTTTTAGTAGCTTTTTTCTTTCTTTTTTGCTGGTTTTATTCCTTCATTAGTATAACACTCCCTCCAGCCTACCACAAAACCCCTGTTAACAAACCAGTATATTACATTCTGTATTTTTCTCCATGCTCATATAAAATAACTTACAAACATATTGCAAAGTTTTACAAAAATAAGTTCCTATAAGGTTGTTTTCTCATCTTGCAATTCTCAATGTGACTCAAAGAAATTCTTCCAAGTCAATGACTGTAACTCTATTTTTTTTTTTTTTTTTGAGACAGGGACTCGCTCTGTCACTCAGGCTGGAGTGCAGTAACACAAACACAGCTCACTGCAGCCTTGACCTCCTGGGCTCAAGCAATCCTCCTGCCTCAGCCTCCCACGTAACTGGGACCACAGATGCATGCCACCACACCTGGCTAATTTTTTAAATTTTTTGTAGAGACAGGGTATCACTGTGTTGCCTAGGCTGGTCTCAAACTCCTGGGCACAAGTAATCCTCTCTCCCCAGCCTCCCAAAGTGTTGGGATTATAGGCATGAGCCACCACGCCCAGCCTCATATATATGTGTGTGTGTGTGTGTGTGTGTGTGTGTGTGTGTGTGTGTGTGTGTATATATATATATATATATATATATATATATATATATATATATATTCTTTTTGAGACAGAATCTCACTCTGTTGCCCAGGCTGGACTGCAGTGGCACGATCTCAGCTCACTGCAACTTCTGCCTCCCAGGTTCAAGCAATTCTCCTGCCTCAGCCTCCCAAGTAGCTGGGATTACAGCCACCAGCCACCATACCTGGCTAATTTTGTATTTTTAGTGGAGACGGGGTTTCACCATATTGGCCAGGCTGGTCTCGAAGTCCTGACCTCAGGTGATCCGCCCACCTTGGCCTCCCAAAGTGCTGGGATTACAGGCATGAGCCACTGAGCCTGGCCTCTAATATATTATTTTTAATAGCTGCATAATACTCCAAATTGCAGATGTTATATAGTTCAGTCAACTATTTCTTATTTATTTATTTATTTAGAGACAGAATCTCACTCTGTTGCCCAGGCTGGAGTGCAGTAGTGCAATCTCGGCTCACTGCAACTTCTGCCTTCCGGGTTCAAGTGATTCTTGCCTCAGCCTCCCAAATAGCTGAGACTACAGGTGTGCGCTACCACACCTGGCTAATTTTGTTTTGATTTTTGTTTTAGTAGCGACAGGGTTTCAGCATGTTGGCCAGGCTGGTCTCGAACTCCTGGCCTCAAGTGATCCATCCACAATGGCCTTTAGTCAGCTATTTCTCAACTGAAGGATACTTTCATTGTTTCCACTTGTTTGTCACTAAGAACAATGCTACAGTAAGCACATTGATATTTCTACCATTATAAACCTGGTGCTTTTATTTTTATCCCCGAGAGTGGGGTTTCCAGGTCAAAGGAGTTATGTATTGGCTGAGGCAGGAGTATTGCTTGAGGCCAGGAGTTCGAGTTTCTTGCCTGGACAATATAGCAAGATCCCCATCTCTACAAAACATTTTTTAAAAAACAAAAACAAAATAACCAAATAAGTCTGTAACAATTTACATTTCCACTAGTACCACGTGTGACTGTGCTCTTCTCTGACTGCAATAGGTTTAGCCTTCTTTTTTGTTTGTTTGGGTTTCCTTTTCTTGTTCTTGTTCTTTTTACTAATTTGTTTATTTTTTTTTAGACAATATCTTGCTCTGTCGTCCGGGCTGGAGTGTAGTGACGCAATCATAGCTCACTGCAACCTTAAACTCCTGGATTCAAGTGATCCTCCTGCTTCAGCCTCCTGTGTAGCTGGGACTACAGGCACACGCCACCAAGCTCGGCTAATTTTTTTCTTCTTTTCTTTATCTTATGGACATTTTCAAACATTTTGAATGCAAACAGAATAGTATGATGAACCTCCAAAAACGCATGGCTCAGCTTCAGCAATTTTCAATATTCTTTTATTCCCGCAGACTTCTTTTTAATTTTTGCAAATTTATGGGCATAAAGTGATATACTTGCTGTTACTTTTTTAATCTTGTTTTTACATTTCTCTGACTGCTAGTGATTTTGAGCACATTTTCACATGTGTGGAATTGATATTATGTAAGAGCCTATTCATAGACTTTGCATATTTTTTGGTTGTTTGTCTTTTTCTTGTCGATTTATAGGAACAGTTTGTATATAATAGATGTTAATCCTTTACTTATCTTCCATGTTGCCAATATTTTTTCTAATCTGATGTTTGTCTATGGTGTCTATTCTAAAGTTTTAAATTTTTATATATATCATGTGTATCATTTTTTCTTAAAGCTTCTATATTTTCTATATTGCATAAGAAATTCCCCACCACCACCACCAAGTGCAATCTGGTAGTTTAGAAAATTGTTTGGCAAAATGTTCTGAAGCAGAACATACACATTTCCCATGACCCAAAAATTTTGCTGCTAAGTATATACCCAACAGAAATGCATAGATATGTTCATGTACAGACATGTACAGCCGGGCACAGTGGCTCCTGCCTGTAATCCCAGCACTTTAGGAGGCTGAAGCAGAAAGATCACTTGAGGCCAGGAGTTTGAGACCAGCCTGGGCAACATAGCGAGACCTCTGTCTCTACAAAACAATAAAATAATTAGCCAGGCATGGTGGTGGCACGCACCTGTAGTCCCAGCTGTTTGGGAAGCTGAGGCAGGAGGATCACTTGAGCCCAGGAGTTGGAGGCTGCAGTGAGCTATGATCGACCTGCCGCACTTCAGCCTGGGTGACAGAATGAGACTTTATCTCTAAAAATAAAATATAAAATAAAATAGTACAAGAATATTCATAGAACTAGTCATAAAAGCCAAAAACTGGTGGGGAAAAAAACTAATGCCCATCAACACTACAATGGTGCAGCCATAAAAAAGAACAAGATCATGTCCTTTGCAGGGACATGGATGGAGCTGGAGGCCATTATCCTTAGCAAACTAACACGGCAACAGAAAACCAAATACTGCATGTTCTCACTTATAAGTGAGAACAGATAGAGGGGAATGACACACACTGGGGCCTTTTGGAGGGTGGAGTATCAGGGGAATCTGCCCCCAACATTTCAACGTAGGTTCTTTCTATTTTCCGTAAGTGTCAGCTGGCTGAGAAATAAAGAGAAAGAGTAGAAAGAGAGGAATTTTACAGCTGGGCCTCCGGGGGTGACATTATGTGTCGGTAGGACCGTGATGCCCACCTGAGCCGCAAAACCAGCAGGTTTTTATTAAGAATTTCAAAAGGGGAGGGGGTGTACAAACAGAGAGTAGGTCACAAAGATCACATGCTTCAAAGGGCAAAAAGGAGAACAAAGATCACATGCTTCTGAGGAAACAAGACAAGGACAAAATCAGAAACTCCTGATAAGGGTCTATGTTCAGCTGTGCACATATTGTCTTGATAAACATCTTAACAGAAAACAGGGTTCGAGAGCAGAGAAGCGGTCTGACCCCAAAATCACCAGGATGGGGTTTTTCCCCACCCTAATAAGCCTGAGGGTACTGCAGGAGACCAGGGCGTATTTCAGTCCTTCTCTCAACCACGTAAGACAGACACTCCCAGAGAGGTCCTTTATAGACCTCCCCCCAGGAATGTATTCCTTCCCCAGGGTATTAATTATTAATATTCCTTACTGGGAAAAGAATTTAGCGATATCTTCCCTACTTGCACATCCATTTATAGCCTCTCTGCAAGAAGAAAAATATGGCTGTATTCTGCCCAACCCCACAAGCAGTCAGACCCTATGGTTGTCTTCTCTTGTTCCCTGAAAATCAACTGTTATTCTGTTCTTTTTCAAGGTGCACTGATTTCATATTGTTCAAACACACATGTTTTACAATACATTTGTACAGTTAACACAATAGTGGTCCTGAGGTGACGTACATCCTCAGCTTACGAAGATAACAGGATTAAGAGATTGAAGTAAGAGAGGCATAAGAAATTATAAAAGTATTAATTTTGGGAACTGATAAATGTCCATATTAAAATGAAATCTTCACAATTTATGTTAAGAGATTGCAGTAAAGACAGGCATAATAAATTATAACAGTATAATTTGGGGAACTGATATATGTCCCTATTGAAATGAAATCTTCACAATTTATGTTCCTGTGCCACGGCTCCAGCTGGTCCCTTCGTTCGGGGTCCCTGACTTCCTGAAACAGTGGAGGGTGGGAGGAGGCAAAGGTTTAGGAAAAATAACTAATAGGTACTAGGCTTAATACCTGGGTGATGAAATAATCTGTACAGCAAACCCCCATGACACAAATTTACTTATGGAACAAACCTGCACTTGTACACCTGAACTTAGGATAAAAGTTAAAAAAAAATTAGAATGAATAAATAAATTGTGGCATATTCATACAAAGTAATGCTATACTGCAATGAGAATGAACTACAGCTACACATCTCACAAAAATAATACTAAAAAGGAAGCCAGACATTGAAGAGCACATGCTGTATGATTCCATTTATATAAAGATCAAAAACAGACAAAAATAATCTGTGGTGTAAGAAGTCCAGGTAGAGGTTACTCTTGAAACAGGGCACAAGGAACTTTCTGGGGGAGTTGCTCAAGTTCTGTTTGTTGATCTGTGCACAAAAAACAGAACACAAACAATCACAGTCAAACAGATGTGTTCACTATAGGACCTGTGATTTTTGTACCTTCTGTAGGTATGCTATACTTCAACAAAAAGTTTACTATAAAATACAAAATAAATTTTCCCGTCTCCTAGCTCCTAGATAGTTCATGTAATATTGTAAACCATCCTCAGAGAACTTTATTGTCTTATTTTTCATATTTACCTTTAATCCATTAGAATGTATTTTATGTATTGTGGTAGGCAGGCTTCTAAGATGGCCCCAGTGATTGTCACCTGCTGGTATTCATGACCTTGTATCATCTCCTCCCTGGAGTGGAGGCTGGAACTGGCTTCTGACAAATAGAATATAGCAAAGTTAGGCCAGGTGCAGTAGCTCATGCCTGTAATCCCAGTACTTTGGGAAGCCAAGGCAGGAGGATCACTTGAGGTGGGTTTGAGACCAGCCTGGCTAACAGGGTGAAACTCCATGTCTACTAAAAAAAAAAAAAAATACAAAAAGTTAGCCAGGTGTGGTGGTGTGCACCTGTAATCCCAGCTACTTGGGAGACTGAGGCATGAGAATCGCTTGAACCTGGGAGGCAGGGGTTGCAGTGAGCTGAGATCACACCACTGCACTCCAGCCTGGGCAACAGAGCCAGACTCTGTCTCAAAAAAAAAAGGGCAGGGGGGCTTAGAATATGTTAACAGGGTATCATTTCTGAGATTAGGTTACAAAAGACTGTGACTTCCACCTTGCCAGCATCTCTGCTTTCTCTCTCATCTCTCTCTCTCTCTCTCTCTCTCTGATGAATTAACTTGCAATGTTATACACTGCCCTTTGGACAGACCCACATGACAAGGAACCAAACAAGGGTGGACCAACACCTCTTAAGGAACTGAGGCCCTTAGTCCAACAGCCCACAAAGAAATGAATCCTGCCATCAACCACAGAGTGAGCCTGGAAGTGAATCCTTCCCCAGTCAACCCTTAAGATGAGTACAGCCCAGACAGACACCCTGATTGCAGCCTCACTAGACTTGCAGCGCTGGGCCCTGCTAAGCCACGCCCACATTCTTGACCCACAGAACCTGCCGAAGAAGAACTGCTGTTGTTTAAAGCCAGCAATTTTGGGGGTACTTTGCTATGCAGCCATATAAAACTAATGCATGTGTGATATAAGAAATAAATTTTATTTCTTCCTGATAGATAGAAAATTATGCCAAGGATTCATCAAATAGTCCAATGAATTAAACTATCATCTTTAGCTGAGTGTGGTGGCGAGCACCAGTAGTCCCAGCTACTTGAGAAGCTGATGTGGGAGGATTGTGTGAGCCCAAATTTGAGGCTGCAGCAAGCTATGATCATGTCACTGCACTCCAGCCTGGGTGACAGAGCAAGACCCTATCTCTAAATAAATAAATAAATAATAAAAATATCATCTTTGACATTTATTAAATTATCATATATATTGATATTTATTTCTGGATTCTCTGTTTAATCCAACTTGTATATTTATTTATTTGTCAATTCCTGTGCTAAAATTATATTGATGCTGTAGTTTTGCAGTATGTTCTGATATCTAGTAAAAATAAGCCCCTTTCTGGCTGGGCACGGTGGCTCACACCTGTAATCCCAGCACTTTGGGAGGCCAAGGTGGGTGGATCACGAGGTCAGGAGATCAAGACCATCCTAGCCAACATGGTGAAGCCCCGTCTCTACTAAAAATGCAAAAAAAATTAGCTGGACGTGGTGGCAGACACCTGTAGTCCCAGCTACTCGGGAGGCTGAGGCAGGAGAATGGCATGAACCCGGGAGGCAGAGGTTGCAATAAGCCGAGATCGCGCCACTGCACTCCAGCCTGGGCAACACAGAGAGACTCCATCTCAAAAAAAAAAAAAAAGAAGTCCCTTTCCCATGTTTCTTTATTCTCACACTTTTCTTGACTGATCTCAAGCATTTATTTTATTTCAAATTTTTTATCTTTAATTTTTATGGGTACATAGTAGGTGTATATATGTATGGGGTACCTGAGATGTTTTGATACAGGCATGCAATGTGAAATAAGCACATCAAGCATTTATTCTTGCATATAATCTTTATTTTAGCCAATTTTTAAAACCTTGGATCAAAAGAATTATATTATACTTATATTTTAATTTGGGGAGAATTTTTTTGTTGTTTTTTTGGGAGTTTTTTGTTTTGTTGGGGAAAATTTTTTGTTTGCTTTTTAGATTTTGTTTTGTTTTGTTTTGTTTTGTTTTTGTTTTTAGAGACAGGGTCTCACTGTGTTACCCATGTTGGAGTGCAGTGGTGTAATTATTGCTTACTGCAGCCTCAAACTCCTGGGCTCAAGTGATCCTCCCACTGCCACCACACCCAGCTATTTTTAAATTTTTTTGTGGAAACAGAGTCTCGCTATGTTGCCCAGGCTGGTCTCAAACTCCTGGCCTCAAGCAATCCTCCTGCCTTGGCCCCCCAAAGTGTTGGAATTACAGATATGAGCTACCACACGCCCAACTTAATTCAGGGAGAATTAACATATTAACCCCTATATAAGATCTTCCCACGCAGGAACATCCCTTTACATTTGTTCACATTTTGTTTTATGTCTTTCATAAGATTTTAAGGTTTTCTTTCTGTAGGTCCTGTGCCTTTCTACTTAAATTTATTCCTAGGCATTTTCCTTTCGGTGGTATTATGATTGGAATATTTTTTGTTTTCTCTTCCTGTTTTCTCTACTCTGTTGCTAGAATATGAGAAAAGCTATTGATGTGTGTATAGATCTAGAGATTTCAGAGCCCTTGAGCACAAATTGAGGTGCAGGGAAGAAACAGAATTTTATTTCTTTATAACTTTAGAAAATTTATCAACTTTGTAAAATCTTATAGAACTTCATAGACTTTATAAAATGTAACTTTTATTTTAAGCTCCCTTTGTGCCAGGTGGAAGAAATTCAATCCATCTGGCTCCTCCTAGCCTTTTTCAGGGTGGGTTTAAGTTCCGTGGAGGCTACACAGCACCAGCAGGCAAGAGGGCATGGGGGTCTGGTCACCATCTGCACCAGCGGGTGGCCCCTGAGATGCCAATGGCCTCTGCTGCATCGCCTGTCCTTCCCCTCTGAAGTCTCCCTCCTCCCTCCCTCCCCCGCTCTCTCTCTCTCTCTCTCCCTATATATGTATATATACACACACATACATACATGCATATATGTATGTATGTATGTATGTATGTATATATATACACATTTATATTTGAGCACGTGTTCTCTCTCTGCCATTTTATTTTATTTTATTTTATTTTATTTTATTTTATTTTATTTTATGATGGACTCTCACTCTGTCACCCAGGCTGGAAGGCAGTGGCGCGATCTTGGCTCACTGCAACCTCCGCCTCCCAGGTTCAAGCAATTCTCCCGCCTCAGCCTCCCAAGTAGCTGGGATTACTGGCACCCGCCATCATGTTGGCTAATTTTTGTATTTTTGTAGAAATGGAGTTTCACCATATTGGCCAGGCTGGTCTCAAACTCCTGACCTCAGGTGATCCACCCTTCTTGGCCTCCCAAAGTGCTGGGATTACAGGCGTGAGCCACCTCGCCCGGCCTCTCTCTGCCTTTCTGTTTTGAGCACGCATGTTCTCTCTCTCTCTTTTCTGAGCACGCATGTTCTCTCTCTTTACCTCTGTCTCTCTTTGTTCTCTCTCTCTCTCTTTCTTTCTTTTGAGCATGCATGCTCTCTCTGTCTCTATTTTGAGCACACATGTTCTTTCTCTTTACCTCTCTCTCTCTCTTCATACACATGTATTTTTTGAGCACACGTGTTTTCTTTCTCTCTCTGTCTCTATTTTGAGCATGCATGTTCCACTTTTTTTTTTTTTTTTTTTTTTTGAGATGGAGTGTCGCTCTGTCACCCAGGCTGGAGTGCAGTGGTGCGATATTGTCTTACTGCAACCTTCACCTCCCAGGTTCAAGCGATTCTCCTGCCTCAGCCTCCCTAGTAGCTGGGATTACAGGGATTACAGGCATCGGCCACCACACCTGGCTAATTTTTTTTGTATTTTTAGTAGAGATGGGGTTTCACCATGTTGGCCAGGCTGGTCTGGAACTCCTGACCTCAAGTGATCCACCTGCCTCAGCCTCCCAAAGTTCTGGGTTTACAGGAGTGAGCCACCCTGCCCAGCCGCTATCTCTCTCTCTATTTTGAGCACACATGTTCTTTCCATCTCTCTCTCTATATATATTTTTGGGCACACGTGTTCTCTGTGTGTGTGTGTGTCTATTTTCAGCATGCATGTTCTCTGTCTCTATCTCCATCTCTATTTTGAGCACACATGTTCTCTCTCTCTCTTTCTGATTTCAACACGCATATTCTCCATCTCTATGTGAACATGCATGTTTTCTCTTTATCTCTACTAATCATCTTTCTCTCTCTCTCTCTCTCACTCCATCCTCCAAGCCACTCTCAGGCACTCAGGCATGTGGTAAACATCCCCACCCGTCTCCATGTCACAGTGGACAGTGGGGACCCCTCTAACGGGCCCCTCTGCCCCAATACAGAATGCAGCTTCTCTTCTGGAGTCTTCCTGCTTTCCCAGGCTCTCCCCAGGAAGCAAAACGCAGAACCCCTCTGCTCTTGGACCCCACAAACCCACATGGGGTCCCCTCCTTGGATGAGGGGAGGGGCTGCAGGCCTGGGTCTCCCTTCCTTGGGGACCTGGAACAGCTTCTCCCTGTCCCTTCTTGTTCTCCTTCCTCTCAAAGTCGGGAAAATCTTTTCCAGTCTCGTTTAGTGTCTGAAATCTTTTTTTTTTTTTGAGACAGAGTATCACTCTGTTGCCCAGGCTGGAGTGCAGCTCACTGCAACCTCCACCTATGGGGTTCAAGTGATTCTTCTGCCTCAGCCTCCCAAGTAGCTGGGATTACAGGCACGCACTACCACACCCGGCTAACTTTTGTATTTTTAGTAGAGACAAGGCTTCACCATGTTGGCCAGGCTGGTTATTGTCTCAAATCTAGGGTCCTAACCTGAGTTTTCTGAAAACTCAAAAACTAGAAGAATTTTCATTTTCTCTTTCTGCTTTCTCATCCATTTGCTGAGGTAACAAAATTTAGGGCTGACTTGCTTGAATGGGAGAAGGACTGTTGGGGAAAAGGAAACTCTGGAGTGGAAAAAACATGTAAATATTTGAACATAGGATCCCATCATACATACAGGCACAGGGAGAAGAAACCATTGGCGGAAGTAGGACAGAATGTTAACGGGGTGCTGTTTTCAAACGGTGGACCCATGAATGAACTTTTTAAAAAAATTTTATTTATTTATTTTTTATTTTTTTTATTTTTATTTTTGAGTTGGAGTGTTGATCTGTCTCCCAGGCTGGAGTGCAATGGCGTGATCTTGGCTCACTGCAACCTCTGCCTCCCGAGTTCAAGCAATTCTCCTGCCTCAGCCTCCTGTGTAGCTGGGATTACAGGCATGTGCCACTACGCCCTGCTAATGTTTGTATTTTTAGTAGAGACAGGGTTTCACCATGTTGGCCAGGCTGGTCTTGAACTCCTGACCTCAAGTGATTCACCCACCTCAGCCTCCCAAAGTGCTGAGATTACAGGATGAGCCCCTGCACCCAGCTGATTATTATTAATATTTTTGAGATAGTGTCTTGCTCTTTAGCCCAGGCTGGAGTGCAGTGGTGCAGTCACAGCTAACTGCAGCCTCCAGCTCCTAGGCTCAAGTGATCCTCCCACCTCAGCCTCCTGAGTAGCTGGGACTACAGGTGTGAGCCACCACACCTGTCCAGATATTTTCTTATTTAAATTTTTCTGAATTTTACAAAGTTTCTAGAATGTATATTGCTTTTATCATTACACACACACACACACACACACACAATTTATTCCAGTTCATTTGCAGTTTGTATTTTATGCAAGTCAAATTTTTTGCATGAGAAATGCCTGAATCCAAGCATAGTAAACACAATGTACATTTCAAAACAATGCAGAGTGTACAAAATATAGAGCAGAAAGGAGGGTTCATTCACACACTCAATAGCTTGGGTTAGGTTCTACAATGGCAAACAATCACTTTTGTTATAAAGTTAGGAGTACTGGGCCAATTTAGGGGTGTTGGAACAGCTAAGCATGAAAGAGCAACCAAGTAAACTAAAGACTTCATAATGTACATATTTCTTTGTTTTTGTTTTGTTTTGTCTTGTTTTTTATTTATTTATTTATTTTGAGACAAAGTCTCACTCTGTTGCCCAGGCTGGAGTGCAATGGCACGATCATGGCTCACGGCAGCCTCCACCTCCTGGGTTCAAGCAATTCTCCTGCCTCAGTCTCCCAAGTAGCTGGAATTACAGGCATGCGCCATCACGCCCGGCTAATTTTGGTATTTTTAGTAGAGACAGGGTTTCACCATGTTGGCCAGGCTGGTCTCAAACTGCTGACCTCAGGTGATCCACCCACCTCGACCTCCCAAAGTGCTGAGATTACATGCATGAGCCACCGCGCCCAGCCTGTTTTGTTTTTTAGAGACAGGGTCTCACTCTGTTGCCCAGGCTGGAGAGCAGTGGTGCTACCTGCAGCCTGGATCTCCTGGAATCAAGGGATCCTCCTACCTCAGCCTCCCAAGTAGCTGGGGCTACTAGTGCACACCAGCGTGCCTGGCTTATTTTTTATTTTTTGTAGAGACTGAGGTCTTGCTATGTTGCCCAGGCTGCTCTTGAACTTCTGAACCTGGTATGGCTTAGTGTGAAATAACTTTCACAAAAATCCCAACCTGTTTCAACCCAGCCTAAGACAGTGGTGTAGTTCCTTCAGATGGTCAGCTAGGAGGTCCAAGCAGGATAAGGACAAGGAAGGGGCTGACAGAGTGGAAGAGAGACTGAGGGATGAAGGTACCGTGTAGGTCAGGGCACAGGGATAAGGAGAATGAAAGGGTGAAACCGTTGCATGGAGAGGAGGCTGCAATCAGAGAAAGGGACATTGGAACTAAAGTGGTTCTGAGTGTGACAAGGGCCCAGTGCAGTTGTGGCGTGGGGGATAAGGTCTCCAAAGAGGTACACCCACTGAGAGGCTGCAATGCTGGCTAAGCTGTACCTTGGACATTGAAGACACCAAGGAGAGTGGCAGGATTTGTGATGGAGATGAAGGCTAGGGGCCAAGCTACCAAGTTTTCAGTAACTGTGAGGGGATGACCAGGAGGGCCAAGGATGACAAAGAGGACGGGGAGAAGGTGGCAGAGCTGGGCTGCATGACCCTCAAATCAGCAGGGATTTTTTTTTTTTTATTTTTACACAAGGATGAAGGAGACATGAATGAGTTGAAACTTGCAAACAGGGTGGACCTTACCTTCAAGGACCCTGGCAGACCCTCTCTGAACAAAACTGGAGACATCTACCAGGAGCAAGGGTGGTCACGGCCATTAGAAGGTGCCCTTCCATGCGGAGTTGTCTTACATCTAAGGCATAGGAATCTCTAAGCTCTACGAAGACAGGGACCTCATCATCTTGTTCATCAGGCAGGCATGTCATAGCTTATAATAAATGCATATTTATTGGCTGGGCGCGGTGGCTTATGCCTGTAATCCCAGCACTTTGGGAGGACGAGGTGAGCGGATCAACTGAGGTCAGGAGTTTGAGACCAGCCTGGCCAAAGTGGTGAAGCCCCATCTCTACTAAAAATACAGAAATTAGCTGGGCATGTTGGCCCACATTTTTAATCCCAGCTACTCGGGAGGAGGATTGCTTGGACCCAGGATGCAAAGGTTGCAGTTAGCCAAGATAGTGCCATTGCACTCCAGCCTGGGTGACAAGATCGACTCTGTCTCAAAAAATAAATACATGCATATTTATTTATTTATTTTATTTTTGGAGAGTGTGTCTCTCTCTGTCGCCCAGGCTGGAGTGCAATGGCACAGTTATAGCTCACTGCAGCCTTGACTTCCTGGCTCAAGCAATCCTCCCACCTCAGCCTCGCGAGTAGCTGGAACTACAGGTGGACATCACCACACCTGGCCATTTTTTTTTGTAGAGATGGGGTCTCACTATGTTGCTGGTCTCCAACTCCTGGTTTCAAGTGATCCTCCCTCCTAGGCCTCCCAAAGTGCTGGGATTACAGAGGTGAGCCACTTACCTGACCCATAATAAATATTTATTGAACGAACGACTGAATTCACCAATTAATCGCTATTTCCTGATAGCCCACCGGGATCCGCTGGTGCAATGATAAAGAGCGCAGGCTTTGAGATCAGGCGGATCTGTATTGGGACTGCGGCTCTCAGCCTCCGCTTGTACCTGCTGTGCAGTGAGGACTCCAGGAACTGATGATGAACCGGCACGGTCCTCGGCACGTGGCAAGTTCTCCATAAGTGGGCTCAGTAAAATCCCTCTCCCGGGAAAGCGCCCCACCGTGTTTGGTGGGGTGACTGGGACGCGAGGATGCGGCTGGGAGTGTGATGAGAAGGGCGGGGATCGGCGAGGACTCCAGGCTGGGGTTGCAGGCCCAGCCAGGGGCGGAGCCTTCTCCGGGTCGGGCGGGGACAGAGCGCTCCCTTGGAGGCACCCAGGGACCTGGCCAGCCGTGCAGCTGCCCAGGCGCTATGGCGAGTGCGGTCAGGGGGTCGAGGCCGTGGCCCCGGCTGGGGCTCCAGCTCCAGTTCGCGGCGCTGCTGCTCGGGACGCTGAGTCCACAGGTGAGAGCCAGGGACCGACGCCAAGTCCCCAAAGTCTGGTCGCGGGGCGCAGGGGGCGGCGTCGCACTTGGGGCGAGGGCGCGGCGGGGCCACGGGGGCACCTCTCCCTCCCTCACGCCTGGGTGGTCCCAACTCGGCCCCAACGGAGTAAAAGCCTCCTGGGTTTGGGGAGCCGCCAGTTGCCCCCAACAAATACCTAGCTGGGGAGATCTGCCAGCGTGGAAAGGCAAGAGTAGACAGAGCACCCCGCCTCTTCAGCAGGGAGAGGTGTAGTCTGGGGTAGGGGGGCACCTGGGCACGAAAGCCAGGCCTCTTAAAACTTCTGGGAATCCTGGCTTCCTTTGAAAATATGATTGACTTCAGGGCCCTCTGCTGAGAAATGAGCCTGCACGCCCAGTTTTGCAATTTCAGAGGCTTTACAATACGGTCCCCTTACCCATGGCTGCACCCCAGGTTCAGAACCTATGGGATAAATGAGCTGGGAGTGTCAGTATCTGCTCCCACGGTGCCAGGAATAGCAGAGTCTTACAGAAATGCAGCCAGGAGGCAAAAGTCGCCTGGCCTAAGAATCCAGGTGTCCCGCCTAGAACCCCCATGGGGCAAAAGCGATCAGGTAGAGTTAGGCACCTCTCATTCCCGGCTTCCACCTCATGGGTCCACCTCATGGTTGCCAGCTAAGAATGCAAGCCCAGTGTGGCCAGATCGGATGTCTCTGGAAAAATTAGAAATGAGAAAGATTTGAAATCTTGGTTTTTTTGTAGAAATCATCCAATTTTTAAAAAAATTGGCAGCTAATTGAAAAATTTTTAAGCACTAGATGGTCAAACAAAATTCATTTCTGGGCAACCAATCTGCAGCCTCTTCTCCAAACCGTTCTCCCTCCTGCCATGCTGCAGATGACAAAATTGAAGCCCAGAAAGAAAGAGGGGCTAGCAGATAATTTCCTGACCCTCCACTCAACACCAGTGGCCCAGCCCCAAACCTGAGGGTCCTGAAGCAGGATGTGGCCTTTGTAGGGGTGCGGCTGGGCCACCCGGATGTTAGGCCTCCTGCTGGGAGCTCAGCCTCACCCTGTTTGCTCAAGGAGGGACTGGAGCAGGTGAGTGAGCCCAGGATCGCCAGATGTAAGTACGGGTGGCTCCAGCCCCCCTCCCAAGGGCACCCCCCAGCCTTGGGTCAAGGGACCCACTGGAGCCTGGCACCAAAACCAGCTGGGCTGGTTTGGGGAGGCAGAAAGGGGCATCCCAAAAGAGGTAGACATTGTGGCAGAGGAAAAAGAGGCCAGGCATAGGAATCAGAGGGATGGCAACTCAAGTCCTTAGTTTTGCCACTTATTATCTCTGTGGCTTTATGCCAATGACCTAACCAATGACCTAACTTTCCTGAGCCTCAGTCTCCCTCCTCTGTAGAATGGGAAAACTAATAATACCAGTCTTAGAATGGGTGCAGTGGCTCATGCTTGTAATCCCAATACTTTGGGAGGCTGAGGCAGGAGGATCGCTTGAGGCCAGGAGTTCCAGACCAGCCTAGACAACATAGCAAGACCCCATCTCTACAAAAAAATACAAAAATTAGCCAGGTGTGATGACAGACACCCGTAGTCCCAACTACTTGGGAGGCTGAGGTGTGAGGATCAGCTGAGCCCAGGGGTTTGAGGCCACAGTGAGCTATGACTATGCCACTTCATTCCAGCCTGGGCAATAGAGCAAGACCCTGTCTTATATTAAAACAACAAGAACAATA
This sequence comes from Homo sapiens, assembly GCF_000001405.40. Lineage (NCBI taxonomy): Eukaryota > Metazoa > Chordata > Mammalia > Primates > Hominidae > Homo > Homo sapiens. The sequence continues at coordinate 23,711,351 of NC_000016.10, read as the reverse complement.
ACAAAAAGAAACAAAACAAACAATGAAGTCATTTTGTAAAGGCCTTTAGTCTTCTTTGGAAAACCAGAATGAATTGAGGAAGGAGGTAAGTAATTGGGAATTTAGATACATTGGGAGCCAAAACCTCCCCTCAGAACCCCCCAGCTTCCACTATAACCCTTCTCTAGGGTCAAAGAGATGATGAGTGACACCAGCACGTTCCCCAATCACCCTTCCTCCCCTGCTGCATCCCCATCTGGGGGAAGGGGAGTCATGGCCAGCCCTGCTTGGGACAGGAGCAAAGGGTGGTCCCAGACCCCTCAGAGAGCTGACTTTGTCTCTACCCCCTTGCAGGTTCATACTCTCAGGCCAGAGAACCTCCTGCTGGTGTCCACCTTGGATGGAAGTCTCCACGCACTAAGCAAGCAGACAGGGGACCTGAAGTGGACTCTGAGGGATGGTGAGCAAGAGGTGGTCCCTCCTCCCTCCTTGGGCCCATAGATTGGTGAAGGGATAGTCACTGTGGCATAGAGAATAAGAACATGGGCTCTAGAATCCAATAAGCTGGTATCTACAGGCAGCTTCACTGCTTACCAGCTGTGTGGCCTTGAGAAACCCACCTTACCTCTCTGATCCTCAACATCCTCATCTATAAAATGGGGCAAAGGATATGACCCTATCTGACAGAGTTTTTGGGAAGATGGCATTACATTCACACCAAGTGCTTGACATCACAGTCATGCCATAGCTCAGTGAATATGAGCTGTGCTTTTCAGTGGGGTCTGGAGGAAACTGCTTATGTTCTGTGTCCCTGTCCCTGCAGATCCCGTCATCGAAGGACCAATGTACGTCACAGAGTAAGTGAACCTGGGGCCTTTTAAGGAGGAGGCTTCTGGGAGATGGGGGACTCATAGTTGTCTGGAGAGAGTTTGTATGTGGGGCAGGGACATGTTGGAAGTAAGGGAAGAGAATTGGCTCTGGATGTGATATAGGGGAGGGTCTTGGAGCCCCATGATGTTTCCTACAAGAACAGGCTCCTAGTAGCTGAGAAATTGGAAGGAATTTGGGGCCTTCATGAAACCAGGGGGCAAGAACCCATTGGTCTCCTTGTTTCTCTCTGCTCCACAGAATGGCCTTTCTCTCTGACCCAGCAGATGGCAGCCTGTACATCTTGGGGACCCAAAAACAACAGGGATTAATGGTTTGTATCCCATGGTGTTCGGGAATGGGTGAGAGCCAGGGCTTTCGTCAGCTGGAGCACTGAGAGGTGGAGAGGCAGTATGGTCAGTATCTCCTGTTCTGCAGAGGATATAAGTCAGGACTCAGCACATTGTGAGAAGGCTGTCTGAGGGACCTGTTGAAAGGGTGGTAAGGGGAGGTCTGGCTGTGTCTGCAGGGCAATCTGACTATCAAGCTGGAGGTATCCCAGGGCCTTCTCCAGGACTCTGAGGGCTTTAAAGAGAAATGTATATACCAGTTAGCTTTTGCTAAATAAAAATCAACCCAAAACTCAAGAGCTTAAAACTAAAACATCACTTAAATTTATTCAACTCAGAATTTGGTGAGATGACAATTTAGGTTGGGCTCAGCACAGTGGTTCTTCTGCTGGTCTTGACTGAACTTGTTCATGCATGTGTGGTCAGCTGCTAGTCAACTGGATGGCTGTGTTTCTGAAAGTTGGTTGGTAGTTGGTTGGCTTTTGGCAGAGGTGGCTGGGCCATATGTCTCTTATCCCTAGCAGGCAAGCCTAGGCTTGTTCACATGATATCAACAAGGGACCCCAAAGCAGCAATACATAAGCACTTTTCAAGCTTCTGTTTGTGTCACATTTGCTAATGGCTCATCAGCCAAAGCAGGTCACATGGCCAAGCTGAGAATCCAGTGGTGAAAAAACAGATTCCATCTCTTTATGGAAGGAGCTGAAAACTCACCGTGTGAAGGGACACAGACACAGACATGAATACAAGATGAAAAGCAATCTGTGGCCATTTTTTGCAATCTTCCACATCAGGACTCTGAATGGGGTGGAATGTGCTTTGTCGGAATTCCTTTTTTTTAATTTAAACAAATTTTTTAAAGACAGCATCTCATTATGTGTCCAGGCTGGAGTGCAGTGGTACGATCACAAGGCTCACTGCAGCCTCGAACTCCTGGCCTCAAGCAATCCTCGCACCTCAGTATCCTGAGTAGCTGGAACTACAGGTACACACCACCACACCCAGTTCTTTGTCAGAATTCTAACCATGTCAGGGGAAGCCTGCTAGAAAAGTCTTAAGTATATGATTTAGGAAGGTGAAGTGATAAGAAATTTTAGTGTGTCAATCAGGCAAGGTCTCAGCTGCAAACACATGGCATACTCAAATAGAATAGTTTGAGGACATTTTGTTAAAAGTGTGAGCAGAGTATAGGAAACCACAAGGGATAGTGCAGTATATTAGTTCATTCTTGCATTGTTATAATAAAAAAATACCTCAGACTGGGTAATTTATAAGAAAGGAGGTTTCATTGACTCATGGTTCTACAGGCTGTACAAGAAATGTAGTAGCTTCTGCTTCTGGAGAGACCTCAGGAAACTTACAATCACGGCAGAAGGCATGAAGGGGAAGCAGGCACGTCTTACATGCCCAGAGCAGGAGCAAGAGAGAGAAAGGGAGGAGGTGCCACCCACTTTTAAACAACCAGATCTCGTGAGAACTCTATTACAAGAACAGCACTGGCTGGGCACGGTGGCTTATGCCTGTAATCCCAGCACTTTGGGAGGCTGAGGTAGGCAGATCACCTGAGGTTAGGAGTTTGAAACCAGTCTGGCCAACATGGTGAAACCCCGTCTCTACCAAAAAATACAAAAATTAGCCAGGTGTGGTGGCACGTGCCTGCAGTCCCAACTGCTTGGGAGGCTGAGGCAGAAGAATCGTTTGTACCCGGGAGGCAGAGGTTGCAGCGAGCCAAGACCGCACCACTGCACTCCAGCCTGGACAACAGAGTGATACCATGTCTCCAAAAAAAAAAAAAAAAAAAAAAAAAAGAATAGCACCAAATGGAAAGATCTGGCCCCACGATCCAATCACCTCCCACCAGGCCCTACCTCTAACATTGGGGATTGCAATTCAACAAGTGATTTGTGTGGGGACACAAATCCAAAACATATCATGCAGTATCCTTTGGTTTGTGACAGTGGGGTGACATTATCAGCCCTAATTCTGGAGGCTGGGGAGGGAGCAGCTACCACAGCCTGGAGCTGGAGAGAGCTGTCCCGAGAGCACCACCCGATGGGACCTCAGGGCTTCGGTAGAGGAACACAGCCAGCCCGTGAGGACTTTGTGACAAGGACAGCAGGGCATACTCTGATCTCACCCTGTCCCCATTATCCAAACCCAGCAGGAAGCTAGAGCACATGGTGCCCACAGACATAACCCAGACAAGTCCAGCTTTGGGGAGAAAGCAGAGTAGAGAAGGGTGGAGGATGGAGCTCCACTCCTAGCCAGCATCAGGCCATGGTCTCCTTTATTCTAGAACAACTCCTTCACTTCTGTGAGTCTCTCATGGCTGTTGACAGTTTTGAAATATTCATGTGAGTTGTTTTGGATTTTTGGAATTAAACTCCCCACTTGATGTGTGTGCGGCTTTTTTTTGTTTGTTTGTTTCATTTTATTTTGTTTAGAGACAGAGTCTCACTCTATTGCCTCGGCTGGAGTGCAGTGGCACAATCATAGCTCTGCAGCCTTGAACTCCTGGACTTAAGCGATCCTCCTGCCTCAGACTCACAAGTAGCTGGGACTACAGGCACATGCCACCATATTCAGCAAATTTTTTTTTTTTTCTGTAGAGACGAGGTCTCACCGTGTTGCCCACGCTGGTCTTGAATTCCTGGGCCCAAGCGATCCTCTGCTTCAGCCTCCCAATGTGCTGGGAGTATAGGCATGAGCCACCATGCCTGCCCCAGTGCAAGTTTTCGAGGAGGTGGTCAGGTCAGGCCGAGAGCAAGTGGCTCACATGATACCTTGACACTGGGTGTGGGAATTTCTGCATTTCCTCAAGAGGCTGTGTAGCAAAATGATTCAGTGTGCTGGCTCTGGAGCCTGACTGCCTGGGTTCAAGGCCAGGCTCTGCCATTTAGTAGCTGTGTGACATTAGCCAAGTTACATGGCCTCTCCAAGCCCCAGTTTCCTTACCTGAAAAGTGGAAATGATAGTAATACCTGTTAATTGGTTGCTATGGAAATGGGCTCACCTGGCACAGTGAGCACTGTGTGTTGCTGCTCTTACTCCTTCCTGTAAATTTTCCGTCTCCTAGAAACTGCCATTCACCATCCCTGAGCTGGTTCATGCCTCTCCCTGCCGCAGCTCTGATGGGGTCTTCTACACAGGTGAGCATCTCTTCAGCCTGTGGGGTCCAGGTTCAGCCAGCAGAGGCAGGGATCTAAGTCGTGACGGCTAATTAGGCACAAGAGTGGCGGGGCCACACCTCTTCCCATGCCAACTTGAGAGCTAACACACTTTCCACCTCCACAGGCCGGAAGCAGGATGCCTGGTTTGTGGTGGACCCTGAGTCAGGGGAGACCCAGATGACACTGACCACAGAGGGTCCCTCCACCCCCCGCCTCTACATTGGCCGAACACGTGAGTTGGGCCCCAGCTGTTCCTCAAGCTCTGGGCAGCCTCCCCTTTTGCTCTGCTGAGATCTAGCTGTGGCTAACCAAGTTGAATTCAGGACAGTCAGTCTGTTAGTCATCAACAAACATTCTACAGAGCACTGAACTAGGAGCCAGGAATAGAGCTGTAAACAAGACAGCTCCAGTCTCTGCCACTGTGATGTTCACAGGCTTCCAGGTCTCTAGGCTGTGTGCTCAGGAAACCCCCACTCCTGCAAGATAAATGGCCCCTGGGGTTGGAGGGAGCATCAAATGGACGTTCCTGGTAATCTTGCTTCTGGGATCCCCAGAGTATACGGTCACCATGCATGACCCAAGAGCCCCAGCCCTGCGCTGGAACACCACCTACCGCCGCTACTCAGCGCCCCCCATGGATGGCTCACCTGGGAAATGTGAGTTCCACCTTTCTCTGGTCCCATCTTGGAGCAAGGTCCCCAACCCAGGGAACCCTGAACAGCATCCATGACCAATTCCCAGCCACATTTCGACCCACTTGACCTCCCCAGGGACCCCATATACTAAATGGCACACCCCTGATGGCTGACCCCAAGTGACTCCCTCAACACCCAGACTGACCCTCCTGAACCCTGGCCAATCCCTCAACCTCCTAACTCTTCTATACTCCAAGTGGCCCCAACCGGGTAACCCTGGATGACTTCCCACATCCAGAGTGACCCCAAACAGCCCCTAAGCAATCTCTGTGTGTCCTAACTGACCCCTATATATAACCCCTGAAAGCTAACCCTAAGTAGCCTCTTCCATAGACCGACTCCCCAGGTGACCCCGACCACTCCCCACCATTTTTTGTGAGATGGGGTCTCACTCTGTCACCCAGGCTGGAGTGCAGTACTGTGATCACAGCTTACCGTAGCCTCCAACTCCTGGGCTGAAGTGATCCCCTATCCTCAGCCTCCTGAATAGCTGGGACTGCAGATGTGTACCACCAAGCCTGGCTCATCTTTTAATTTTTGTGTAGAGATGGGGTCTTGCTATGTTGCCCAGGCTGGTCTCAAACTCCTGGGCTTAAGTAATCCTCCTGTCTTGGCTTCCCAAAGTGCTGGGATTACGAGCATAAGCCACCACACCTGGCCCACCCCCTTGATATTATGACTGATACCCAACTGCCTGAGTGACCTTACAGGTGCCCCAAGGCCCCCTCAAGCCCTGATTCCATCATTCTGCATGAGACCCTACACAGGTCACCTCAGCAGAGGTGAGGTCACCTACTCGCCCCAACTGACCCCTCTCACACTGTAAGTGACTCCCAAGTGACCCAAATGCCTCCAGGCCACCCTGATTGATCCATCCCAGGTGACCATATGTTGACCATGAGCAATACCCCACCATCCTAAGTGACCCAAACTGACTCCCACACATCTGAGTCACCTTTGAATGACCCTGACTGATGGCCTCGTTTTCAAAGTGACTCCATGAACTCCAACAAACATTCTCATGTCCAGATAACCCTCCATGTGATCTCCACACACCAGACTGACCCCTCACCCAGAGGGCACACCCTTGGACCCTCTTAGGAGAGCTTCCAACCACATCTCCCCAGCCACCTTTCTCGGCAGACATGAGCCACCTGGCGTCCTGCGGGATGGGCCTGCTGCTCACTGTGGACCCAGGAAGCGGGACGGTGCTGTGGACACAGGACCTGGGCGTGCCTGTGATGGGCGTCTACACCTGGCACCAGGACGGCCTGCGCCAGCTGCCGCATCTCACGCTGGCTCGAGACACTCTGCATTTCCTCGCCCTCCGCTGGGGCCACATCCGACTGCCTGCCTCAGGCCCCCGGGACACAGCCACCCTCTTCTCTACCTTGGACACCCAGCTGCTGTAGGTGTTCGTGCCTGGGGCCCAGGGAGGGAGCCATCTGGGAGTGTCGCAACCTGGGTCTGATGGCCAGGCGAGATGTTCAGCTGTGACACACCAGTACCGCTGAACCAGGGGTCAAAACATTTCAAATTGGTTACTTACCCAACTGGTTGGTAAATAACCAGTGTCCTCTGCTGCCCTCCAAGTGTCCCCGGGACCCCCTGGGTAGCCCCCACTGTTCAGCAACTCATACGGTAAGATCTGGCCTAGGAGGGTGTATTAGTCTGTTTCATGCTGCTGATAAAGACATACCCAAGACTCGGCAATTTACAAAAGAAAGAGGTTTAATTGGACTTTCAGTTCCACGTGGCTGGGGAAGCCTCACAATCATGGCAGAAAGCAAGCAGGAACAAGTCACATCTTACGTGGATGGCGGCAGGCAAAGAGAGAAGCTTGTGCAGGGAAACTCCCCCTTATAAAACCATCAGATCTTGTGAGACTTATTCACTATCACAAGAACAGCATGGGAAAGACCTCATGATTCAATTACCTCCCACCGGGTCCCTACCACAACCCATGGAAATTCAAGATGAGATTTTGGTGGGGACACAGCCAAACCATATCAGAGGGGGACTCCAGGTCTTAACCTGTTCTGGTTGGTAGGTGCTGTGCCTTATGGATTGTTAAATACTTTAAATAACAACCTTATTTAACTTACCTTATTTAACAACTTATTTAAGGTATTATTGCATCTAATACCTTAGTGTCCCCATCTTGATAAACCAGTAGACAGCTTGGGAAAATCAGGGATCATCTATTCATTCAATTCATTCTGCAAATATTAATTGAGCACTTACTGTGTGCCAGTCTCACTAGAGTCTGGGAGTACAATAGCAAATAACCCAGCCATTGTTCCTGCCTCAGGAACCCGAGTCTAATGGGAGAGACAGATATGTGAAGAGACTATTGCAACCTGATATGATAAAGGATGAGATGAAAGTAGTATAAGATGCCATGGGAATGTATAGGAAGAGTACCCACATCAAGACTGGGGACAGGAGGCAGTCATGGAAAGCTTCCTAGAGGAAGGAACATCTAAACTGAAACCTAAAAAATGAATAGGAAATGAGAGAGATGAGAGAGCATAGAATTCAGGTAACAGGAAAAAATTAAATAAGACTGAAATACAGACCTGAGAAAGGAGTAGAGCCTGAGATTATAAGCTAAGAAGAGATCTTGTAGGATCATTTAAAGGGCTTGGACATTTTCTCCTAAAGTTAAAAAGTCACTGGAGAGTTTTAAGGAAGGAAGTGATTTAATCATATTTTCATTTTAGAAAGAATATCTTAGAATGGTATATGGAAAGAAGTGGACCATTCATGGAATATTGATTTGTTCAGGCAAGAAATGAAGATACTTTATACTAGAGCAGAAACTAGAGAGAGGAAAATAGGTGGAGTGTAAGATATATTAGAAGGAAGAACTAGTAAAAATTTGGTGATTAGGGAGTTTGACGATTGTGAGCAAGGAGTCAAAGATCATGCTCAGGTTTCTAGAAGCACGTGGGTACTGTCATTTTCAGAGGCAGGGAACACTAGAGGAGGTGGGGGAGAAGAAGGAGGAAGAAGTAAAGGACGATGTAATGAGTTTATATTTAGAAAATTGAGCTCTTGAAAGAGGTCTGGGTTAGACATAGATTTGAAATCATGACTATGGAACATGTATCAGCTAGCTTTAGCTGCATAACAAATTGCCCCAAAACAGAGAACTTAAAAAACAACAGTTTATTATTTTTCAAGATTCTGTGGGTCAGCTGGGGTGGGTTGTTTTTCTGCAGTCTGCTCATGGCTTGGTTGAGTCTGGAGAATCTAGGATGGCCTCACTTACCTATCTCATAGTTGATGGACTGTTTGACCTATGGGGGATTAAAGAGATCTCTCACACCCCAGCAGGCTAGCCTGGGTTTTCTCCCACGGTGGTCTCAGGGTCTAAAGAAAAATGCATAAGGAAGCCTGAAGGCACAAGCACTTTTCAAGCCTCTACTTATGTCACATTTGCTGTTGTCTAATTGATTAAAGCAAGTCTCATGGCTAAGCTGAGTCAATGTGAGAGGGAAATATACAAGGGCATGAGTACCTTGATAACTGAAACTACCCATCACCAGCATTCATTCTTCTCTTCTTTTTCTTCTCTCCCACTAGAATGACGCTGTATGTGGGGAAGGATGAAACTGGCTTCTATGTCTCTAAAGCACTGGTCCACACAGGAGTGGCCCTGGTGGTAAGAAGTGGTCTCTGAGTGGGCTGGAAAGAGGATGAACGGGAGAAGAACCTCCCTCACTCATGGCTCTCCATCTTCTGCCATAGCCTCGTGGACTGACCCTGGCCCCCGCAGATGGCCCCACCACAGATGAGGTGACACTCCAAGTCTCAGGAGAGCGAGAGGGCTCACCCAGCACTGCTGTTAGATACCCCTCAGGCAGTGTGGCCCTCCCAAGCCAGTGGCTGCTCATTGGTGAGATCCTCTGGCTCAAATTGGGAGTAGATGAAGATAAAGAACCTGTGAGCCCAGCTTCTGAGCTGGAAAGCTAAGGTCCCCTTCAGCCTGATGACTTTTGCCCCCCACCTTAGGACACCACGAGCTACCCCCAGTCCTGCACACCACCATGCTGAGGGTCCATCCCACCCTGGGGAGTGGAACTGCAGAGACAAGACCTCCAGAGAATACCCAGGCCCCAGCCTTCTTCTTGGAGGTCAGTGCTGGGAGGGGAGAGAGTGGGGGTAGGGAGGCCCCAGCAGATGGGGGGAATAGCCCTTGGATCTTTTCCTCGGGCTGCTAAGAATAACACTCGGGGGTGGGTCAATTGACCTCACACAATTTCCCAGACTTTTTGTTGGGAACAACACAACTTGTTGTTGTTGTTGTTGTTGTTACTGCCAGAAACACGTTAGAAGTGTTAAAAAGTGGCTGGGCAGGTGATTCATGCTTATATTCTCAGCACTTTGGGAGGTCAATGTGGGAGGATGGATGGCTTGAGGTCAGGAGTTTGAGACCAGCCTGGGTAATATAACAAGACCCCATCTCTACAAAAAAATAAAAATAAAAAATTAGTGGGGAATGGTTGTGTGCATCTGTAGTCCCAGCTACTCAGGAGGCTGACGTGGGAGGATTGCTCGAGCCCAAGAGTTTGAGGCTGCAGTGAGCTATGGTCACACCACTGCACTGTATAACACAGTGAGACCCTGTCTCAAAAAAAAAAAAAAAAGACATTGACTATTTAAATCATGAAACATAGGTCACATTTTCTTTATTCTTCTTCAGCGTAAAAATTGTAAAATATTCATTGAAAACAAAAACTATAAAAGCATGTGCTCCTGGGAGAGGTTTGGACCAAAATCACTAGTAAGTAGCTCAAGGTTAGAAGGAACAGCCATGGCCTAGAGCAATAATTCTCAAATCCGGTTGCTCATCAGAATCACCTGGGAGCCCACTCCAGCGCTAACGCGTTTAGGATCTCTGGAGGTGGACATCTATATTTTTAGTGACATTCCAAGAGTACCTGTATTTTTTAGTGACATCCCATGAAATGCTGGTCATTGGGTAGGTTTAGAAAACCGTTCTTCTGGGCAACATGATGTTTCAGCACTGTGGAGAGTGCCACGTTTCCCACCATACACAGACCACTCACTGCCCCTTCAGCTAAGCCCAGCTCTGTGCTGGGTGATGAAGAAAAGTTAGGGGTTCCCTGGTGGAAGGGGGTGCTAAAAGTGAAGGGCCCTTTATCCCCAGCTATTGAGCCTGAGCCGAGAGAAACTTTGGGACTCCGAGCTGCATCCAGAAGAAAAAACTCCAGACTCTTACTTGGGGCTGGGACCCCAAGACCTGCTGGCAGCTAGCCTCACTGCTGTCCTCCTGGGAGGGTGGATTCTCTTTGTGATGAGGCAGGTAGGCCCACCGCCCTGACCTCAGGTCTATCTGGGGAGAACGCTGCTTCTCCTCTCTGAGACCACTCAGCAACTCTCTCCCTCTACCCAGCTCTGATTTTGCCCCCTGCCTCCCTCCCAGCAGCTCCCCAGGCCCCTGCGATCTTGCTCTGTAAGTTCATGCAGTCTGGTGAGGCCATCTCAGTCACAGATACTGGGCCCATCACGGGGCAGGGCGTGGCCAGGACAAAGCTCTCTTAGGCTCTCATGTTACAGCAACAGCCGCAGGTGGTGGAGAAGCAGCAGGAGACCCCCCTGGCACCTGCAGACTTTGCTCACATCTCCCAGGATGCCCAGTCCCTGCACTCGGGGGCCAGCCGGAGGAGCCAGAAGAGGCTTCAGAGTCCCTCAAAGCAAGCCCAGCCACTCGACGACCCTGAAGGTGAGCCTGTGTGAACAAGACAGGGCAGTCAGGAACAGAGAAAAGCCAGGGGCAGATTTAGCTGCAAAGCTGGTTTATTAAAAGCCACTATAGTGGGGTGGTTAGGTCTACATGAATTAAGAAGAGTGTTTTGAGTAGAGCCTGCTACGTAATTGAGCACTCTAGGAGTGTCTGCTGTCATTTTTTCATCATTATTTTTTTGGAGACAGGATCTTGCTCTGTTGCCCAGGCTGGAGTACAGTGGCACAATCATAGCTCACTGCAGCCTCAAGCTCCTGGGCTCAAGAAATCCTCCCTCCTCAGCCTCTCAAGTAGCTGTGACTACAGGCATAAACCACCATGCCCAGCTAGTTTTAAAGTTTTGTTTTGTTTTGCAGAGATTGGGTCTCGCTATGTTACCCAGGCTGGTCTTGAACTGATGTCCTCTAGTGATCCTCCCACCTTAGCCTCCCAAAGTGCTGGGATTACAGGCATGAGTCACCATGCCCAGCTCATTATTGTATTATTATTTTCAAGGAACCTGGGTGTAGATAAAACTGGGTATAGATCTAAGGCTGCTCTCTGTTTACCTCTTTTGAGCTCAGTTTTTTCATTTGTCAAATGGGAATAATAACATCCAGTTCATTACATCATCTCATCATGAGAAGTCACAATCATTATTATTAAATAATACTTAGGTAATATTAATATTCATGTTAAAATGATGTTATATTTGGAAACAATAATAGTAAACGACCTTTGTACAATTTAGTACCTTTTATTTTTTAAACACTTATCTTTTCTCAATTTAGTCTTCTAAAGACTAAAGCCCTTTTAGGTTGGGCATGGTGGCTTACACCTGTAATCCCAGAACTTTCAGAGGCCAAGGTGGGGATTGCTTAAGGCCAGGAGTTCGAGACCAGCCTGGGCAACATAGGGAGACCTTGTCTCTACAAATAATACAAACAATTCGCCGGGCGTGGTGGTGTGCACCTGCAGTCCCAGCTACTCAGAAGGCTAAGGCAGGAGGATCGCTTGAGTCCAGAAGGTCGAGGCTGCAGTGAGCTGTGAATCTTTCAAGGTTCCTCTGGCATCTGGAATGTTCCAGGGGCTTCTTGCATGCCTTTACCAATCAGCCCAGGCTACTTCTGCTTGATTGGCTCTGGGCTGGCTCATGGTTTTGGTTGTCTTTGTGAACTTGTGCTGGCACCTTCTAGTCACTGCTCAAGCCACTTCCTCATACCTTGGCCCCACCCTGCCGTCACCTTCTCAGGCGGAAGTCTATGCCACACTTGGCTTGATACTCCAGTGCTGTTCGCAATGTCCGCCTCTGTGGTCATTGTGCCTTAGCCCAGAGGAAAACAGCTCCCCTTCCTCAGGGGTCAGCTCTTTTAGAGGGCCCTGCAGCAGGATTTCCTGAGCCCTGAGCTGTTGTAGTTTTTGTCATTTTACTGGCCCTGGGTGGGTCCAAGTAATACTCACCCCACTGTACCCCAAAACGCCCATCTCCCTGGACCTTCGGACTCGAGTTGAGTCTGGCTCATCTTTACCTGGACAACCAGGACTCCATCTTTCCCCAGGATCATTCTTGTCAAAGTCCTCATGGACTATTTTATGGTTCACAAAATTACAGTGGAGTCACAGCCAACTTTCATTTAACTTGAATAAATTTGGCTGGGCACGGTGGCTCATGCCTGTAATCCCAGCACTTTGGGAGGCCAAGGCAGGGGGATCACTTGAGGTCAGGGGTTCGAGACCAGCATGGCTAACATGGTGAAACCACATCTCTACTAAAAATACAAAAATGAGTCTGGTGTGGTGGTGGGTGCCTGTAGTTCCAGCTACTGGGGGGTGGCTGAGGTACAAGAATTGCTTAAACCCAAGAGGCAGAGGTTGCAATGAGCCAAGATTGCGCCACTGCACTCCAGCCTGGGCAACAGAGCAAGACTCCACCTCAAAACAAAACAAAACAAAAAACCCACAAAAAACAAAAACAAAAACTTACACAAATTCATCTACATGTGCTTGGCTGGGCCTCCCTCAGGACCTCTGGCTGCATCATGTATTCAATAACAAGTGGATGCAATCCAGCCTGAACCAGGGATAACATTTCTATAGCGCTTACTGTATACCAGGCTATACCAGGCAGTGTTCTGAATCCTTTGAATGCATTAACTCATGAGATAACATTCCTGTGAGGTGAATGTTATTATAGAATTCTCCTTTTATGGAAGAGGAAACTAAGGCAGAAAGGTCTAGTGACAACTCCCATCCTTACCCCCGGCTCACAAAGCTAATAAGTGGCAGCTCAGGGGTCCAAATGCATGTGGCTGGCTCCAGCAAGTGCCCTAATTTCTGTGGGATGGTGCCCCTGTTTGAACAATACCTGGCAAATACCTGTGAAAGAATGTGACTGACTGTAAGTGTTCCCCAACCTGTGTAGAAGCAGCAGCAAAGTCCATCATGTGTATGCAGGATTTCCAGAGGTAATTCTGACTGTATGCCCTTTCTCCCTGACACGAGATTTTTGATTACTTTAGAATTGAGCTTGGGAGGCTTAGGTGGGAGGATTGCTTGAGCCCAGCCTGGGCAACATAGTGAAGCCCCATCTCTACAAAAATTAAAAATACAAAAAGATTAGCCAGGCATGGAGGCACATGCCTGTAATCCAGCTGCTTGGGGGGCTGAGGCAGGAGGATTGCTTGAGCCCAGGAGTTCGAGGTTACAGTGAGCTATGATCACGCCAGTGCACTCTAGCCTGGGTGACAGAGTGAGCCCCTGTTTCTAAAACAACAACAACAACGACAAAAACTCCCACATTTGCTGCCTCTCCATTATAATTATGCAAAAGGCTAAGCAAAGTGATAACAAATATCTGTGTGTGCAGACTGAGCCTCCCCAGCTCATATATCTGCATTGAAGGCCTTTGTGGCCTTAAGTCTGGCCTGTCTCTTCGAGGGTGCTTCTGAACATCTAATCCAGGAAACTCTAAGCAAGTGTTTACTCCATGCCGAGAGTACTGAGAGCAGACACACAAGAGCCTCTGAGTCCAGCAGAGCCAGTGACACAAAGAGGGCCCAGAAGGGTGACTGTCACCTGCAGTCAGATGAGCAGGGTTTGTTCAAGCAGCTCTGTCCCTGCTCTCTGATCTGCCTGTTTTTCCTATGTGTGGGTGATGTACTTCCAGCAAGGCCCTGCCTGAGCCCATCTACTCCAGAAAGTCCAGTGTATACCAAAGGTACTGCCTGCATCTTACTGACAGATGAGTATGAACTCTAAGCAAATAATCCAGAGGAATGCTAAGGTGCAACTTGGTGTTTTCTCACTGATCCCTAATGCTGATTTTATTATTATTATTATTATTATTATTATTATTATTATTAATTATTGAGATAGGGTCTTGCTGTGTCACTCAGGCTGAAATGTAGTGGCGTGATCTCAGCTCACTGCAACATCTGCTTCCCAGGCTCAAGCCAATCCTCCCACCTCAGCCTACTGAGTAGCTGGATGACAGGCACACAACACCATGCCTGGCTAGTTTTTTTTGTAAAGATGGGGTTTCATCATGTTCCCAGGCTGGTCTTGAACTCAAGTGATCCACCTTTCCCGGCCTCCCAAAGTGCTGGGATTACAGGTGTGAGCCACGGTGCCCAGCCCTAATGCTGATTTTCATTTACTCTTCCCAGAGCTGATTGTAAAAACTGAAGCTAAAAACTCTTATAAAGTAGAGTGTTCTCAGGACCACCGCACTGCACAACTCTAGGGGTGCCATATATGTTTTGCCATATGAATAGTGCCCGTTGGAGCTGAGCAGGACACAGCCTGCCCAGATTTGCCAGGGTCAGAGTGAGACGTCTCTCACAGGCTGCCCAAAGGGAAGGGCAGTAATTGTCCCAACCTACAGATCTTTGCCCACCTGAGCCGACCCCACCCATCCTAATGGGAAACCGAGGCCTCTAGGGGTACCCCTGCTGCCCTGGAACTAACTCTGGGCAGGTTAGCATCCAATGCCCACTGCTTCTGTCCGGTCCAGTCTTTTTTCTGTGGCTATACTCACTCTCATCACTCTTCCAACTGCCAGAACTCACCTTACCTTGAAGTTGAAGCTGATTCAGTGTCAATTAAAAGGATTCAGTTACAACTGGTGGAGGTGGGCAGAATGGCAGAGGATGTAAAGGGAAAACAAAGCAAAACAAAACAAACCTGTGCAGAAGATGCTGAAAGAGGGAGAGAAATAAAAGAGGATAATATAGCAAACATCACCTCCACCCGTTCTTTCCATATATCCATTTAATCCTCACAATAATATTGTGTGGGCTCTTTAGCTTTAGCTCCCCACTCTACAGATGAGAATACCGAGGGCACAGAAGTGAGGAATTTGCCTAAGTAGACAAAGAATCAGTGGCAGCACCAGGCATTGGATCCAGACAGTCTGGCACTTGGGCCCTTGCTCTTACCCACTGCACCAGGCTGAGCATGGGAGGGTGGAGGCCCAGAAAATGTCAAGGTGAGTCTGGACTGGGCCAGTGGCCGGCAAAGGTGGGCAGAGGCTCCCTGAGTCACCACCCTCCTCTCCCCCAGCTGAGCAACTCACCGTAGTGGGGAAGATTTCCTTCAATCCCAAGGACGTGCTGGGCCGCGGGGCAGGCGGGACTTTCG
Source organism: Homo sapiens (assembly GCF_000001405.40). Lineage (NCBI taxonomy): Eukaryota > Metazoa > Chordata > Mammalia > Primates > Hominidae > Homo > Homo sapiens. The sequence goes on along the minus strand of NC_000016.10, from coordinate 23,695,900 downwards.
TTTTCCGGTGAGTGGCAGCCAGGAGCCAAGCTGGGGACATGGCACTCACAGCCCTCGTGGGCACTGTCCCCTGGAGAGACATTCTTTCAAAGACTCCCCGAGGTGGGTACAGGTTGATCCCTCACTCGCCAGTCCTGCTCTTTCCTTTATCTGTTTTTTTTTTTTTTTTTTTTTTTTTGAGTCTTGCTCTGTTGCCCAGGCTGGAGGGCAGTGGTGCAATCTCAGCTCACTGCAACCTCCGCTTCCCAGGTTCAAGCAATTCCGGGCCTCAGCCTTCCCAGTAGCTGGGATTACAGGTGTGTATCACCATGCCCGGCTAATTTTTATATTTTTTTTAGTAGAGATGGGGGTTTCACCATGTTGGCCAGGCTGGTCTCGAACTCCTGACCTCAAGTGACCCGCCCGCCTTGGCCTCCCAAAGTGCTAGGATTACAGGTGTGAGCCACCATGTTTGTCCCTTTATCTGCTTTCCCTGAATGCCCCCCTGCCCCCGCCATCACCCACTTTCCAGGGGACAGTTTGAGGGACGGGCAGTGGCTGTCAAGCGGCTCCTCCGCGAGTGCTTTGGCCTGGTTCGGCGGGAAGTTCAACTGCTGCAGGAGTCTGACAGGCACCCCAACGTGCTCCGCTACTTCTGCACCGAGCGGGGACCCCAGTTCCACTACATTGCCCTGGAGCTCTGCCGGGCCTCCTTGCAGGAGGTGAGTTGCATTGCGGTTCAGGGAGGGTGAGTGGGAAGGTCCGGGCTGGAGAGTGATGCTTTGGCCCTTGCTGCTGCTCAGTACGTAGAAAACCCGGACCTGGATCGCGGGGGTCTGGAGCCCGAGGTCGTGCTGCAGCAGCTGATGTCTGGCCTGGCCCACCTGCACTCTTTACACATAGGTACCCGCACTTCCCCTGCCTCCCGCTCCCTGTCCTTAGCCCCTGCCTTCCGCCCTCAGCAACCAGCTTTCTTTCTGCCCCTCTCCCACAGTGCACCGGGACCTGAAGCCAGGAAATATTCTCATCACCGGGCCTGACAGCCAGGGCCTGGGCAGAGTGGTGCTCTCAGACTTCGGCCTCTGCAAGAAGCTGCCTGCTGGCCGCTGTAGCTTCAGCCTCCACTCCGGCATCCCCGGCACGGAAGGCTGGATGGCGCCCGAGCTTCTGCAGCTCCTGCCACCAGACAGTCCTGTGAGTCTATCCACCAAGTCCTCCAGGCACACAGCTGCCCCAGGCTGCAGGAATCCGTCCCTGTCCCAGTTCCCCTCCTGAGGAGACTCCATGACACTTGCTGTGTGACTTTGAGCTGCTCCTCCAAGCTTGTTTCCCTTAAAGAAGGGATAATTTGTCCCTCCTTCTACAGCAGTATCAGGACTGTTTTGCCACCCAGGGGACATTAGGCAATGTCTGGAGACATTTTTGACTGCCATGACTTGGGAGGGAGGGGCTACTGGCATCTGCTGGAAATGCTGCTAAATGTCTTACAGGACAGGACAACACCCAACACAAAGAACTAACAAAATGCCAGTTGTGCTGAGGTTGGGAAACCCTGAGCTAGAAAATGGTTTGTAATCTTCACTGTGCTTCACAACCACTGCGCAACTTAAAAAAAGAATGCCCATTGCCGGGTGCGGTGGCTCACGCCTGTAATCCCAGCACTTTGAGAGGCCGAGGCAGGCAGATTGCTTGAGCTCAGGAGTTCGAGACCAGCCTGGGTAACCTAGGGAGACCTCGTCTCTACCAAAAGCACACACAATTTAGCCGGTGTGGGTGTGTGCATCTGTGGTCCCAGCTACTTGGGAGGCTGAGGTGGGAGGATCGCTTGAGCCTGGGAGGTGGAAGTTCCAGAGTCAAGATCACACTACTGCACTCTAGCCTGGACAACAGAGTGAGACTCTTTCTCTCAAAAAACAAAAAACAAACAAACAAACAAAACCCCAGGCCCCACACCCCGTGATTTTTACCTAATTGCCTGGGTCATTTTTATGTGGAGCCAAGTTCCAGAACCACTGGTATCGAAGGTTTTGGAGGGCATCAGATGAGCTAATTAGTTGATACACAGAGCAGCGTCTGACCCACACAGACACTTGCGTTTGGGACCCCTGAATTACGGATTTTGAGTCACAGTGTGTGGGCGGAAGTTGAAGCCAGAGAAATGGATGCCAATCACACAAAAGGACAGTCACCAGGGAAGGCTGCCCCCACTCCTAAAGTTGAGAGAAAGCTCAAAGTGGTGAGCAGGGCTCAAGGACTAAATGCATGATGTCATGAGACTATACAGTTTATATTTAAATTAGTGGCCTATATATATATATATTTTTTTTTTTTTGAGATGGAGTTTCGCTCTTGTTGCCCAAGCTGGAGTGCAGTGACATGATCTCAGCTCACTGCAACCTCCACCTCCTGGGTTCAAGTGATTCTCCTGCCTCAGCCTCCCTAGTAGCTGGGACTATAGGCAGGTGCCACCATGCCCAGTTAATTTTTGTATTTTTAGTAGAGATGGGGTTTATGCCATGTTGGCCAGGCTGGTCTCGAACTCCCAGCCCTCAGGTGATTCACCTACCTCGGCCTCCCAAAGTGCTGAGATTATAGGCATGAGCCACTGTGCTTGGCCCTATATATATATATTTTTGAGACAGGGTCTTGCTCTGTCATGGAGTGCAGTCATACCATCACAGCTTACTGCAGCCTTAAACTCCTGGGCTCAAGGGATCCTCTCACCTCAGCCTCCCAAGTAGCTGGGACTACAGGCACACAACATGGCACCCAGCTAATTTTTGTATTTTTTTGTAGAGGCAGGGTCTCACCATGTTGCCCACGCTGGTCTTGAACTCCTGGCCTCCCAAAGTGCTGGGATTACAAGGTGTCAGCCACATGCCTGGCCCAATATTTTAACATTTGAGAAATTCCACATAAAATTTGGATTTCTGGATTTTCTTTAAAAAAAAAAAAAATCAGAATCGCTTGAGGCCAAAAGTTCAAGATCGGGCTGGGTAACATAAGAAGACCCATCTCTACAAACAATTTAAAAATTGGTCAGGCATGGTGGCACATGCCTGTAGTCCCACCTACTCAGGCCGAGGTAGATTGCTTGAGCCCAGGAGTTTGAGGTTACAGTGAGCTGTGGTTGCGCCACTGCACTCTAGCCTGGGCAACATGAGCAAAGCCCCAACAAAAAAAAAAACAAAATCAGCTCTGCCACCCTGGAGAGTCCCCTGGTGACAACCGGTTGAAGCTAAGGACCAGCTGCCCCTGCAGAAAAAACCCATGCCAGGTCACCACAGTCCTCCTGATTGCCTTATTGCCTCATGTATGGCACCCACTTATGTAACCCTATACCCTGCAGGAATGAAGCTTGGAAACCTGAACTAGCTCAGTAAGGGCAAAGGTTTTGGATGAAAACCATGGGCCCCCTATAGTAGTGTAGAGGGGAGGGATCTAGAGCCAAGGAGATGCTGCCCAGGAAGCATCTTGAGTTCCAGTCTGAGCCAAACCCCTGGCAGCTCTATCAGCCCATGGGAGAATTTAGCCAGGCTGACTTCCTGGAAGCAGAGATTTCCTTCTCATGCCCATCTCTCTGGCTCCAGACCAGCGCTGTGGACATCTTCTCTGCAGGCTGCGTGTTCTACTACGTGCTTTCTGGTGGCAGCCACCCCTTTGGAGACAGTCTTTATCGCCAGGCAAACATCCTCACAGGGGCTCCCTGTCTGGCTCACCTGGAGGAAGAGGTCCACGGTGAGGGAGCCCTGGGCAGGGCAGAGAAGGGAGGACGGGCAAGACGCTAGGCAGGCCTGAAGCAGACTCTCCTCCTCCTCTTCCATCCTCCAGACAAGGTGGTTGCCCGGGACCTGGTTGGAGCCATGTTGAGCCCACTGCCGCAGCCACGCCCCTCTGCCCCCCAGGTGCTGGCCCACCCCTTCTTTTGGAGCAGAGCCAAGCAACTCCAGTTCTTCCAGGTCAGAAGGAAAGCTTGGGAATGGCCCCCAAAAGTCCTAAGTTTGGGTCCTGGGCAATAAGAAATGGGATATTAGATTAGCTGAGGGAAAACAGGAAGAGCTACCTGGTCCTGGGAGCCTGGCTCTTTCCCTAAACTGGGAGCCAGCCTGGACTCCTAAACTCCGCCATCTTGGCACTCTCTGGTCCATTCACTGCCAGCTTTGCCAGCCCCAGCTGCCCTTTGTATGGGAATATAGCCCATTCCTTTCCACCCGAGTCATCATTCATGCTGTGCCAGTAGCCCACTGCACTTGAGTGAACTTGAGCAAGAGACTTCATGCCTCTGAACTGCAGTTTGCTCAATCTGTAGAATAGGGACAGCAGTACCAAGCTCATAGGTTGGTGGTAAATAACAGAGGCGTGGCACAGAGAAGCTTCACGCCCCCAGAGGCAATGATCCTTGTCAGTCACCCTAAACTACTCCTGTAAGACAACACACTCCTGGCTATGTGGCCTCTGGCCCCGGTCACAAGGCTCAGGAGCTCTCTGGGCCCCAGGACGTCAGTGACTGGCTGGAGAAGGAGTCCGAGCAGGAGCCCCTGGTGAGGGCACTGGAGGCGGGAGGCTGCGCAGTGGTCCGGGACAACTGGCACGAGCACATCTCCATGCCGCTGCAGACAGGTAGAGGCCATACTCAGGTGGGCCTGGGCGGTGGAGGGGAGTGGGCCTGGGCGGTGGAGGGGAGTCTAGCAGGGACGGTTTTGCCACTGAATTCCCTGTCCACAGATCTGAGAAAGTTCCGGTCCTATAAGGGGACATCAGTGCGAGACCTGCTCCGTGCTGTGAGGAACAAGGTATGTGTTGGGGCCTGGGTGGGCCTGGGTCTTGGGAAGGCCTGGCCGCAGCTGAGCCAGGGTTCTCTGCTCTACCTACCCACAGAAGCACCACTACAGGGAGCTCCCAGTTGAGGTGCGACAGGCACTCGGCCAAGTCCCTGATGGCTTCGTCCAGTACTTCACAAACCGCTTCCCACGGCTGCTCCTCCACACGCACCGAGCCATGAGGAGCTGCGCCTCTGAGAGCCTCTTCCTGCCCTACTACCCGCCAGACTCAGAGGCCAGGAGGCCATGCCCTGGGGCCACAGGGAGGTGAGGTGGGCTGGATGCCACACAGATGGTCTCCGTGCTGGCTCACTGAAGAGCTGAGCCTGTGGCTGGCCTCAGAATCAGGCTGGGTGCAGTGGCTCACACCTGTAATCCCAGCATTTTGGGAGGCTGAGTGAGAGGATCACTTGAGCTCAGGAGTTCGAGACCAGCCTGGCCAACATGGCAACACCCCATTTCTACAAAAAATTTGTAAAATTAGCCAGGCATGGTGGCGCACGCCTGTAGTCCCAGCTGCTTGGGAGGCTGAGGTGGGAGAATCACTTGAGCCCAGGAGTTCGAGGCTGCAGTGAGCCAGGATCATGCCACTGCACTCCAGCCTGGTCCACAGAGAGACACTGTCACCCCCTTTCCCCCACAAGACTGGCAGAGGCTGGGCAGCCTGGGGCTGATGAAGCAGAGATGTTCGCTGGATCCCAGGCCCTGGCACCCCTCAGGAAATACAAGAAAAAGAATATTCACATCTGTTTAATGTGCATAAAGCCAAGGAAAGGACAGTTCCGAATTCAATAGAAATATTCTGTACAATTCATATGGTGGGGTTGAGGGGGAGGGGGACAAGGCTGTAGAACCCACACCCGAACATGTACAAAAATAACTTATACAGCAACCCCCACCTGCAAGGATGATGCAGCTCTGCCCAGCCACCGGGGCTGGGGGGCACACTGCAGACATGGCACCGCGGGAGCCAACCAGTATGGGCCCCAGATGCAGGTGGGAGTGAGGAGGGCACCAGTCCGGAGGGGAGGGCAGCTATTAGGAGGCCTTGAGACGGTTGCTGGCCGAGCGTGAGCTCAGCAGCTTGTCCACCATAGTGCGGGCGTAGCGGAGCCGGCTGGCCAGCTCCTTGCAGCAGCCGTACTCCTCCAGGAGACTCAGGCGGTATGTGCGGAAGTCCCGCTTCTCGTCGATGTAGGTCACGGCTGCCATCAGTGGGCACAAGATGAGCTTGGTGTGATCCTGCAAGAGAAGAGCAGCAGGGGTTGGCGATCCCAGAGGCCAGTGTATGTTAGGGAGTAGAGGGAAGACACAACAGGTTATAGGTACCTGAGCCGCTCACTCCACATTCAACCCACATGGGCCACTGCCAGGCATGCGGAGCCTACCCCAGCTCTCTCCTGCGCCTGGTGACCTCCAGCTCACCTGGAAGAAGTTGATCTGCACGCTGCCGTTGCTGAGGTGCAGGATGATGGCGCTGCGGGTGCGGAACCAGGTCCGTAGGTAGGGCAGCCGGGCGAGCTCATCACCTTCGCGCGGCGTGATGTTGGCACCTGCCTTCAGCAAGTGCTCGCTCATGTAATTGCGGAAATATTTAAGGAGGGTGATCTGGATGAAAAGTAGGTAAGGGGTTCCAGAATTAGAGTCTGATCCTCCAGCACAGGTCCCACTTCTGCAACACCACCCCCCATGGGCCGGACGGCACTCACCTTCTTCATCAAGGAGTTGGGATGGGAACTCACGGTGAGGTAGGACTCAGTGCCGTCACGCTCTATGTACTGCAGGCTGTCACCATCATTGTAGAGGATGAGGCGTGTTGAGTCATTGAAGAGCACCCCCACGCTGTTATCACAGAGCTGATACCCTAGGGATCGGTGGAGAGAGGTCTCAGAAAGGGGGAATAGAAAGTGGGGAGTGGGACCGGGCGTGGTGGCACATGCCTGTGATTCCAGCACTTTGGGAGGCTGAGGGAGGAGGATTGTTTGAGCCCAGGAGTTTGAGACCAGCCTGGGCAACGTAATGAGACCCCATCTCTACAAAATATTTTAAAAATTAGCTGAGCATAATGGTGCACGCCTGTAGTCACAGCTACTTAGGGGCCTGGGAGTTTGAGGCTGCAGTGAGCCATGATTGTGCCACTGCACTCCAGCCTGGGCTACAGAGCAGGACCCTGTCTCTGGAAAAAAAAAAAGCTGGGGAGTCAGGGAGCACTGGGAGCTGGAACTGGGAGGCCTGGGATGGAGAGAGGAGGGCACTGAGAACAGTACCTGGGAGCTCAAAAAGGCCAGAGTCTGTAACAACTGAAAAGGTCACCTGGCTGTGCCTGAGTCACCCACCTGTTCTGGAAGAAACCTACCAAGGCCGTACTTGTCCGAATAGTCCACCCACTTGCTGACCCAGAAGATGGGGATGCAGGCAGGATCCTCAGCCTCCTCTGAGACAGAAACAGACAGACAGTTAGTTGGTCAGGACCAGCCTCTTCCCCTCTGCTCCACACATGTGGCCCACACCAGGGAACAGGGAAGCCTGCTGGGCACCCCACCTGGGCTCAGTTGAGAGGCCTAGGGCCCCAGAGAAGAGCAAAGCAGGGCCTCTGCTGCCAGCAGGCTCAGACAAGCAGCAGCACAGATATCTCTGCAGAGAAAGTCTCAGCACAGCGCACCAAGTTCCACTCACTCCTTCATTCCACTGACCCATTTACTGAAGGCCTACCGTGCCAGGCACTGTTGCAGGTTCAGTGAGCAACAGACAAAACCCCAGCCTCCACGGAGCTTACACTGTGGTTGTAGGGGCAAAGACTAATCAATTTAAGTATGGGCAAAATATCAGTGACTTCTATCATGGTAAGAGTCAGAGGCATCTAGTTTTCCAGTTTGGAGTAATTAAGAAACTGTGAAGACAGAAGCCAGTTGCAAACACATCAAAATGTTACGTTCAGTGCATGCAACAAACCCCTTAATTTAAATCCAATAAACAAAGAAGGACATGTTGGACTATGTTGGGTGAGAAGTGTTATGGAGAACTATGCAGTGGGCAAGAGGATGAGAAGCACCAGCAGAGGGGCCAGGGAGATGCTCACAGAGCTGACACTGGAGCAGACACTTGAAGGAGGCCACAGTGTGAGCCATGTGGTGTCTGGAAGAAGTGCTTTCGTGCCAGGACCAGGGAGAAAGCCCTGAGGCTGCAGTACATCTGGGTCTGTTATTTCAAGGGTCTTGAAGATACAATAGGAACTTACTGAGCAAAAGAAACAGCGTATGAAGGTGGCACATCGAGGTGCTAGAGTAAAAAAGACGGATCAGAAAAGGCGGCAGGAGCCACGGAAGCAGGGCCTTGGATATCAGGAAATGGGGAAACCAATGGTCCTATGCAGACAGGGCCTGAACAAGTCACCAGTGCTTTGTTGGCCAAGCCTCCTCCTGCCTTTTCCAGATGCCCCAAGCAATCCTGCCCCGCCCAGGGCCCCGCAGTACCCACCTTGCCTGACCAGCCCACGCTCCGAGGGCTTGGAGGCATTGACACTGTGCAGCTGCTGCAGCATGTCACTGAGGTGGCAGTCGACCACCTCACCTGTCTCTCGAACCACTGGTTCTTCTTTTTCCCGGGGACGCTCAGGCAGGGGGTTCTCCAAGCCTAGGAAGGTGACAAAAACAGGGGCGTTGGGAAGGGCACGGGACTCCCCTGCCACAGCTGAAACTCTTCCGAAAGAAAAATTCTCTTAGCTACCACTGCTTTGGGGAAACTGAATCAGTGCCTGGTTACTAGAGCAGCAGCTGCCATGCTCAGGTGACAGGCACATAGTGCTCACTGTGAGGCAACAGATCTTCAGAAGCCGTGGCCTCTGACCCAACGGTGTGGCCCTGCAGGATGACCTGCCACTCAGGCAAACAGCTTGAAGGCACCAGCAGCTCAGAGCTGCCCAGCTTTGAGCAAAGAATGGAAAGCATCTTCAGCATCCAGGCAGATGGAAGGGCTGAGTAGTTCAGTTCATCCACAGAATGGATTCAGTAGGCATTTAAATAAAAACACAAGAAATTTTTTTCCACCCCAAAATTTGCTTTATATGCTTATTTATAACCAAAAAAGCTTGAAAAGATAACATGAAATTTTAACGCTGATTATATCTGGGCAGTAGAAACACAGATTATTCTTATTGTCTTTTTCCTTATTTATTTATTCCCCCACCACCATGTGCTAATTCTCCTTGTATAATATAAAATGTTTAAGTTTTCAATTAAAAAACGATGTCATGATAGGGACTTGGGTATGAAATAATAAGATATTAGGGATTTGCTTTAAACACTCCAGCAAGGCCAGGCCCAGTGGCTCACACTTGTAATCCCAACACTATGAGAGACCGAGGCAGGTAGATTGTTTGAGCTCAGGAGTTTGAGACCAGCCTGAGCAACATGGCAAAACCCTGTCTTTACTAAAAATACAGAAACTAGCTGGACATGGTGGCACACCTGTAGTCCTAGCTACTTGGGAGGCTGAGGTGGGAGAGTCACTTGAACGCAGGAGGTGGAGGCTGCAGTGAGCCATGATCTTGCCACAGCACTCCAGCCTGGGCAACAAAGCAAGAATGTCTCAAATAAATAATAATAAATAGTAAATAATAATTTTTTAAAACACCGGTAACAAAAAAGGCAGGAGGCTGGAATAAATAAAACAGTCTGTCCAAATGTTGATAACTAGTAAAAATAGATGAAACATGGGACTCATCATACAGTTCTCTCCACCTTCGGGTAACTGAAAATTTCCTTAAGTTTTTAAAATGCTATATAAAAAATTAAAACTGAAAGAAAAAAAGTAGGAGTCTGAGGCAGGAGGATCACTTGAGCTCAGGAGTTTGAGACCAGTGTGGGCAAGACCTCATCTCTACCAAAAATTTAAAAATTGGTCAGACGCGGTGGCACATGCCTAAAGTCTCAACTACTTGGGAGGCTGAGGCTGGAGGATCACTTGAGCCCAGGAGATCAAAGCTACTGTGAGGTACGACTGTGCCACTGCACTCCAGCCCGGGAGACAGAGCAAGACCCTGTCTCAAATTTAAAAAAATAAATAAAAGCAGAGAAATAAGTAATCCTTTAAAATATAGCCCAAAGAATAAAAATATCCATGAGTCTATTTCAGACATAACCAAATAAATAAATCAATCGGAGAGAAGGAACAGCTCTTCCTTACAGAAGAATTCCAATTATTAAATGCAAAAAAAGTGAGGAAAAGAAAAATTACCATTAGAACATCATTCTAGGCAGGGCACAGTGGCTCACACCTGTAAATCCTAACACTTTGGGAGGCCGAGGAGGATCACTTGAGGGCAGGAGTTTGAGATAAGCCTGGTCGACATAGTGAGATCTTGTCTTTACAAAAAAAAAATTTTTTTTTTTTTTTGAGACAGAGTCTCGCTCTGTTGCCCAGGCTGGAGTGCAGTGGTGAGACCTCGGCTCACTGCAACCTCCGCCTTCCAGGTTCAAGTGATTCTTGTGCCTCAGTGTCCCGAGTAGCTGAGATTACAGGTGCACACCACCACGCCCGGCTAGTCTTTTGTATTTTTAGTAGAGACAGCGTTTCGCCATGTTGCCCAGGCTGATCTCGAACTCCTGAGCTCGGGCAATCCACCCACCTCGGCCTCCCAAAGAAAAAAATTTTTTAATTAGCTGGGTATGGTGGCACATGCCTGTAGTCCTAGCTACTCTGGAGGGTAAGGCAGGGGGACTGTTTGAGCCCAGGATGTTGGGGCTGCAGTAAGCTATGAGTGAGCCACTGCATTCCAGCCTGGGTGACAGCAAGTCCTGAGACCTGTCTCAAAAAAAATTCCACTGTAATAATTGCTGCAAGGTATGTAGGAACTCTGGGGAGTTTTTTGTTGTTGTTGCAACTTTTCTGTATAAGCCTAAAATTATTCCAAAATGAAGTTTAAGAAAAACCAATACCTAAAAATTGAAAACTGAAAAATGAACTGAAGTTGTACATCAAATTGGTGATATATCCACAGAGAAAAAAAGTATTTCAAGTGACTTTTTAAAACTATGTATCCTTAGTGAAATCGAGATCATACCACTCCCCTCCAGCCTAGGAGACAGAGCCAGACCCTGTCTCAAAAAAAAAAAAAAAAAAAAAAAAAAAAAAAAAAAAAAAAAAGGCCGGGCCTGGTGGTTCACGCCTGTAATCTCAGCCCTTTGGGAGGCCGAGGCAGGCGGATCACGAGGTCAGGAGATTGAGACCATCCTGGCTAACACAGTGAAACCCCGTCTCTACTAAAAGATACAAAAAAACAGCCGGGCATGGTGGTGGGCGCCTGTAGTCCCAGCTACTCAGGAGGCTGAGGCAGGAGAACGGCGTGAACCCGGGAGGCAGAGCTTGCAGTGAGCCGGGATCACGCCACAAAAAAAAGGAAATTTTTATGTTTTTCAATGAATCATGAAAAAGTGTTAGAAATTTTTTTAAAGGCCAGATGTAGCAGCTCATGCCTGTCATCCCAACACTTTGGTGGAGGTGAAAGGATCGCTTGAGCCCAGGAGTTCCAAGACCAGCCTGGGCAACATGGCAAAACACTGTCTCTACAAAAATTAGAAAAGTCAGCCAGGCATGGTGGTGCATGCCTGACAGTCCCAGCTACTTGGGAGGCTGAGATGGGAGGATCAATTGAGCCCTAGAGTTGAAAGCTGCAGTGAGCTGTGATTGTGCCTCTGCACTCCAACCTGGAAAATAGAGGAGAGACCCTGTCTCCAAAAAATTAAATTAATTAAAGTGATTTGAAAGAATTTTTCAGGCTTGGCATTCAATCCATTTTCTTCTTCTTGGGCATGGTACGTTTATCCAGCCATGGTAAGGTCAGTCTTTCCTGGCAGGGCCGAGAAGCAGATGGGCATTGGAACCACGGATTGAAGGACAGAGGCCTGTCCTACTCCACACCTGAGCTCTCAGGGCCAGGGACTAAGCTGCACACACCCCTACAACCTGGGCTTTCTCTGGGGGGTCTGCTCTCTTACCCAGACCCTTGTTGTACCTTTATTGAGGACTGTGAGGGGCTTCCGGTTGCTGGGGTCCAGGCTGCTGGGAGCAATCGAAAACCTTGGTGGAATGGTCAGGCAGGTGATGGGGAGACGGGCAGGGATATAGCCAGAAGTAAAGAACTCGTCATTAAGCAGCTCGTTAATGGTTGGGCGGGCAGTGGGATCTGTCTGAAGCATCTTCTGGATGAGGGAGGCGGCCACGGGGTTGATGTGCTGGGGCAGAGAGAGGGACAGCCATAAGCAGAATGTGAAGGGGACCTGGAGTACAGTACGGCCTCAAAGGAGCTGCAGGTCCCCAGCCCACATGCAGCCCCCAGTCTCAAATACACCACAGGTCAGTGGTTCACAACTTGGTTCAATGCCAAGTTCTCCACTGTCAGCTTTACTGAGCACCATTGACAGAAGGGTCAATGGACTGTGGCCGAACACCAACTCACTTTCCTAGCACTCACTATGTGCCAGGAAAGCATTCTAAGCACTCCTGTGTTTAGCTCACTTAGCCCTCACCAACTCATCTAAGGGGTGGGGATCTATTATCATCCCTTTTTCACAGAGGAGGAAAGTGAGGCACAGAGAGGGTGAAGGCCTTGTCTAGCTGGCTTGATTCCATGCTGTCTCTGACAGTGAACTGACACTTTGTGATGGATTTACTATGTCTGTCCTTATGGTGACAGGCCTCCTGGCTTCACACAAGGACACTACACTTCAAACTGGCTGTGTGCTAGGCTTCTGCAGGAACCAGCTATTCCTTTAAATGTATTTCTGTTGGTGGTTGTGAAAATGCACACCATGGCCGGGCGCGGTGGCTCACGCCTGTAATCTCAGCACTTAGGGAGTCCGAAGCAGGTGGATCACAAGGTCAGGAGATCGAGACCATCCTGGCTAACACGGTCAAACCCTGTCTCTACCACAAATACAGAAAAAAGAAGCCGGGCATGGTGGCTGGTGCCTGTAGTTCCAGCTACTCAGGAGGCTGAGGCGGGAGAATGCCATGAACCTGGGAGGCAGAGCTTGCAGTGAGCCGAGATTGTACCACTGCATTCCAGCCTGGGCGACAGAGCGAGACTCCATCTCAAAAAAAAAAAAAAAAAAAAAAAGAAAATGCACACAACTATGCCATTAGGAAGCCCTGGGATTCACAGTGATTCATAATTCTGAGAGCACTCACCACATGCAAGGCACTCTGTGAGGTGCTCCAAGGCAGGAACTCCACTTTATATATGGAAACTATGGTTCAGAAGATGCAGGCCAGGCTGGGTATGGTGGCTCACGCCTGTAATCCCAGCACTTTGGGAGGCCAAGGCGGGTGGATCACCTGAGGTCAGGAGTTCGAGACCAGCCTGGCCAACATGGTGAAACCCCGTCTCTACTAAAAATACAAAAAAAAAAAAAAAAAGCCAGGCGAGGTGGTGGGTGCCTGTAATCCCAGCTACTTGGGAGGCTGAGGCAGGAGAATCGCTTGAACCTGGGAGGTGGAGGTTGCAGTGAGTCAAGATCATGCCACTGCACTGGGCAACAAGAGCAAAACTCCACCTCAAATAAAAAAAAAAAAAAAAAAGATGCAGGCCATTTGCCCAATGTGATCTCGCTAAGTGGCAGAATCCATTTGAATTAAGATAAACCATTTCTAAAGATTAAGCACTTTTGCCTCCTACTCCTTCCTACCTCCTTTGTTTTTTGCTTTTTACACAACTTTTGGGTTACCCAATCTCTTGAGAATCTGCCAACTCTCTCCCCCTAGAAAAAATGCTTATGTGCACATACATGTCAAGTTCTGTATGCAATTTCAGACACAGGCCCTCTCAAGCTCTGTGGCTACCTTAGAGGTGGGATAGACCTATTTCTGGTCCTAGGATATTGCTGGGCTCCATAAACAGCTTCTGGGGAAAACAAAATAAATGTAAACTTAAAGCATCATTAGTCACCTTGGGAATACTGTATTCATTCTTCTTGATCCGGAGGTAGGTCTCTTTTAGGCAAGAAGTCTCAAAAGGTGGTTTGCCCACTAACAAGGTATACCTGTAAGCACAAGGTAGGATTTGGCACCAGTCTCCCAGCCACAACCCAGACATGAGAGAAATCATCTCAGGGTCAGAACAAAGGTCAGGCATCCTCTGGACACTCACTCTAACTCTGGGGCCCCTGAAGACAATCCCTAAGTCCACTGAGCAGCCCCAGAAGCCATGACATTGGCTAGAATAAGCCCTCAGCAGAATACACATGGTGAGACCAGGATTCTTAAGGGCCAGTGATTTTTTAGCTATAGCCTGTGGTCATCTAGGACTCTGTGCAAGGGCCTCAGATGCTGCCTGTCATGCAAAACAGGTCAAAGGGCTACCTGCGCTTACAGAAGCAGCTCCACCTTTAGCAGTTCTGTACTTAAGTCTTCAAGTTTTCATTTGAAAAAACCCCACTGCAAAGACGTATGAAAGCCATTGCTACAACTCATTTCTAACTCTCCAGTACCTAGGCCCAAAACAAGAAAGATAACACCTGAAAAGGCCCAAGCCTCTGCCTGCCACCAACCGCTGCTGATGGTCTTAATCCAGACAGACCACTGGCACATCATCTTTCCATCTGTAACTCCTGGCCTAATTTCCCCCACCATGCTAATGCTCATCGGTGTTTAAGACCTTATTGTGCAAGGGAATCACCAAGGGACCTTGTTAAAAATCCAGATTCTGATCCAGTAAGTAGTCTGGGTCCTGAGATTGTGTATACAAGTTCCCAGATGATGGTGATGCTGCCCTGTGGACAACTCTAGCAAAGGACTACAGTAAGGTTGTGGAGACTCTCCCTCCTCCTCCTCCGCTGTACCCATGACCTAGGCTGCAGAAATCCGACAGGATACACCAGTGACAGGGAAAGATATGACAATTAGGCTTTGTTTGGGGATGACTTGTCCCTTGGAGTAGGCTTTCTGTAAAGCAGGCCGAAAGGTCCACAGAAAAGGTCAGCCAGGTAGGATGTCCCAAAGTTGCCCCTGCTGAGACCAGGTTGGTCCAGAGACAACTCCCAACTTACATGATACACCCAATGGACCACACATCCACCTCGAAACTGTGCCCTTTCTTGCTCAGCACCTCGGGAGCTATGTAATTAGGAGTCCCACACAGGGTCTTCTTCCTCTCCCCGTCATATTCGACTTTGGTTGCCAGTCCAAAATCCCCTGGGACAGAGGGAGGAAGAGTTGGTACTTAGATGCCAGCCTCTGACATCTGTCAATGCAGAAGGCTAGTTAAGGTTTGACCATCCAGAACCAGGGCCATCTGATCCCACAAGCCTCTGCTCCTTGTATGTAGCAAGGCTTGCCCAGGAATCTTCCTCCCATGCTGACACCAGGGAGGTGCCTCCAGTGACACTTCTCACCCCTCCTTTTAGAAAGGGGCTATGCTTTGAAACAGGAACTGACAGGGATAGTAAAACTCCAATGCCTTCAAGGATCAAGCAAGTTAACCTCCAAGACTTGGCAAGTCTGTGAAGAATAGGGAGGAGTAGAGACTGTGGCAAAGAAGTCTGAAGGGGACAGCTGTTTTCCAGCCCAGCAAAGGGCTGCCCTAAGAAAATGCTGTCCTCGTATTACTGAAGCTTTCACCTGTTTAAAAGGAGTTCTGAATCAAACTTTTTGTTCAATCAAACCTTCCAATTTAAAAAATAAAAACAAATTCAAATTCTTTGTAAAAAAAAAATATTGCATTGGGGCACAAAAAAATAATGCATCTGTAGGCAAGATACTGACTTGTGGGTTGTCTCCTTCCTTTCTCCCAGCCTCCTCCAAATTCCAGCCTCTTGTAGTGATGTCAAGCACCCCTGCAGGCTCAGCAACTCACCTATTTTCACCTCCAGATCTTCATTCAGGAAAAGGTTGCCCAGCTTGAGGTCTCGATGAATAACTCGGTTTCGGTGCAGGTACTGGCAGCCAAGCACAATTTGCCGTAGGTAGTATCGGGCCTCAGGCTCAGTCAGGGCTTTCCTCCTCTTGTGCAGCTCCAGGAGAGACTGTGGGTGGGAAGGAGAGGGCAGGAGGGATGGGGAGGTGGATTGAGGCCGGTGGGGAAGGGAGAGGGTTACCAGGCAAAGGAAGCACAGGACTGGACTCTGGACTCCCAAGGGATGAAAGAGGGGTCTTGGTGGGTTTCTCTCCTTCCCTATGCCCCCACCCCATTCCTTCTCCAGCACAGCGGCATCTGGACCCTGCCTTAACACTGTCCACAACCATTCGCAGCACCCCTTCTCCTACTAGCTTCCCCCCTTACCTGGGGGTCCTCTCTCAGCCCCACTCCGGAAGCTCCGAGTCCCCAGCACCAGATCCCTTTCCTGACTCGTATCTCCCCCGGAAGGCCCGAAGTCTGGCTCCAACTACCCCCCCACTGACCCAGCTCCACCCCAGAAGCTCCCAGGGCGCGGCATCACTAACCTGGGACTCCTCCCTGGGTACTCCAGGGCCCTAGCGTCCATTACCAGCACCCCTCCCCCCAGCACCTCGCGTCCAGAAGCTGACTTCCCTATCAGCAACATGACTCAGACTCCACTTCACTGGAACCCCCTCCTCTAGCAGCTCCCAGAGCCAAGAAGCCCTTACCAAAGACACTTTCCATACGTAAGCGGGAGGCTCCCAGCACCCTTCTCTAGCAGCTCCAAGTCCCAGGCTCTCCCTTGCTGGGTACTCTTTCCAGCAGCTCCAGGTCTGGGCGCTCCAACTGCCCCGCAGGCAGTTCCAGTTCCCCAGCAGCGACACTCACCCTCCGGCGGCAGAGCTCCAACACCACGAACACGAAGTCGTTGTCCTCGAAAAAGCCGTGGAATCCTACGACGTGCTGGTGGGCGAGGCTGCGGTGAATGGATATTTCCATGGACATCTTCTCCCTCTGGTGCGGCTTGAGCAGCAGAGACTTAGGCACAATCTTGCCCGCGAACACCTCCTTGGTGTCCGCGTCCGAGATCTCGAAGCACTTGGCAAAGCCGCCCTTGCCCAAAAAGCGGCCCCGCACATAGCGCCGCCGGCTGCGTGGGTCCACTAGGACCTCCGGGATCTCTTTCGCCGGTGGAGCCGCCGCCGGAGCTCCGGGAGCTGCAACTCCGGGGACCCCGGCTTTCCCAGGGTCGGCCGGTGCCCGTGCCAGCTTCCCTGCAGTCACTGCAGCACTCATGCTCCCGAAGCTGCGCTGCAGACCTCGATCCGAGCAGAGCCTCCGCACCGCTCCGCTCCTCCCCGAATTCAAACGCGGCGCTGGGAACGTTACAAAAGCCTGCGCGCCACTGATTGGCCGCGGGGATTTAAAATCCAAACCCGCCCGCCGCGCGGCACCATGGGAGCGCCCTGCGCAGCAGCAGCCTTTAAACCCGGACCCAGCCGGGGAAAACCTGATTGACACGGACGCCCGAACACGTGGGATAGCCTGGGAAACCAAACCCGGCGTGGATGCGGAGACCCAGCCCCGAGAGAGGAGGAATTCCTTCGGGGTTTCTCCCTTTCTCGGGCGTCCGGGAAAGCTCCTGCGGTTCACTTGCGCCTCCTCCAGGAAGCTTTTACTTAAATCTTCCTCTACCTCGGGGCCAGGGAACAGTAGCATCGCCATCACCTGAGAGCTTGTTAGAACCGCAAAGGCAAACGTTCAGGCCCTACCCCAGACCTCCCGAGTCAGTGTCCGCCTCTCAACAAGACTGCTCAGGTGATTCCTACACATCCTGAAGTTGGAGAAGCACAGTACCAGAGCCCCCCATGATGCAACGAAGCTGTCTGGCCTCCTCGCTACTGAATTTCCCAGGGCCTAAAATAGTGGACACTCAGTTTCTTGGTCAGAGGGAGGGAAGGTTGGAAGAATGCCTAGCAAACTGGCAGGTCATAGCCAAATGTGTCTTGCGGGGTTTTGTTTGGCCTCCCCCCACGCCTTTTTTTTGTGTGTGTGACGGAATCTTGCTCTGTCGCCCAGGCTGGAGTGCAGTGGCACGATCTCAGCTCACTGCAACCTCTGCTTCCCGGGTTCAAGCAATCCTCCCGCCTCGGCCTCCCTAGCAGCTGGAATTACAAGCATGCACCACCATGCCCGGCTAATTTTTGTAATTTTAGTAGAGAAGAGGTTTCACCATGTTGGCCAGGCTGGTCTTGAACTCCTGACCTCAAGTGATCTGCCCCTCGGCCTCCCAAATGCTGGGATTACAGGCGTGAGCCACCGCGCCCCGCCATTGTAAAACATTTACAGCATTTAAAAGAGGAGCTCATAAAAGTTGGGATTTGTGGCCTTTCCTGAAAAAAATCAGCTCTAGCTACTTACTCTGTGCCTACATGCTTTCAGTTTGCCACAGTTTACAGCTACACCCGTTTGTTCTGTAGGTACTTGAGTGGCAACCCTGGAACAGTAAAATACCCACGTTAAAAGCTCTTTCTCTGTGCCTCCTTAGCACCCTCTGATCCTTCATAGAGCCCAGCAAAAATCAACCATACTATAAGCATCCTTCACCTGCCTTGCAGCTAAGCTGAAGGACAATGAGGACAATGATGCCGTCCTTTCTACCCCATGTCCCAAGCTCCCAGAGCAGTGCTTGGTAAAAAAAAAAGGGTACTTACTAAAATGTTGGCTGAATAAAAGGAAGACTTTGAAAAATTAAGTTATTTTGTACCCCTATAGTGTGAATTCTTTTTATTGAAATTTAATACACTTACAGAAAAAAATGTACATATTATAATTGTTCATAGAGCTCAGTGAATTTTCACAAACTGAACAAATCTGTAAACCACACCCAGATTGAGAAAGGGAACATGACAAACACCCTGCAAGTCTCCCTTGTGCCCTGTGCTGGGGGGTGCCAACACCACCACCTCCTAGTCTGATGATGTACTAGGAGATTCACAGACTCAGCCTGTAGTCATACTCATGGCTATGTTTTACTACAGCGAAAGGCTAGGAAGCAAAATCAGCAAAGGAAAAAAGCGCATGGACAAAGTCCAGGGAAACCAGGTGTAAGCCTCCCACAGTCCTCTCCCAGCAGAGTCACATAGGACACAATTCCTCCAGCAATCAGTTGTGACAACCCATGTGCAATGTTGTATACAAGGGAAGCTCATTACAGACTCAGTGTTCAGGGTTCTCATTGGGAGCTGCTCACCTCATCCTCTGCCTAACACATATGAAAATCTGACTCCCAGAAGGAAAGCAGATGTTGGGCATAACCCACATTGTTTGTACGAACAGTTTAGGCACAGTGAGCCACTCTTATCATTTAGGGAGTAATGAGAACCCTCCTGAAATCCAAGCTTTCAGATGCCAGCCAAGGGCCAGCCTTGCAAACAGGCCTGCTTTCTCATCTCTTTTCACACAGTCCATCTCCTTATTGAGGCTTCTTTACAGCAAAATTATTATTAGTAGGACCACATGCAAAAGGGTGAGACCAACCTCAAATATGGACCTCAGTTCTTCCTGGTAGGGGTCCTGGACTTAACCAGCTAAAATAAATCCCATTAACCATAAAGTCTATCTTAGGAAGCCAGGTGGCTTCCTCCTTAATTCCTTTTTGTTGTTGTTGTTGAGATGGAGTCTTGCTCTGTCACCCAGGCTGGAGTGCAGTGGCGTGATCTTGGCTCACTGCAGCCTCCACCTCCTGGGTTCAAGCGATTCTCCTGCCTCAGCCTCCCGAGTAGCTGGGACTACAGGTGCACACCACCACACCCAGCTAATTTTTTTATTTTTGTAGGGACTACAGGTGCACACCACCACACCCAGCTAATTTTTTTATTTTTGTATTTTTACTTTTCACCATGTCGGTCAGGCTGGTCTCAAACTCCTGACCTCAGGTGATCTGCCCACCTCAGCCTCCCAAAGTGCCGGGATTACAGGCATGAGCCACCGTGCCCAGCCCTTAATTGCTGTCTGAACCTTTTTTTTTTTTTTCAACCTGACCTGAGGCATCAATTCAGGCACAGTATAACTCTGACCAGTAAGCGGAAGCTAACCCAAATGCTTTCCAGGGCTGAGGGGACATCATGAGAGTTGTGGTCATGTACAGAAGCACAGTCCCAGGGGCACAGGTGGTACCCCTGTAAACAAAGAATTTGCAATATTAGGGCACCTCAAGCAGGACATCCATTAGGCTGTACAGGTGAACAGACCTCCTACCAGGGGAACTCCTGCCCAAGTGTTTCCAGTCCCATCTGAAAAGTTCCCAGAGTCCTTGGCTTCCAAGGGACTGCCTGAAGGCAGTGAGTCCCAAACAGTTTTGCTTGTTCAGGATACAAGTTGATCCATCTCATGAGCATGGATGACATTTGTGGGAGATCTTCATGGAAAGCATAGAAGCTAGACCCACTCTGTTGTCAGTCTGAACTCAAAGCACTCACAGCACATGGAAAGGCAGCACTGGGAATTTTCCTTCAGCAAGAGGAGGCTTCCAGGGATCAAGCCTCCCCAGGTGCCAGGCTTTAATTATTTTCTCCAATATTACAAAAACAGTCGTGCCCTGTTCAGCAATCATAACATTGCATTTTTTCAACCATCTCTTACTCTCAGCTAGGCCTTTCCTCTGGAAGGGTTGTATGTAAGAGGCACAAAAGCATTTTTGTAGATAAACTTTTTTTTTTTTTTTTTTGAGATATGGTCTGGCTCTGTTGCCCAGGCTAGAGTGCGGTGGCACGATTTTGGCTCACTGCAACCTCCGCCTCCTGGGCTCAAGCCATCCTCCTACCTCAGCCTCCTAAGTAGCTGGAACCAAAGGCACATGCCATCATGTCCAGCTAATTTTTGCATTTTTTGTAGACACAGGATTTCACCATGTTGCCAGGCTGGTCTTGAACTCCTGAACTCAAGCAATCTGCCCACCTCGGCCTCCCAAAGTGCTGGGATCATATGCATCCATCACTGCGCCTGGCCAACATTTTTTTTTTTAACTATCATCCTAGAGTTCAAGTAGATAAACGTTTTTATGCAACTTAACCAGAAAGACATTCAGAAATTGGTAATTATGTGTGGAGGGTTGAATTATGTCCCCACAAAAATTCATGCTGAAGCCCTAACCATCTACCTGTACCTCAAAATGTGAGTATATTTGAAGATAGGCCCTGAAGAGGTAACTAAGTTAAAATGGGATTGTTAGGATGGGCCCTAATCCAACCTGAGTGGTATCCTTATTAAAAGAGAAGATTAGGACACAGACACCCAGACAGAGGGACCATACAAGGACACAGTAAGAAGGCAGCCATCTGCAAGCCAAGCAGAGAGGCCTCAGAAGAATCTAAAGCTGTCGACACCTTGTCCTGGACTTTCAGCCTCCAGAACTGCAGGAAAATAAGTTTCTATTGTGTAAGTCACTCAGTTTGTGGTACTTTGTTATGGTATCCTTAGCAAACTAATAAAGGATGAAACCCTGAATTTTTAAAAATTTCAAAATGTGTTTACATAATCTTCTACCCCTTTTGTCCTGATTATTCAATGAGCAGACTAGAAAAGCCTAATACCTTTCTGGGGACAGCTACGTTTTAATAATCCACCTACCTTACTAAGCTGTGTGTGCTGGGAGAAAAGTGAGGGAAGTAGAGTCAGGCTGTCAGTCCACTGTTGCAAGCTGCAACTAATCCCAAAAGCTGAATGCAACAAGTCAACAGCAGTGAGAGAAGCCCCAGAGAAGGTTTGAGTCTGGTCTGTCAAAAGCAGGAGGAGAGGTCATAGTCCTTGCGATGTGCCCTTCCCCAGCTTGGAGCGTTTGGCAAATATTAGAAGTTAGGAATGCAATTAGCCTCTGTATTAGAGACAAAGAGCCTATCAGCAGCTTGATCTTAGATGGTCCCATTAGAGAATAAGCCCTTTTCAGCCAGGTTCCAGGACGTTTTCATAGTTTAGCGCTCCACGGAGGGGGTCCTTAATCTCCAACGGCCCCAACGTCTGAGTCCTGGTCATTGAGCCTGTGCCTGCTTTCAGTTCAGCATAGCTCGTGTTGAGGCTAAAACAGCTCAAGGCAGACAGTAGCAGGTTTCAGCTTAGAGTCAGGGCCAGGCAATTAGGATCTGAGAATTTGAGATTCTCAACAAGCAGCTGCTTTTCTTCAGCAGCAGTGAAGGCATGCTGCATGGCCAGACAGCTGTGGTCCAAGTGACATGCAAGGCTGCCTTTTTATCTTGTTGGTCTTAGAGTCCAATTGACCCACTCAAAAAAAATGCATATTAGACTAGACAATCATCAGCCTCTAAGGGGAGACATTTGATTTTGACAAGGGTTCATTAGCAATTTAACTGTATTTTCATTTTCCAAACAGATTGCTTCTCTTTACATGTTGTCTCCCTCTTTCCCGAGGCTCCAGTAAGCACGAATCACAGCAAAAATAATCAGTTACAGCCTGTTCTGGTTCCAATATCCGAAGAATTTAAATTCCAACCTATCCACTAGTGGCAAAAAACTAGAAAGCTGTATCCCACTAACACCTTTCATATTTTATTTTTGAGTAGCTTTATTTGATTAGGGTGATCCCTCTAGCATTTATGAAATTAACAAGCATAAAACTTTTTTTTTAAGAGATGAGTAGCTGGGACTACAGGCGCACGCCACTGCGTCCAGCTAAGGTATGTTTTTTAAGCAATGAAATCAACCAGTAAAAACAAGTTCAAATATTTTTCATTCACACACTCAAGGCCTGCTGAGCATCCACTGCATGTGTTTTACTTGTTCCATTAGAAAGGTTTATTAAAAAATGGCGGGGCACAGTGGCTCATGACTGTAATCCCAGCACTTAGGGAGGCCAAGATCGCTTGAGCCCAGGAGTTCAAGACTAGTCTGGGCAACATGGTAAAACCCTGTCTCTATTTAAAAAATAAACAAATACAAGCAAGTTTTTTTTTAAAAAATGATATATTAAAGAAAATCCTCCTAATTCTCTTATGTCTTTTCATAGCTGTTTCCATGTTCTCATATTCCCATCCTTGTCAACATGGAATTTTTGTTGTTGTTGTTGTGGTTTTTTTTTTTTTTTTTGAGACGGAGTCTCGCTCTGTCGCCCAGGCTGGAGTGCAGTGGCACAATTACAGCTCACTGCAAGCTCCGCCCCCTGGGTTCGCGCCATTCTCCTGCCTCAGCCTCCCAAGTAGCTGGGAATACAGGCACCCGCCACCATGCCTGGCTAATTTTTTTGTATTTTTAGTAGAGATGGGGTTTCACTGTGTTAGCCAGGATGGTCTTGATCTCCTGACCTCGTGATCTGCCCACCTCGGCCTCCCGAAGTGATGGGATTACAGGCTTGAGCCACTGCGCCTGGCCAAACATGGAATTTGTTTTATACAGTTGCAATTATGGTCCATTAATACAATCTATTTGTATGTTATCAGTAACAGTAATACTAACAGTGAACCCTTATTAAGCATTTACTATGTGCCAGGCACAAGGCTAAGAGTTTTACAGAGATGATCTCATTTACCTTGGGTTACTTACCCAACCAAGGTTTATAGCCAGCAGGTGGCAAAGCTTGAATTCCAACCCAACTCTGCTGACTCCCAACTACACCCACCTGCACACTTGCCTCTTGGGCCTTGTTTGTCTGGCAAGTCCTAAATCCCAGACTCATTTGTTCACTTGCTTGCTTCCTCCCTCCCTCCCTACCAAAACACAGTATGATCTGTCGGTTAAACTCAATAGACTAAAAACTCCGGGTTCAAATGCTAGCTCCTCCATCACTAGCTGTATGACCTTGGGAAAGTACTTAATCTCTCTGTGCCTCAATTTCCATGTTTATAAAATGGGATAAAGTGCCCATTATAGTGCCCATTTCCTAGGATTCTATCCAGGAGATGATGTGCCTATTTCCTAAGGTTCTTATAATGAGATTCTGCAAGGACAGCACTCCAAATAGTACAGGCACATGGTTTTGACAGTTGTTTCTGTTATTATTGAAATAAAAAGAACCTATACCTGTTCCCAGGAAGCTCAGAGTCTCTCACAGGCCTTTTCAGTTCCTGGGGCTCTCATATTTCCTCATTCTCCCAGACTCCTCTGACCCTACTCTTCCTCAGGTTCTTACTGCTCCTGTGGGAAATCAGAAAGAGCAGCCAGCAGACAACACCAACTGAGATGAATGCAGCTGAAATGGCACAGGTCAGTATGGCCAAGAAACACCATGGGCTAATGTTCAGACCCATGGTATGAAAGCCAGAGTGGGTGTGAATTTCACTCCCATGTCTCTTATCTTGGATGGTTTTCATCTGCATGACCCATTTGCCCAATGCCCAATGGATGTGAAGATACAGAAAAGTCCAGGTACTGTTTTCAGGGAAGTAAGATGTCCTGTGCCAACTCTTCTCACTTCAGGGTCCAAGTCAGAGTGCACAAGGAAAGCAGGTGGGGCTGGCCCACCAGCAAAAGCTTCAGGAGAGCAAGGGATTGGCTGACTGGGCTGCAAGGGTAGTGTTCAAAGCCAGCTGCCTTGGAGGCCAAGATAGTGGAGGAGCTGCATAAAACATGGATTTTGCAGCCAAGTAAGAGCTGGCCTTGATTCCAGCTCAGCCATTTATTAGATGTGTGGCATTGGGCAAATTTACTTAACCTCTCTGAATATCAGTTTCCTCTGCTGTAAAACAGGCTGTGAAACTCTCACTTTTTTGACAGTTGGGAGGATTAAATGTTTGCACCCCATAGATACAAAACAAGGAAGGGTGATTTCTCCATCTCTTGTTTGTGGCGGACTGATTATAAAGGGCAAGATGTTTTAAATTTTATTTTAAATTTTAAAAATATGTAAGAATGCTATGCCTTATACTCTAAGGGGTTTTGCTCAAGGTGTATCACTTCCTAATAAAAGTGCCTAATAAACTGCCGTTTATTGAGTGCTCACCCTGAGCCAGTACTTATGCTTTACATGTATAAATGCATTTCAATCATCATAATACCCTATCCAACTTCCCCATTTTATGGATGAGAAACCTGAGGTTCCACGAAGTAAGATAACTTGCTCAAAGTCACAAGGCTAGCCAATGGCAGGCTGGGATTTGATCAGCCTGACTCTAGCACTCACACTCCTCACCACTATGATGGCTCTCAAAATGGGCCCCTCAGACCCTCTCTGTATTTTGACTCTTTGGCTTTCTCACTCACTAAGCTGTGAGATCCCTATGAGAAAGAACTGGCTCCATCTTAGTCTCCACTGTATCCCCAGGACCTAGGAAGTGCTTGGCACCTAGTAGTGGCTTGGAAAGCACTTGTTAAATGAATAAATGAGTGATGGTGTCTCTCTTCTCTGTGCAGCATATGGTGAGGGGCCCACCTTCTTACCCCTAAATGGAAGCAAGCACATATTCTACTAAAAGCACAAGCCCATTGCTGGGGGGCTCTAGAAGTGTTTCAGTTATCATGTACTTATGGGAACTGTAGAAGTTGGCGAGACATTTTGCTGAGACCAGTTCTGAAAAAACCAGGCCTTCGGACACGCTGTCCCAACACTGCCAGTATCATTTCAGGGGACTTGCAGCTCCATGGAAGCTAACCCCCAGGAGACCAGCCAGCTGGATTTGACTACCTATAGTCACCATCCAGGTTGTCAGATGCCAATTTTTTTTCAGGAGAACCGCTGAGGCTAGCCAGAATATGGCTGGGCAGCACCCTCTAGGCTCTCACTGGATAGAACAGGATACAGAGAAAGGCCTCCCTAGCCACCAAGACCTCTTCCTTATAGCTGAGAAACTTCCAAGGATATGTTAACTATGAACAATGTTTGTCTGATTAATTTCAAGTCTGCCAGATGTATCAGTGACTAAGAAAGGAACTGTGGCCTCAGATCCTGAGTGAAATGGTTCATGCAGAAGTGACTAATACAGAAGCCACCACCCCAACCCCAAATAACCACAAGGGCTCTGTGCAGCCATGTAAAACAGAATCAGTCAACAGGAGGCTCACAAGACAATCATTCACCTTTGTTCCCTGCAGCAGGTATCCTGCAATCTGAGACTTATCTTGAGCTGGGGTAAGGTCTGAGGCATGCTGGCAGGGTGTGTGAGGGTTGGGGGTGAGGGTGGTCACATCCAGGCAATCATTCTATTAAGGATGTGCTAGATGACCCACAGACTCAGGCCTGACTCCTCAGGAGCTCACAGTTAGTAGGGGTTCAGACAAGAACACAGGTACATAACTAAAACTCTATTGATAAGGGCGCCTCGGTAAGGTGCTATGGGAACCATAAGGATGCAGTTCCATGGCCCAGTCAGCTCATCTGGGGAAAAATAATAAAACAAAAAGGAAGCAGTTCCAGACAGAAGACCATCTCCAAATGGTTCTTTATTGAACACCCACTTTGGCTAGGCAATATCCTCCCCCTGCCCTCTAATCCAGGCTCAGGTACCCCCAGTGGAGTATCCTCAGAAGGCAACTCCCAAGACCAGGAGTAATGAGAGATTGGGCAGAGGGTAAGGGACAGCAGGGAGACGGAGGAAAATGAAGACACCAGGGAAAGAGGAGAGGCCTGAA
This sequence comes from Homo sapiens, assembly GCF_000001405.40. Taxonomy (NCBI): domain Eukaryota; kingdom Metazoa; phylum Chordata; class Mammalia; order Primates; family Hominidae; genus Homo; species Homo sapiens. Next base: position 23,669,653 of record NC_000016.10, on the reverse strand, counting down.
CTGGACAGCTGATGCTTTGTCCTGCCCAGCACCCATTCGTCCCTTCTTCAGGTAATATCATCTGCCACCACAACCACCAGCACCAACTCTCAGTCTCTGTGGGTACATGCCAGGCCTGTCCATTTGGTGTATTCCATCTTCCTGGCCACAATGATGACTTGAGGCTGGATACCTTCCTCGTCTGGACCAATGAGAACCAAATCCAGCAGTTCTGTCAGCAAAGGGGAGCTCTTTTTATCAATAACTGGTGCTGTGGGGCCACACTGTGAAGCCCAAGAATAAAGCCAACTCAAATGAAAGCAGAGCTGAGAGCCAAAGAGACAGATCCCTGTTTGGAGTCCTGGGATGCAGCCTGAAGCCCAATCTAGCCCATCCTTTTCAGCTACGTGAGCCATTAAATTCCCTCTGCCCCAAGTGAACTGGAAAGAGTCCCAACCAAGGTCCTTCCCATCTGGTTGTTCTTCTGGAAGTATTTTGAGGACAAGGAGATTTTCATCTCCAGGGTTATAAAAGTAATTGTGTGGTGACAGGCTGTTCCTAGGTCCCTGGGGTGAGAGCCACCATGGAGACAGAGTCCAGCTCGCCTTTCCTAGGATACACACTCACGACTGTCAACACATCTTCGAATACATCAGCACATAATTATAAACTCCTATTGTTTGTAGTAGCTATTGTTTTTGTCTTCCCATCACCTTGTTTTGGATGAAGAAAAGGTCATGACCCAGACTGGATTAATCATGTGGCCAAACATGCATGGCCACAGTGACTGATCCAAGAGGACATGGAACTCACAACAAACCATTGAGAACTTTGGGAGTTTCCAAATTCGAACTGGAAGGGAAGAAACCTTTCATTCAGAGCCCCCAAGCTAGGAGGATGCAGGTCTGGAGCTATCAGCTGTCATGGCTCCAAATGCACGGCGAAGGCTCATGTGCAGCAGGAGGAAAGGAAGCCAACAAAGAGGCCTGGTTGAGTCTGCTTGTTGTCTCCCAATGGCCATTCTTCCCCCACTCCTTTTTACTAGCAGAATCTCCTTCCTCAGAGTTTTGGCTGCCCAAGTAGAAACTAAATTTACAGCCTCCTTTGTTGCTAACTGTGGCCACATGGCAAGACAGTAGGAACCTGGGTGCCTGATGACATCATGGACCAGCCCCTTGCCTGGCCTGGACCAGCTGACTATCACTGCACTGTTATGGGAGAGAGAAATAAACTTCCATCTTGTCGAAGCTATGTATTTTGGTGGTTTTATGTATAAACATTTTAAAAATAACAAACTAGAAAGGAGTTCTAGATGGAACTAGTGGCAATGATTACATACAGCTGTTTTGTTTTGCAAACCCCACAACTGGATATTAAGTCAGGATAGCTCCTGCTAAATTCTAACCTCAAGGCTGAACTGTTCTGCCCTATTCACTTACAGATCAGAGCATTAGGCAAGGACAACCTTCTTAGCCCCTCACTTCTGAATCTTCCTTCTAAGCTAAGAGGTCAGAGCAGAACGAGGAAATGTTGTGCTATTTGGCCAGAAGGAGATGGTAAGAACAGCCCTAGTAACTTCATTTACTCCTGAGGCTCTGTGCCCACAAACTGATTCTAAGAGCCCTTCCTGTATATATGCGAATTAGCTCTAAGTACAGACATTTTGGTGTGAATTGTGGAGTTTATGGCAAATACAGGGTAGGCTGAATGGTTCTAGGCCAGGAAGCAAGAGTTCACAAATGCGGTGTCTTCAATGAAATAAGGTAAGTACCTTGAAGCAAGGAGTAACCACCTGACTAATGCATCCACATGAGAGACTCAAATCTAACACTTGGCAAAATTACAATCTGGGATACTGAGGTCCCCACTTTTAGTGAAAGCCAAAGGCCCTAGGTCAAAATGCTAAAAAGTCTTTTACTAACTATCCTAGGACAGCTAAGGTCATTTTGGGAAGAAGAGAGAAACACTATTCACCCCTCCCTTCAAGTTTTAATAGACAACAGGAATCTGGGCTCTGAAAAGTCACAAACACCTTTCCCAAGATGATGAGCAACTGCAACAACTGGCCAAATGTGTTAGCAGCAGAAAAGCTGGGCATTACCTGTGTGAGAGGCGCTCAGCATGGGCAGTGAATGGCCGTGAGCAGCGCACCAGCTACATAGCCTCCACACCGGAAGGGTGCTGCTGCTCTGCAGGTCCGTTTCAGGCGGGATCCAGCCATCCACAGGACCAAGGGGCTGGAGTGTTGGGAACAGATGATTCTGTGTTCCACAGATAATGGTACAAAGTGACTGTTCATAGATAAGGTGTAAGCACAGCATTTGAAGACAGCTCCTCCAGATGGTCTGTCTGTTAGTGAATTCTTAAGCACTTAGAGCCTTGAAGATTGAGAAATTCTAAAGAAATTTTTTAAAAGGAGGAGGGTGGTAGATGTCAAAGACACAAAAGCTCTTTGTAGGTGCTGACTGGCTCACTTTGTCCCCAGGTTCATCTTAGAGCTCAAGCAGATTCAAGACATGAGGCAGAGATGCTAGACTTGCGTCAGGGGCAAAAACTTCTGGTAGTAGCTCTTGGTGACGTCAATCATCAGCTCCTGAGTGCACTCCGGGAGCTCCCCTGAGAAGAGTCCTGGGGAAAGAAAGACCCAGCTCTAAGGAGCTTGAAGAAGTTACAAGAAGTTAAGATATTTCTCTGGCAATATCCTTCTCACCTCAATCAGATGCATGTCTGACAATCACTTAAATAATCGCTGAGGCTGTTCTGGTCCAGTGCTTGCTAAGAACAGCTAAACTTTTTCACAGCAGGACCCCAATATGGAGAAATTACTAAACAAAAGTCTCTCCTTCCTCCTCTGCAAAAGCAGAGATGCATGACACGGTAGAATGGCCAAATGCCTCCCCGAAGAATCTGAGTGATGATTTTGTTCATCTTAGAAACTCAGATTCAATGATCTGAGAGATGAGATTTATTTTTTAATTGGAAAAACAATTAAACCACTCAGTGGTAGGTATCATATACTGTCAAATCTCTCTGTTCATATTATTTTCCATCTGTGAATTTATGACGTGCCTCTGTATATGCTACATGATTTCAGCTGTGTAAAACAACATGGAGAAGAAGATACTGTCTTGGGGTAGGGCTAAGGGAATGTGAGGTTTTCTCCTTCCTTCTGCTTTTCAGTGTTTTCCAAGTTTTCTGAGAGAAGTACGTATCACTTTTGTTTCCTCAAGCTTTATAATTTGGAACTCCGGGCTCCTGATGGGCTTTACTTGTGAGCATTCTATCAGCCAAGGTCCAGAGATAATGTATTAATATTTGCCCCTCTCAGGTATCCCCAGGGTATTGCTGGTCTTAGACCATGGTTTATGCTAACTTTTCAGTCTGGGAATTCCTGGGCCATGTGGAATGTACAAATTAAACCCATGACCAATGTGAGGGTAAGCCCAGTACTAAAATTCTCTAGACAGACTTTTTCTACCCAGAGTCCAGGCCAGGCAAGAAATGCTTTCTTGTACATTCCCTGTGTTGGCAGCAGATTTGTTTTACATCGACTTTTCCTTGAGAGGGAATCCTTTAAGAGTATTTGAGGATCTCTCTGCCATGTGTGGATCCAAGGCTTTATTTCCATCCCGACATGAGTATCACCCCTCAAATCACTCTATTATGAAGACAGCATTAACCCGTGCAATCTCACAGCTTGGGCTTAGTTTCCTCTTTGTGTTTGGCCCTTCATAATTTCCTTATTTTCTGGTGAACCCAATTATGCATTTAAACAGATGCTTGTTATATGTTAGGTAGCATTTCTAGGTACTTTGTACAGGTGAATTTCTAAGTTAGCTCTATCAACATATTGCCAGAGATAGGAATCGTAAGCATTACTTTTGCGATGGAAAATACAACTGAGTTTTAGGAAGTTAAAATAAAATTAATCAACAGCCAAGGTTACCTGGGCAGCCTGAGAAGACAGTGAATGGTGGAACCACAGTTTCTGGAGGTAATACTGTGTTGTCAAGAATTTTGCAGCAGTCTTTCAACACACATCGGCGCCCCTGAAATTAAAATCTTGTTAATAGGAAATGGATCAGTCTACTGTGTGAAAGGCTCCTTTCTATTTTCCCCATTCATGATACCATGTAATAGCCAGGGACGGTGACAAGAGGGTTGGTTGCAACTTCCTGCTTCAGGTGGTACCTGACGAGAAGGAGGCAGCAAGGTTGTGAGAGTGTGTGTTTGTGTACATTTCGGGGGGAAGGCTGTATGCTAGAGGCAGGACAAACTGTCTCAGACATTACAGACTGAATTTCAGTCTTCCATGAGCTCTGTTGAATTTTCCCTTTGATTTAGTGGACATTTGTGCTTTTGCTTGTCCAGCATCCATTCCCCTTTCTTCTGGTAACAGAACCTGTATTTTCCTCGGTAACCCTCCCATCCCCATCTCATCCATGTGCTTCACCCCCCAGCCCACACACCAAACCCCAAGCCTGGAAACAATAACAGGTCAGCATATGACCCCAATTAGTCTGATGGACCCCAACCTCAGGGCTTTTGCTGGGACTACTGGGGAAAGCAGCACTTCCCACTGGGGTTTCCAGAGGATAGGCTGGAAGACTGGAATAGGCATCTTATTTCCATGAAGGAAGAACCTGCCTGGGAGTGAACCTCCCAGAGGAAAGCAGCACAGAGATGGAGACTAATTCTTACAACATGGGCTGAATGCCTGGAGCCATTTGGCCGTGACATTAAGATCTACTCCTGTACTCTTGGTTTATATTCACCACCCATTCCACTCCACATCCACCAGCTTAAGGTTGGTTGGTTGGTTTGCTCTTTTGTCAATTCAAACTGGAAAAACCCTGAAAAATTCATTTGGATATGAAGCTATTAGTTCATTTGTTCTCCCACTGGTGAGTGATAGTCATGTAGATGTTTGAACCTCATCCCTGACTTTAACCACTGTCACCACTTTTCAATTCTGCCATGATCCACGGCATTCAGAGAGCAAGAAATAAGGTCTGAGAGACTCATCTGTTTCATGGGGCTTCTGTGTACAGTTTACAGCTGTATCTTAGACTCCTTGCTGAGGAAATGAAAGTTTTGATCATTCTGACTGCATTTACATCAGGGCCTGTTAGTTCACTGGTATCCTGGCTAGACAATCAGAAAATATACCTGACTGAGAATGTGGAAATCTTTACAAATACCAGGACAATGCTAACCAGTCCAGACCTCAGATTTTAGCAAAGAACATGATTGATTTGCTTGTGTTTAAATTTTTCCCCATTATTAAACACTTAAATCATATGTTTTTCTAGGAAAAGGTAGATTGCTAAATGAACTTCTTATGAAAGCATGTGAATTTCCTAAGTGGCTCTGAATTTCCCAAGTGGCTGATCTCTCTCCAGCTAGGTGGATAACAGCTATGAGAATACTCAGCAACATCTTTAGCTCAAAAGCACATTATGACTATAGTTCTTCGTTCTTCCTTGTAAAGTTATCTTCCGTGGGTTACCTGCTAGTGGCAATTTCAAAAATAGGGCAACTATCTTCCCTGGTGACCTCAAATTAACATAAACCCTAAGAATTCCTGTCATGACTAAGCTCCTACTAACTCAGACTAAGTTCATGAGGCACTGAGTAAAAGGACACCCAATGTGCTACATAAGGCATGATATAGTCCCATGGAGGGATCCACAGACAAAGGGCCCTGGAAAAGAAGACTAGCTGATGGGATATTTTCACTGTGTATACCAGCCACCATGCAGCCTGAAGGCACCTGCTCTGTCCACTGGTTGGCCATTTTGCCCACTTAGAGAAATAATACTTAACTGGGTTTCAGAAGCTGTCTGGGTAGACTGATCAATCAAATTAAACATTTAAAATGTAGGTATTTCTTAGGCATGAATGTACTGGTAATAGCTGAGGAGGTAAAAGCTGAAACTTCTTTTTTTTTTGGTGGCGGGGGACAGAGTCTCACTCTGTTGCCCAGGCTGGAGTGCAGTGGCGCGATCTCGGCTCACTGCAACCTCCACCTCCTGGGTTCAAGCGATTCTCCTGTTTCAGCCTCCCAAGTAGCTGGGATTACAGGCATGTGCTACCATGCCCAGTTAATTTTTTTGTATTTTTAGTAGAGACGGGGTTTCACCATGTTGGCCAGGCTGGTCTTAAACTCCTGGCCTCAAGTGATCCTCCTGCCTCGGCCTCCCAAAGTGCTGGGATTACAGGCATGAGCCACTGCGCCTGGCCTGAAACTACTTCTTTATTCTTCCCTAGAGAGCTTTCCAAGGAGTTAACAACTGCAGCCGTGCTGCTAATACTACAGCTACCTATATATCCTGTGCAAGTAAGTTAGCATCTTGGAGCCTTGGTTTCCTCATCTATGAAACAGGATGGAAAACCAAATCTGCAGGGAGGTTGTCAAGAATAGAGAGAATAAATGTAAAACTCATAGTACAGTAACAGTGCCTATAAATATTGCTTGTTAAGCTTTTCCTTCAGGCATCTGAGCAATTCTGATGAACACCTACATCTTCACATATCCAAACGGAAATTAAGACTATCACATGGGATGTTATAGGAAGGAGCTATGTGTCATGGGGACGGCTGGACTAAAAGAGTTACTTCCAGTGCTGAGATTCTAGAATTCTAAAAGAATCTCTCCTGAGATCGAGTATTTGTCAAGGCTCAGCGAGTACCGCCAATATGGAACAATGACTATATCATGAAGTGATGTATTAAAAAGTGGCATAAAAACAAGAGCACCTGACAATAGGATTAGAATTTCCTAAGCACTGGGAATAGAATTTGGATTCAACCTTTCAGACATTTCGCTCTGAGGATAAACGACAGGGTTATATGACTAGGCTACTGGGGTGATATCTTCACTTTGCTAAGGAAAATATCAGAAACCCCCAGCTGGAAGGCTAGCTTTTGTCAAGCAATTAGGGTGAGGGGAGAGATGAACTTTACTAACTTTCCCCTTGTCCCAAAGACTTTCTGTCCACCTTTGCTGTACCCTCATAGCTCCTGGAATGTGAACTGTTTGGTTTCTGCAAGTTTTTTGATATTTCAGGGTCTGAGTCTTATCCAGGGCAGAGAGCTGGCTCCATATTAACGGGAATGGTCATTAAAGAAACAGAGTCTTGGCTTTTCCTAGAATCTAGTCTGGAGTACAAATCTAAAATGCAGAAAACACTTTCCCTAAACATGGTTCTCATAAATCCCAACTGAAATCAAGCTCATCATCTAAGAAATCACAGGAAATCCAACCTTGTTAAGCCTTGGTTGGGTTAAATCAACCTATTCCTAGGCTCCAATGGACCAGGGTCCTACAGATTCTGCTGAGCAAGGGGCCCGCTTGCACCCTGAATTACATGTAAATGCCCTTTGATGACTTGAACCCTTCCTTACGCATGTGAATCTCTTTCCTGAAATGCCTGTCTTCCCCCAGTTTCAACTCACCCTTCAGATTTCCTTACTCCCATTAGACTGTAAGCTCCGTGAAGTAAGGCAATAAGTAGGCCATATAGCAGCATGGCTAATAATCATATTGCCTGGGTTTAAATCCCAGGTCTACTGCTTTCTAGCCCTATCAAATCCCTTAACTTTTGGGTTTTTTTTTTTTTTAAGAGAAAGGGTCTTGCTTTGTTGCCCAGGCTGGTCTTGAACTCCTGGGCTCAAGGGATCCTCCTGCCTTGGCCTCGCAAAGTGCTGGGATTATAGGCTACAGTCACCACACCTGGCCCCAAATCCCTTAATATTTAAGGTCCTCAGTCTTCTCATCTGCAAATAGGGATAACACCTAACACATCTGAATGGTTGTAAGGATTAAATGAAATCATCAAAGGAAAGAGTTTAACATCATATAGAGGAGACTTGATAAACGCTTGCCCGTATTAATGTCTAGAAAATATTCCAAATCTTTTTATTTATTTATTTATTTATTTATTTATTTATTTATAAGACAGTGTCTCGTTTTGTTGCCCAGACTGGAAAGCAGTGGTGCAATCTTGGCTCATTGCAACCTCCGCCTCCTGGGTTCAAGTGATTTTCCTGCCTCAGCCTCCCGAGTAGCTGGGACTACAGGCATGCGCCACCATGCCCAGCTAATTTTTGTATTTTTGTAGAGACAGGGTTTTGCCATGTTGGCCAGACTGGTCTCAAACTCCTGACCTCAAGTGATCTGCCCACTTCAACCTCCCAAAAAGCTGGGATTACAGGCATGAGCCACCGCACCCAGCTGAAAAAATTCCATATCTGTCAAGAAAAATCCAACTCTGGGAAGACTGGAAACCACTGCTACCCTGCTTAGTCACAGAAACAGGGTCCCACCGAAGTGAGGGATGGGAGCTGAAGGGAAAGTGAAGCTGCTTTGCCAGCCAAGTCATCATACTCACAATCACACAGTTCTTCCCAACATGAACATAGGAACCAATCTGTGCTGCGTTGACCACACAATCTTCCTCAATAAAGACATGGTCTCCAATATGTAAAGGAAAGAATGCAACACTAGAAGAGGAAAAGAAGATGAACACAGAAAGGTCAAGATGATGTACTTTGGGTCAAGGTTTATAGAACTACAGATCATAATTTGAACTTTATCATCTTAGCAAGACTGTTCCCAGCAAGGAAAGAAACCTCAGGCTAGAAAAATTATACAATATTGAAGAAAATGAATATGATTACTAGTTCAAAATTGCAATAGTACACCAAAGAAATATGAAAGGAAAAACCAAGGCAGGAGGGGCAAGATCTTCAAAGCTAAAAGAGCAGGTACCAAATAAAAATCAATGAACGTTTGTTCATTCCCACTTCCTTTGAAAATGCTCACAGATCACATTTTTAGTAACCTGCCCTATAATGTTCCAGGGGATTGACAGTAGGCTCATGAGTTATAATTTCCACATTCAGCATTCTAAAAATTTATTCATTCACAGACTTCAGTGAGTGACTACTATGTGCCAGACTCAATGCTAGAAATTAGGGCTATAATAATGACAAAAGAGAGAGAACACTGTCCACGAGCAGCTTGCAATCAAGAGAAGAAATGAGATTAAATAGTAAGTAGTGACAACTGTGATAAGGGCTACAGAAACACAATATCAAGTTATGAGCATATATAACAAGGAGACCTTACCTAGTCCATGGATTTAGGAAAAACTTAATTGACTTTGAGTAGGAGTCAGCAGGCTTTCTCCAGATATCTGACATCATTCCCATCCCGTTCTCTAGGGTTCCTCAAATGTCACTGACAGTGGTTCTGTGATCACATTTATATGTAATTTCTATACCTTGGGATGTAAAATATTTGGACTGGAATGAATATAAAGTGCTAGATGCTCACTAGAGAAAAGGGAAGTAGAAATGCAGAGAGAAGGGCAGTATAGAAGAATTCCAATTCTGTTCTATTCTGTCCAGAATATTTTTTCAGAGATGATACCTGTCCTCTACGAACCTATAATTTGTTTAAATCTTCCTTAACCACTAGTATTTTTGGTCTGTACCTCTTGTGCAGCAATGCATTCCCTGATCTCATCACAGTCTGTAGCAGTACTGACAGTTCTTTAATTTTAAATTTAAGATTCCAAGTTCGATAGTATTATCTGGTTCTGGTATGACATGCAGGTAGAAAAAAATCCACATTTAGCTTCTATTCATGTTTTGCTATTTACACTTTCATATTTTCAGCATTTCTCACATGTACTATTCCTATTTACACATCCCTTCATTCAGCAATAAACCCCTTGTTCACTCTTGGTGCTTTTCCTGTGCCATATCCAACCCAACAATGCTGTTAATCAACATTTCTAGTAGTGTATCAGTCACACTGTATAAAACCATAATAGGGTACCAGGAGGTTTTCTGGTTTTCCCCTAGTAGCCTTCAAAGCTAATCATGTGAATGTTTTATAATGATTCTCCGATCCAGTTCTTGTATGTCATGGAAAGCCTGGAATCCAACATCATTATTGGAAATGTGGGATTATTTCTGCATGATATACTTCTGGGTATTATCATTAGTTTGAGTTAATTGCTCCCTTCTCTGTTCCTTCCTAACCATGGTCATACCTCTGTGACAGGTGTATCACATCATATAGTAGCTGTCATATGTCGCTATCTGATTATGCTAATTGCTTCTACAACTAGACTTTGGGAACCTTGAGGCAGGAATTTTATTTTATCTATCTTTATATATTCTCAGCTTACAACCCAGCTGCAGGCATGAGGAAGGTGCTCAATAAATGCTTGCTGACTTATTGGATGAAATGCAGATGGGTGCCAGGAGGGCAATTAGTCAAGGAGGAGAGAAGCAAAGAGGCAAAGAGAATACTTTAGCACCATTATCAGCTATGGTGGTCAGTTTGCCTGCTCTGTCCCTGGCCTTTCTTGGACAGTCTTTATTCCCACTGAAGGATCAGTGGACCTGACTTGACTCTGCCCTTTGGGTCAAAGTCGTTCAGATCAGGGATACTTAAGATGAGTCAATCAGATTCTCTCTCTCAAGAGTTTGGAAGTAACACATAAGATCTCTAGTTGGTGTCTGCTGGAAGCCTAAATGGAGAAATGATATAAATTAGAGGCTGAGTCAGCAAGGTAGGCTCCATGAACAAATGGGGCAGGTATCTGTGAGAGAGAAAAGGCAAGTAGAAATGCAGAGAGAAGGGCAGTATAGAAGAAAAAATACAGTCTCAGATACAGAGAGGGATAGGTAGACAAAACAGTCTTGATTCCGGCTAGCTGTCCAATTCCAGGTTCCGGTCCCTTGTGAGGCCTGGCTTGCTCCTTTTCCTCCTCTTAGGTTCCATTATATACGCCAGTCTGTTTGATCAGAAATCCTTTGCTTTTGCCAGTGTGTAAGCGGATTCTGTTTGTAGCAACCAATCATCAACCAGACTGAGACAACCACCAGCAGAGTTGTGTTCATTATGGTGAACTCTTACTCAGTGCTTCAAACAGGACAGACCTAGTCATTATACCACAACTCAACACATGGACCACACCACCAGTGGCAGCTTCTTGCCCAAGACTTGAACAAAGTAATTAAATTACATACCCTTTGCTGAACTTCTTGAATGGTGGCCTTATGACACTACGACTTTTCACAACACAATGACGTCCAACTCTTACATTTGCCAGATCCCCTCGGATAATACAGTCATTCATCACAATGGTCTGTAAGACGAAGCAAATTTTAAAAAATTAGCAACATAGCCTAAGACGTAACAAAAAAAGAGTAGATAACGAGATACTGATTCTGAGTTATGTTACAATCCACTCTGACAGAATGTTTCAAATGTTCCGCCAAAAGGAATAAATTGTAAGGTAAAAAGAGAACTGCCCTCATGACAGTGACTGCAGTTAGTGATGTTCCTAGTACATCACAAGCTTTGCCCTTAATCCCCCATGAATAGAACTCACTGAATGAGCACTTAGTGAGAACACCTATAGCAGATCTGGCTTATATGTCTCTTTAGATTTGCTCAGGTAAGTCCTCATGCCCCCCAAGCCTTGGCTGCTCGCTTACCAAGAGTTCTGGCTGCTTTACCTTTGTCTTCTTTCTTAACACTACACCTCCTCCAACTCCATGCTCCAAGAGGTGGACCCACTGGAGTTCTGGTTCATCTCCCAACCTCTGAACTCAGATTCTAAGTGCTACACTGCAAAGTGTAAGGCGTGGCTTCCCCAGAAGTTGTTCCCCTATAAGTCTGGGAGGATTAATGCCTTATACTTGGTAAAGAGTAGGCACCCTCAAAATGTCTGCTGAATAAATGAATGGGGTTAAAAAGTGCATATGCTGGAGTTGTAACTGGAAAAAGTAAGCAAGGGACATGCAAGTAGATTATGAGGAATTATGTATGCTAAGCACAGAAACTTAGACATTTTTCCTAGAGGATATAGAGTCAATAAAATATTTTATTTCATTAAAAAATTTTTTCTGGCCAGGTGCGGTAGCTTACGCCTGTAATCCCAACACTTTGGGAGGCCGAAGCAGGTGGATTGCCTGAGGTCGAGTTCAAGACCAGGCTGGCCAACATGGTGAAACCCCATCTCTACTAAAAATACAAAAATTAGCCGGACATGGTGGCAAGTACCTGCAGTAATCCCAGCTACTCGGGAGGCTGAGGCAGGAGAATCGCTTGAACCTGGGAGGCGGAGGTTGCAGTGAGCCGAGATCGCGCCATTGCACTCCAGCCTGGACGAAAAGAGTGAGATTTTGCTTTAAGACACAGGGTCTCACTCTGTTGCCCAGGCTGCAGTGCAGTGCCACAATCATAGCTCACTGCAACCTTGAGCTCCTGGGCTCAAGGGATCCTCCCGCCTAAGCCTTCTGTGCAGCTGGGACTACAGGTGTGTGCCACCACATCCCACTAATTTTTAAATGTTTTGTAGAGATGGAGTCTCACTATGTTGCCCACGCTGGTCTTGAACCCCTAGGCTCATGCAATCAATCCTCCAACTTTGACCTCCCAAAGTGCTGCGATTGCAGGCATTAGACACTGCACTTGGCCCCAGTATTTTAAACAAAGGATTAACATACATAAATTTCCGTATTATTACTACTACTCTGGAAGCACCCTGGCATCTGCATGGAGGATACAGGTGAGAGACCTGAGGAAAACTGACCCTTTAGATGACTACAATGGATCAAGGTAAAAATAGATAATGAGTCTTTATTTTTTTTTTTTTTTGAGATGGAGTCTTGCTCTGTCACTCAGGCTGGAGTGCAGTGGCATGATCTTGGCTCACTGCAACCCCGCCTCCCAGGCTCAAGCAATTCTCCTGCCTCAGCCTCCCCAGTAGCTGGGATGACAGGCACCCACCACCATGCCCGGCTCATTTTTGTATTTTTAGTAGAGATAGGGTTTCACCATGTTGGCTAGGCTGGTCTTGAACTCCTGACCTCAAGTGATCCTCCCAAAGTGCTGGGATTATAGGCATGAGCCACTGAGCCCAGCCTATAATGGATCTTATCTAAAGCAATAACTGTACATATAGAAAGAAAAAATAAATAGTAAAAATATATAAATTAATAATAAAAGTAAATTAATCTGATTAAGTCTGTAGATTTAATGACCAATTTCAAGGAAGGAGGGAGATAAGGACCCTATTAGGCAATTCCATATAGACATAATCAGCCAAATTCAGCAGCTGGAGAATTCAACTGGATAGTGACCCAGTTTCTGCAATATATAAATGGCATGGAGAGAAAAAAGGGTTGGGGAAAGAGAACTGTTACAGATTAAAAGAGACTTAAGAGACATATCAACCAAATACAATGTGTGCAGCATCATGTTTGGATTCTGCTTTGAACAAATGAACTGGAAAAAGATATCCTGAGATACTGGGAAGACTGAATATGGACTGAGCGTTAGATGGTATTAAGGAAGTACTGGAGTTTTTACAATATTAACATGATAACAGTGATACTCTACTCATTTTTGTTTGTTTATAGAGACAGGGTCTCGCTCTGTCACCCAGGCTGGAGTGCAGTGGCATGATCATGGCTCACTGTAACCTTGAACTCCTGGGCTCAAGAGATCCTTCTGCCTCAGCCTCCAGGTAGCTGGGACTACAGGTGCATGCCACTAGACCTGGCTAATTTTTCTTTTCATTTTTTGTAGAGACATGGTCTTGCTATGTTGCCCAGGCTGGTCACAAATGCCTGGCCTCAAGTAATTCTCTTACTTCAGCCTCCCAAGTGCTAGGATTCCAATTGTGAGCCACCATGCCCCACCTCTACTGAATTTTTAAGTCCTTAAGAATTAGTAAGACACACTGAAGTATTTGTGGGTGAAATAATATGACATTTGCAATTTGTTTTAAAATACCATCCAGCCGGGAATGGTGGCTCATGCCTGTAATTCTAGTACTTTGGGAGGCTGATGCAGGAGGACTGCTTGAGCACAGGAGGGCAAGACCAGCCTGGGAAACATGGCAAAACCCTATCTTTGCAAAAAATACAAAAATTAGCCAGATGTGGTGGTGTGCACCTGTAGTCCCAGCTACTCAGGAGTCTGCGGTGGGGGGATTGTCTGAGTATGTGGAGGTCGAGGCTGCGGTAAGCTGAGATCACACCACTGCACTCCCACCTGGGTGACAGAGCAAGACTGTGCCTCAAGAAAAAAAAAAAAAAATTAAGCAGGGCATGGTGGCACGTGCCTATAGTCCCAGCTACACCAGAGGCTGAGGCGGAAGGATCACTAAGAATCAAGGCTACAGTGAGCTATGATAGTGCCACTTGCTGCACTCCAGCCTGGGCAACAGAGTAAGACTCTGTCTCAGAAAAAGAAAAAATAAATAAGTAAGAATAAAAAACTCTAGCGTTCCCTACCCCACCCTAGTCAAACTAGGACTTGAGTTTACAAGGTGAGTTTAGAGATGAAGCAAAAATGTCAGAATATTGCTAATTATGGAAGCTGGTAAATGAGTTTGTGGGAATTCCTTATATATCCTCTCTACTTTTGTACATGTCTTAAAAGTTCCATAATGATAATATTTAGCTATAAAAAGGAAAAAATAATAATCTGCTACTATATGCAACAAGATGGATACATCTCAAAAACATTATGCTGCGTGAAAAAAGCTTGACATAAAAGAGTATATGATTCTAACCCAGATATCCATGAATGGGCGAAAGGATAAAGAAAATGTGGTATATATCACTTCTTGGCCTTTTGGCTAAGATCAAGTGAAGAAAATGTAGTATATATACATAATGGAATATTATTCAGTCATAAAAAAGAACGAAATCCTGTCATTTGCAGCAACATGGATGGAACTGGAGGTTACTATATTAAATGAAATAAGCCAAGCACAGAAAGACATATATCACACGTTCTCACTCATATGTGGGCACTAAAAAAGCAGATTTCAAGACAGAGAGTAGACTGTTGGTTACCAAAGGCCAAGAAAGGTAGGAGGAAGGAAGAGGGGTTAATTAATGGGCACAAATATACAGCTTGATAGAAGAAATAAGACCTAGAATTTGATAGGTCAGTAGGGTGACTACAGTTTACAGTAATCTATTATGTATTTCAAAACAGCTAGAAGGAAATAATTTTTTTTAAACTTTTAAGTTCAGGGGTACATATGCAGGTTTGTTACATAGGTAAACTTGTGTCATGGAGGTTTGTTGTACACATTATTTCATCACCCAGGTATTAAGCCTAGTACCCATTATTTTTCCCGATCCTTTCCCTCCTGCACCCTCCCAACTCCCCGCTCCCATAGGCCCCAGTGTGTGTTGTTCCCCTCTATGTGTCCATGTGTTCTCATCATTTAGCCTCCAGCTCCATCCATGTCCCTGCAAAAAATATGATCTCATTCTTTTTTATGGCTGCATTGTATTTCATGGTGTACCTGTACCACATTTTCTTTATCCAGTCTATCACTGATAAGCATTTAGGTTGATTCCATGTCTTTGCTATTGTGAACAGTGTTGCAATGAATATATGTGTGCACATGTCTTTATAATAGAATGATTTATATTCTTTTGGGTATATATCCAGTAATGGGATTGCTGGGTCAAATGGTATTTCTGTCTTTAGGTCTCTGAGGAATCACCACACTGTCTTCCACAATGGTTACACTCCCACTAACAGTATGTAAGTGTTCCTTTTTCTTCACAACCTCACCAGCATCTGTTATTTTCTGACTTTTTAATAACAGCTATTCTGACTGGTGTGAGACGGTATCTCGTGGTTTTGATTTGCACTTCTCTAATGATCAGTGATGTTGAGCTTTTTGTCATGATTATTGTATTTCTTCTTTTGAAAAGTGTCTGTTCATGTCCTTTGCCCACTTTTTAAATGGGGTTGTTTTCTACTTGTAAATTTGTTTAATTCCTTTAGATGCTGGATATTAGACCTTTGTCAGATGCATAGTTTGCAAAAATTTTCTCCCATTCTGTAGGATGTCTGTTTACCCTGTTAATAGTTTCTTTTGCTGTGCAGAAGCGCTTTAGTTTAATCAGATCTCATTTGTCAACTTTCGCTTTGTTGCAATTGCTTTTGGCATCTTCATCATGAAATCTTTGCCTGTACCTATGTCCTGAATGGTACTGGTTAGGTTGTCTTCCAGGATTTTTACAGTTTTGGGTTTTATATTTAAGTCTTTAATCCATCTTGAGTTGATTTTTCTATATGGTATAAGGAAGGGGTCCAGTTTCAATTTTCTCCATATGGCTAGCCAGTTATCCAAGCACCATTTATTGAATAGAGAATCCTTTCCTCATTGCTTGTTTTTAGAAGGTTTGATGAAGATGAGATAGTTGTAGGTGTGTGGTCTTATTTCTGGGTTTTCTATTCTGTTCCATTGTTCTGTGTCTGTTCTTGTACCAGCAACACGCTGTTTTGATTACTGTAGCCCTGTAGTAGTTTGAAGTCAGGTAGCGTGATACCTACAACTTTGTTCTTTTTGCTCAAGATTGCCTTGGCTACTCTAGAAGGAAATAATTTGATTGTTTCTAGCATAAAGACAAATATTTAAGGTGATGAGTATCCCAATTACACTGATTTTTTATTTTTTCATTTTTTGGGGGACAGGGTCTCACTCTGCCGCCCAGGCTGGAGTGCAGTGGTGCCATCACGGCTCACTGCAGCCTCGACCTCCCAGGCTCAAGTGATCCTCCCTGCTCAGCTTCCCAAGCAGCTGGGACCACAGGTGTGCACCACCAAGCCCAGCTAATTTTTTTTATTTGTAGAGATGGGGGTCTCCCTATGTTGCCCAGGCTGGTTTTGAAATCCTGGGCTCAAGAGATCTTCCCACCTTGGCCTCTGAAAGTGCTGGGATTACAGGTGTGGGCCACCACGTCCAGCCAAAACCAATCTTATCTTTATAAATTTTATAAATGTATTAAATTATCATGTGCCCCCAAAATATGTACATCTATTATATGTCAATGAAAAATTATTTTTAAAAAGGGCTTGTGATTCTAATTATATGAAACTTCAGAAAATGCAAAACTAATCTATATTAGTTTTATATTGGTGGTTGCCTGAGGCAAGGGTACAAGGGTAGAGGATTGACTGCAAAGGGGCACAAGGAAACTAGAGTAATAGAAATGTATTCTATATCTTGATTGTAGTAGTGGTTGCATAGATGTACCCATCAGTCAAAACTTGTCAAACTGCACACTCAAAATGGATACATTTATTGTATGCAAATTATACCTCAATAAAGATGATTGGTTTTAGTTCCATAATAAAATGTTTAAAAAGAAAAGAAGGAAGAGAATCTATATGACTTGGTGACTGTTCGGCTGTTGGGAGGTAAGACAAAGAGAATTTACAATAGGGTAAGCAATTATGAGGATTACCAATTAAATTTTGAAATGTTGAATTTGAGATAGCTACGGGATGATCAATAGGCAGTTGTAAATAAAGGTCTGAGGTCAAGGACAGAAGGTCAGGCTAGGGAGGTAGGTGGGGAACTCCTGATATATAGGTGAATTTAGATTTATCGCTAGCCTGAACACCTGACTCTGAAGAATACCAAAAAAGAAACAGACTCATACCTGGAAAAACTTACTCAACTGCATACGTATAGTCTACAAAACTTGTACTCATAAAAAAGAACTTCCACATCTGCTGCTGATTATGAAGTATTACAGTTCTTTTGGTTTTCTTTTTTATTTTTAGTTTTTGAGATGGAGTCTTACTCTGTTGCTCAGGCTGGGGCACAGTGGTGTGATCTCAACTCACTACAACCTCTGCCTCCCAGGTTCAAGTGATTCTCTTGCCTCAGCCTCCTGAGTAGCTGGGATTACAGGCGCATGCCATCACACTAGGCTAATTTTTGTATTTTTAGTAGAGATGGGGTTTCACCATGATGGCCAGGCTGCTCTCAAACTCCTGACCTCAGGTAATCTGCCCGCCTCCGCCTGCCTTGGTCTCGCAAAGTGCTGGGATTATAGGCATGAGCCACCGTGCCCAGCCACTTTGGTTTTCAAAAGATGTACTCTTCAAGCTTAAAGAGATTATCTATTTCTAGCATGAACTTCCTCCATCTAAGAGTCTTAATTTACTTCAATTATTGTTTTCAGTTTCATGTTTCCACCTACAATCAGAGAAAATGGCTTCCTTTTCTTTTGGAGGAAAACAGAATTCCAAAAGTCCTGGGTATTTGGTGATGGTGGTTGTTTTATTGTGTTTTAAATAAGTACAACAAGCTTAATCTGGAAATAAAGAACATCCACATAAGTCTGTTTGTCAGCCTAAACTATACACTAACTAAAGAAGCAAACACATGCAAAGGAAGTAAATTGTATCACAGGTGGTCAGAGAAATTTAGGAAGATGGACTCAAATCTTGGTTTCCTATTTCACAAGGAGTAGTGCTGAGGAAGAGAAGTCAGATTCAAAACAGAGGTAACGGGGTGTTAAAAAGAAAGAAGGTGGCTGCCCTTCAGAGAAGCAAATGAAAGGAGGTGGCTGCCCTTCACAGAAGCAAAGCAAAGAGTTCACTGAACTCAACAATGGGCAAGGCAGAGATAGCAAAGTGGAGGTTGAAGGACTATACTTGCAAACCTGTATTGTTTGGCTCATGCAGCATTTTTATTATTTATTTCTTTTAATTTTTTTTAGCTATCTCCTACAGGAAGGACACGTGGCATTTTAACAAATCATTTAAAATTAAACATTACTATTTGAGTAGTGGAACATCTTGCATTTTAAAAAGTGAGATTTCCAGTTGCTTTTGAAAAAGAATCAGACGCTCTGGAAAGCTGATTGTTGCCACGTGGGCCTGTATTCCCACACAGTAACAACCAGCTTGGGCTTAGATTGGTCACATTCTCCAATTCACCAGGCCCCACCACTCTCTATTGTTCACACTCAGTCTTACTGACTCATCTGATCTCTTTCTATCCCTGCAGGCACTGTGACATCTGATATATGGGCTCAGGAAAACAGAAATGACAAAGTTCTGAAAGA
The DNA here is from genome assembly GCF_000001405.40 of Homo sapiens. Classification (NCBI taxonomy): domain Eukaryota; kingdom Metazoa; phylum Chordata; class Mammalia; order Primates; family Hominidae; genus Homo; species Homo sapiens. The sequence continues at coordinate 23,650,747 of NC_000016.10, read as the reverse complement.
GAAGGGATAGAAATATAAATGGATTGTTCATAACAGCAAAAAACTAGAAACAAAGTAACTTTCCACCAAGAGGAGGGTGGATAAGTGGAATTGTACACAGCAGTGAAAATGCACAGACGGGCCAGCCGGGTGCAGTGGCTCATGCCTGTAATCCCAGCACTTTGGGAGGCCAAAGTGGGCAATCACCTGAGGTCAGGAGTTCAAGACCATCCTGGCCAACATGGTGAAACCCGGTCTCTACTAAAAATACAAAAAAAAAAAAAAAAATTAGCCAGGTGTGGTGGGAGGAAGAGGTGGTGTGTGGGGAGGGAGGGAGGCAGGAGAATCGCTTGAACCTGGAGGTTGCAGTGAGTCAAGATCGCACCATTACACTCCAGCCTGGGCAATAAGAGCAAAACTCCATCTTAAAAGAAAATAAAATAAAATGCACAGACCACAATGAATCTTAGAAATAAAAGCTGAGTACCTCCCAAAGCAGTCTACAGACTCAATGCAATCTTAACAAGATAACAATGAGATTCTTCACAAAAATAGAAAAAAGATCCTAAAATTCGCAGAGACTCTGAATAGCCAAAGTAATCCTGAACAGAAAGAACACAGCTGAAGGGGGCATCACACTGCCAGACTTAAAAATATACTGCAATGCTACAGTAATCAAAATAGCATAATACTGGCATTACAAAAAGACACATAGGCCAATGGAACAGAATAGAACCTAGAAATTAATCCACATATCTATAGCCAGCTGATTTTTGACAAAGGTGACGAGAACATTCATCTGGAAAAGGACAATCTCTTCAATAAATGGTGCTGGGAAAACAGCATATCCATAAGCAGAAGTAGACCCCACACCTGTCACTGTACACAAAAATCAACTCAAAATGAAATCTTTTTTTTTTTTTTTTTTTTTGAGACAGAGTCTCACTCTGTTGCCCAGGCTGGAGTGCAGTGGCACCATCTCGACTCACTACAACCTCTGCCTCCTGGGTTCAAGTGATTCTCATGCCTCAGCCTCCTGAGTAGCTGGGATTACAAGCATGCCACACCCAGCTAATTTTTTCTATTTTTAGTAAAGATGGGTTTCACCATGTTGGCCAGGCTGGTCTTGAACTCCTGCCCTCAAGTGATCCGCCCGCCTTGGCCTCTCGAAGAGCTGGGATTATAGGCGTGAGCCACTGCACCTGGTCTATAACTTAAAATGAATTAAAGACCTAAATGAAGGCCTGGGACTATAAACTACTAGAAGAAAACATAGGGGAAATGCTTAAAGACACTGGTCTTGGAAAAGATGAGTAAGACTTCAAAAGCAGAGACAACAAAAGGAAATAAACAAATGGGATTATATCAAACTAAAATGATCCTGCACAGCATAGGAAACAATCAACAGAATGAAAATATGGCAGAACATATCTTCAAACTATTCTTCAAAGACAGAATATATTAATACAAGGAACTCAAACATCTCAACTGCAAAAAAACTCAATCTAATTTTTTAAATGGGCAAATGATTTGAATCGACATTTCTCAAAAGACATACTAATGGCCAACAAATATATATTTTAAAATGTTCACTAAACATCACTAATCAGCCAGGCACGGTGGCTCATGCCTGTAATCCCAGCATTTTGGGAGGCCAACTGCAGGTGGATCACTTGAGGTCAGGAGTTCGAGACCAGCCTGAGCAATATGGTGAAACCTCGTCTCTACTAAAAATACAAAAAAAATTAGCCAGCATGGTGGTGTGCGCCTGTAGTCCCAGCAACTCAGGAGGCTGAGACAGGAGAATTGCTTGAACCCGGGAGGCAGAGGTTGCAGTGAGCTGACATCACGCCACTGCACTCCAGCATGGGCAATGGAGCGGGATTCTGTCTCAAAAAACAAACAAACAAAAAATCACTAATCATAGGGAAGGGCAAATTAAGACCACAATGAGGTACCACTTCACCGCAGTTTAGGATGCTTATCATAAAGACAAAAAATAACAAATACTAGTGAGGATTTGGAGAAAAGGAAACTCTTATACACTGTTGGTGGGATGTAAACTAGTACAGCCACTATGGAGAACAGTATGAACGTTCCTTAAAAAAACTACAAATAGGGCCAGGTGTGGTGGCCCACACCTGTAATCCCAGCACTTTGGGAGGCCGAGGCAGGCGGAATACTTGAGGTCAGGAGTTCACGACCAGCCTGGCCAACATGGTTAAACCCCATCTCTATTAAAAATACAAAAATTAGCCAGACATGGTGGTGTGCACCTGTAATCCCAGCTATTCAGGAGATTGAGGCATGAGAATCACTTCAACCAAGGACGTGGAGATTGCAGTGAGTTGATATCGCACCACTGCACTTTAGCCCAGGCGACACAGCGAGACTGTGTCTCTAAAAAAAAAAAAAAAAAAAAAAGAAAAAAGAAAAAAAAATTAGCCAGCAATGGTGGTGCATGCCCGTAGCATAAGCTACTTGGGAAGCTGAGGTGGGAGGTTCGCCTGAGCCTGGCCTGGAAGGTCAAGGCTGCAGTGAGCTATGATTGTGCCACTGCACTCTAGCCTGGGCAACAAAGTGAGACCCTGTCTCAAAAAAATTAACTAACAAATAAATTAAACAAATAAATAAAGATTTTTAAAATAAAAATAAATCACAGGAAACCAAGTTAAACAATATATATTATTTAGGGATATGTGGAAAATTTGCTTAAATAATAAATAATTTATAAGACACAAAATCAGGACAGCGGTTTTCTCTTGGAGGGTGGCAAAAATAGGAATAGGGGAGGAACATAAAAATAGTACTTATTGTATACAGATTATGTTCCAATTCTTCAGTTGGGTATAGGGTTCACTGGTGTTGATTTAATTTTATGCTTTATGACATATATGTCACATATATTCTTTTGTATACCCAAAATATTGCCAAATTAAACATCTTTAAAAAGCAAAAGGTAGCCAGGCATGGTGGCTCATGCCTGTAATCCAAGCACTTTGGGAGGCTGAGGCAGGCAGATCACCTGAGGTCAGGAGTTCAAGACCAGCCTGGCCAACATGGTAAAACCCCGTCTCTACTAAAAATACAAAAATTAGCCAGGCATGGAGGCACGCAACTGTAATACCAGGTACTGGGGAGGCTGAGGCAGGACAATTGCTTGAACCTGGGAAGTGGAGGCTGCAGTGAGCCAAGATTCCACCATTGCATCCAGCCTGGGCAACAGGGCAATACTCCATCCCCCTCCCCCAAAAAAAAATTAAAAAAAAAAAAGCAAACAGCCCTCAATAGGCAAAACAATCTTATAAAAGAACAAACATGGAAGACTCATAATTCATGATTAAAAACTTATTATAGTAGGCCGAGCACAGTGGTTCACACCTGTAATCCCACTACTTTGGTAGGCCAAGGCGGGCGGATCACCTGAGGTCAGGAGTTCGAGACCAGCCTGACCAAAATGGCAAAACCCTGTCTCTAGCATGGTGGCGCATGCCTGTAATCCCAGCTATTCAGGATGCTGAGGCAAGAGAATTACTTGAACCTGAGAGAAGGAAGTTGCAGTAAGCTGAGATCGTGCCACTGCACTCCAGCCTGGGTGACAGAGTGAGACTCTTTCTCAAAAAAAAAAAAAAACCAGAAAACTTATTACAAAGCTATGGTAATCAAAACAGTGCAGTGTTCCATAAAGATAGTCATACAGACCAACCAAATAGAATTGAGAGTTCACAAATAAATCTATTCATCTATGACCAATTGATTTTCTAGAAGAGTGCCAAGACCATTCAACAGGGAAAGAATAGTATTTTCAACAAACAGTGCCAGGATAACTGTATTTCTACATTCAAAAGAACTAAGTTAGACCCCTACCTCAAACCATATAAAAAAATTACTCAAGCTGGGTACAGTGGTTCACGCCTGTAATCCCGGCACTTTGGGACGCCGAGGCTGGCAGATCACCTGAGGTCGGGAGTTTGAGACCAGCCTGACCAATATGGAGAAACCCTGTCTCTACTAAAAATACAAAATTAGTCAGGCATGGTGGCGCATGCCTGTAATCCCAGCTACTTGGGAGGCTGAGAGAGGAGAATCACTTGAACCCAGGAGGCGGAGGTTGCAGTGAGCCGAGATTGCACCACTGCACTCCAGCCTGGATGACAAGAGGGAAACTCCGTCTCAAAAAACAAAAAAAAAAATTAACTCAAAATGGATCAATGACCTAAACACAGCACTAAGACCATTAACGCTCTTAGAAGAAAACACGGCAGTAAATCTTCATGGCCATAAGTTTGGATTCTTAATATGACACCAAAAACACAAGCAACAGAAGAAAAAACAGATAAACCAGACTTCAAAATTAAAAACTTTTGTGCATCAAAGGGATGCACAAAATCTACAGAAAGGAAGAAAGCATTTGCAAATCATATATCTGATAAGTGTTTAATATCCAGAATGCATAAAGAACTCCTAGAACTCAATAAGAAAAAGACAACACAATATAAAAATAGGCAAAGGACTGAACAGACATTTCTCTAAAGAAGATGTACAGATGACCAACAAGCAACATTCAAAGATGTTCAATATCATTAGTCATTAAGGAAATACAAATCAAAACCACTATGAGATACCATTTTATACTCCCTTGGATGGCCATAATCCAAAAAAAACCAGAAAATAACTAGTGTTGGTAAAGATGTGGAGAAATTGGAACCCTGCACAATGCTGGTGGAAACGTAAAATGGTGCAGCCATTTTGGAAAAAAATTTGTCAGTTTCCCAAAAAGTTAAACATAGACTCACCATTTGTCCCAGCAATCACGCTCTTTTGTATATACCAAACATTGCCAAATCAAGTATTGAGTATATACACTCCTAGGTATATACTCAAAAAAACTGAAGACAGGGACACAAACAGATACTTGCACATCAGTGTTCACTGCAGCATTATTCCCAATAGCCAAAGGGTAGAAACAATCCAAGTGCCTATACGAAATGTGGCATATACATACAATGGAGTATTACTCTGCTATGGAAAGGAATGAAGTTCTGATGTGCTTTAACAAGGATGAACCTTGAAAACCTTACACTAAGTGAAATAAGCCAGACAAAAAGGACAAATATTGTATGATTCCACTTATATGAAATATCCAGAATAGGCAAATTCATAGAGACAGAAAGTAGATTCAGGCTATCAGCAATGGAAGGAAGTAGGGAATGGGCGTGTATTCCTTAATGTGTAGAGTTTTTATTTGGGGTGATGAAAAAATTTTGGAAATGGATAGTGGAGATGGTTGCACAACATTGTGAATGTAATTAATGCAACTAATTGTACACTTAAAAATTGGTAAGGCTGGGCGCAGTGGCTCATGCCTGTAATTCCAGCACTTTGGAAGGCCAAGGAGGGCAGATCACCTGAGGTCGGGAGTTCGAGACCAGCCTGATCAACATGGAGAAACCCCGCCTCTATTAAAAATATAAAATTAGCTGGGCATGGTGGCACATGCCTGTAACTGGGGAGTCTGAGGCAGGAGAATCACTTGAACCTGGGAGGCGGAGGTTGTGGTGAGCCGAGATCGTGCCATTGCACTCCAGCCTGGGCAACAAGAGCAAAACTGCGTATTAAAAAAAAAAAAAATATATATATATATATATATATATATATATATATATATATATATATATATATATAGTTAGGCTGGGTGCAGTGGCTCACACTTGTAATCCCAGTACTTTGAGAGGCCAAGGCAGGTGGATCACTTGAGGCCAAGAGTTTGAGACCAGCCTGGCCAACGTGGCAAAACCCTGCCTCTACTAAAAATACAAAAATTAGCCCAGTGTAGTGGCGTGCACCTGTAGTCCCAGCTACACAGGAGGCTGAGGCATGAGAATCCTTGAAGCCAAGAGGCGGAGGTTGTGGCGACTGAGATGGCGCCGCTTCACTCCAGCCTGGGCAACTGTCTCAAATAATAAAAATTTTTAAAAAATTGTTAAAATGGCAAATTGTTATACATAGTTCACCATAAGAAAAAAAATCTTGGGCTGGGCGTGGTGGCTCATGCCTGTAATCCCAGCACTTTGGGAGGCTGAAGTGGATGGATCATCTGAGGTGAGGAGTTCAAGACCAGCCTGGCCAATATGGTGAAACCCTGTCTCTACTAAAAATACAAAAATTAGGCCAGGCGCGGTGGCTCACGCCTGTAATCCCAGCACTTTCGGAGGACAAGGCAGGTGGATCACGAGGTCAGGAGATTGAGACCATCCTGGCTAACACGGTGAAACCCCATCTCTGATAAAAATACAAAAAATTAGCTGGGCATGGTGGTGGGTGCCTGTAGTCCTAGCTACTCAGGAGGCTGAGGCAGGAGAATGGCGTGAGCCTGGGAGGCGGAGCTTACAGTGAGCCAAAATCGCACCACTGCACTCCAACCTGGGCAACAGGGCGAGACTCCATCTCAAAAAAAAAAAAAAAAAAAAAAAATTAGGTGGGCATGATGGCGGGAGCCTGTAATCCCAGCTACTCTGGAGGCTGAGGCAGGAGAATCACCTGATGCCAGGAGGTGGAAGTTGCAGTGAGCCAAGATCGCGCCACTGTACTCCGACCTGGGTGACAGAGCAATACTCTGTCTCAACAAAAAAGGAAAAAAAAGAAACAGTATGTCTGAGCAGCAATTACTGAATTATATTTCTTTTCCACTTAATTCCTTGGTATGACAGGCTTAATGGAGACTAATTATCTTCTACTGAAAATATTTGTGATCTCTTGGTTATAAGGAGACTATTTTCCTTCTGGAAGTTAGAGATGTAATATTTAAAGAAAAATTAATTTCAAAATTGAGTGTTCCAGATGGCAGGAAAACAACTGTGAACTTCACTGTTTGTCAAGCTCAAATATACCCTGTGATATTTTCTCTTCCAAGTTTATACTCGTCTCTTTGCTATTGTAATTTATTTGGATTACAAGATTCTCAGGCTTTCAGATTCCACTTTGCATATTTGTCTCATACTTTAATATCTTTTCCAATTGTCACATTCGTTTTAAGAGTTTCAGTTAATAGTGAATTATTAATTTTTACTAAAGAGATAATTTTATAAGTATTACTTTAGTTTCTACCTTCAAATATTTCATTACCTGTTACACTTTGTGCCCAGTAGTTTAATGCACACTATATCATAAAATAATGTTGGTTCTAGGTACCACTGTATTTTGTTCCTGGCATAAAAGAAAAAAGGTTTTCTGTTGCCTCTTATTGAACCTTTTTGCATTCAAGAGATCCAACTTAGGCTGGGTGCAGTGGCTCACACCTATAATCCCAGCACTTTGGGAGGCCGAGGTGGGTGGATCACTTGAGGGCAGGAGTTCAAGACCAGCCTGGCCAACATGATGAAACCCTGTCTCTACTAAAAATACAAAATATTAGCCGGGCTTGGTGGCAGCTGCCTGTAATCCCAGCTACTCGGGAGGCTGAGGCAGGAGAACTGGTTGAACCTGGGAGACGGAGGTTGCAGCGACCTGAGATGGGGCCACTGCACTCCAGCCTGGGCGACAGAGTGAGACTGTCTCAAAAAAAACCGAAACAAAAAAAAAACAAAAAGGAGATCCAATTTACAAAATAAAAAATTTAAAAACAAGAGAATTAAAAATGTAAACAATAAATAGGAGATATGGCAACATTTTATCTGCCCTGCTGTGGTGACAATTAGCAGAACGCAAGCTAAGGTTTGCAGCCTGGAGCTGGCTTTGTCCCTTACCTTGCCATTGAGAACGATGTTCTGGCTTCCACACAACACTGACTGGCGACTGACTTTGTTCCCAGATGCCTAAAAGAAAACAACGGAAAACCGGGGAAAGCAAACTTAATAGGTTTCTGGACTACAGGTTTCCATCAAGAAAGCTCCCATTTGAGAGAAAAAAACATAAAGTGGGGTGCTGTCCACAATGGAGTGAGTCCAGGATATCAAAAAAGCAATGATGGATTAGGAAACTATGGCTGAGTATGGTGGCTCATGCCTGTAATCTCAGCACTTTGAGAGGCTGAGGCAGACGGATCCCTTGAGGACAGGAGCTCAAGACCAGCCTAGGCAACATAGTGAGACCCCTTCTCAACAAAAAAAAAATTTTTTAATTAGCCGGGCATGGTGGCGCGTGTCTGTAGTCCCAGCTCCTCAGAAGGCTGAGGCTAGAGGATCGCTTGAGCCTGGAAGGCCGAGGCTGCAATGAGCTGTGATTGTGCCACTGCACTCCAGCCTGGGCAACAGAGTGAGAACCTGTCTCAAAAAATAAAAACACAAAGGAAACTAGGGACTCAAGGAATAAACTCATAATTTGAATGTCTATAGCTTGGTGGCATCAGACAGACGCGGATTCAAATCCCACTTCCACGCGTGGGCTTTACGGCCTTAAAACGAGGATAATGACTATGAGTATCAGAGTTGTGAGAAAGCAAAGAAAACCAAAATAACGATAGTAACGTTAATTGACCACTTGCCCTGTTTCCAAGATTTTACAAACATATCATGTACTGATCATAAAGAACCAAATCGGCAGGGTGCGGTGGCTCACGCCTGTAATGCCAGCACTTTGGGAGGCCGAGGCGGGTCGATCACCTGAGGTCAAGAGTTAGGGACCTGCCTGGCCAACACGGTGAAACCCCGTCTCTACCAAAAAATACAAAAATTAGCCGGGCGTGGTGGCGGGCGCCTGTAATCCCAGCTACTCGAGACGCTGAGGCAGGAGAATCGCTTGAACCCGGGAGGCGGAGGTTGCAGTGAGCAGAGATCGCGCCGCGGCCCTCAGGACTGGGCGACAGAGTCTCCGCCCCCCAACCCCCTTCCTCAAAAAAAAAGAACCGAATCGTTTTTAGCGCAAGTTAACAGATACAAAAGGCAGTGTAAAAGGGCCCGAAGTCCGAGCTGTAATTCGTATGAACAGGATGGGACTTGTCCTATCCTCCCGAAGGCACTTTACCCCTATGAGAAAATCAGGAATAAATACAAAAGGCCTCAACTGGCCAAGCGCGGAGTAAACAGCAAAGCCAGACGGTACACGGGGCATCGCTAGATAATCCGGGACTAATGGCCAAAGGGACAGGGGTTGGTGGGGTAGGGGCAGGTTGGGAACGCCGACCAGGCCTCAAAGGGACGCAGGGTTGGAAAGAGGAGGATACATATCTGGACCCGCGCACCGTCTCGATGTACTCAGACTTGTTGTAGAGCAGCTCGCCCAACTCCATGGCCGCCGCCTCCTTCCCTCAGCCCCGGATCCTGTCAGAGTCAGTCGGTCAGTCTTTCAGAGATTCCGGCTACTTCCGGCCGCTCCTCCACTTCCGCTCCAGGTGGCCCACTGGGACTCATCGACAGCGCGGCTCTCCTTTAGGCGGCCTCGCTCCACTGCTCGGCCGTCTACGGCTGCGCGTGCGCAGGCCGAATGGTGGATTTAATTGGCCGGAGTTTAGGGCGCGCTTGGCCCGCGTGGGTCAGCTGATCGCGCACTGAGGGTGCGATCCCGGGCTCCCCATTCCTTCCTGGGGCGCCTCCCCGGCCCAGGGCCAACTGGGTCCCGGTGTCGGCAGGCCTGGGGTCGGCGACGGCTGCTCTTTTCGTTCTGTCGCCTGCCCGATGGACGAGCCTCCCGGGAAGCCCCTCAGCTGTGAGGAGAAGGAAAAGGTGCCGGGGGTGCGGGAAGGGCGGACGCAGGACTCTGACCCCGCTTTCCCAGGGTTTTAGGCCTGGCTTTGTGTCCTCGGCAGTCCGAGGGCAGCAGTATCATCTGACCACCCCCTCCTCTTAGGGCTGAGGGGGCACAGAAAATGAAAATGTGGAAATAGCGTGGTGCTCACGTGGTGGCGTTTAAAGAACAAATTTCATTACAGTAGCAGCGCATTAATACAATGTGTAACAGTTTGTAGATAAAGCTGTATCGACACCCTTGCTCCTCCCCCCTCCCACACCCTCAATCTTTACTTCTCCCCCCGGACGGCCTCAAGTAAATCTTTTAAGTCTGGTACTTCCAGGTCCTTTCGTGTGTTAATGTGGGTGGTGGAGGAGGGGCGTATCCCTAACCACCAAAAAGGAATCCTATGTATATTTTTTGGAGAAGGGAATGTTCATAAATGGTATGATCTGAATGGTTCTGCAGGTTCCGTTTAGCTTTCCTGTCAGGACATGTTTATCTACCTTGCTTTCTTTTTTAAGTTCTAGACAGTATGTTGTAGTTTGGAAGTGCCCTCGTTTTGTTTCTTTTTTCTTCCTTTTCTGTTTTTCTTCTTTTTTGAGACAGAGTCTCACTCTGCCACCCATGCTGGGGTGCAGTGGCGCGATCTCGGCTCACTGCAACCTCCGCTTCCTGGGATCAAGCGACTCTCCTGCCTCAGCCTCCCGAGTAGCTGGGATTACACGAACCCGCCACTGCACCTGGCCTTGGAAGTGCCCTTGCTTCTTTAGACTGTACTTTACTGATAGACTTTTAGGATGTTTCCAGCTTGTGCTGATGTTATTCTTATCCTGGCTTACCTTCTGGTGGAGGTGAGAAAGATCATTTATAAGTAAACAAGATAATCCCCAGACATTGATAAGATTGGTGGGAGGCCAGTCTCCCTGGCTCACGCCTGTAATCCCCGCACTTTGGGAGGCCGAGATGGGCAGATCGCTTGAGCTCAGAGTTTGAGACCAGCCTAGGCAACGTAGTGAAACCCCGTCTCTACTAAAAATACAAAAATTAGCCGGGTGTGGTGACGCCAGCCTGTAGTCCCAGAGGCTCAGGCCTCAGAGGCTGATGCACGAGAATCGCTTGAACCAGGGGACGCTGAGGTTGCAGGGAGCTGCCGAGATCGCGCCACTGCACGCCAGGCTGGACGACAGAGTGAGACTGTCTCTCAAAAAAAAAGAAAATTCCTTACGGTTGGCAACTTGTCTAGTAGCATGTTTTGCACATAGGTTTTGTTTTGTTTGTTTTTGAGACAGACTCTCCGCTCTATCTCCCAGGCTGGAGTGCAGTGGCTCGATCTTGGCTCACTGCAACCTCCGCCTCTCAGGTTCAAGCGATTCTCCTGCCTCAGCCTCCCGAGTAGTTGGGATTACAGACGCCCAACACCACGCCGGGCTAATTTTTGTATTTTTAGTAGAGACAGGGTTTCTCCATGTTGGCCAGGCTGGTTTTGAACTCCTGACCTCAGGTAATCTGCCCGCCTTGGCCTTCCAAAGTGCTGGGATTACAGGTGTGAGCCACTGCACCCGGCCTTTTTTTTTTTTTTTTTTTTCAAGCAGAGTCTCGCTCTGTTGCCCAGGCTGGAGTGCAGTGGCGTGATCTAGGCCCACTGCAACCTCCGCCTCCGGGTTCAAGCAATTCTCCTGCTTCAGCCTCCTACAGGCACCCACCACCACACCCGGCTCATTTTTGTATCTTTAGTAGAAGCAGGATTTCACCATGTTGGCCAGGCGGGTCTCGAACTCTTGACCTCAAATGATCCACCCACCTCAGCTTCCCCAAGTGTTGGGATTACAGGCGTGAGCCACTGCGCCCAGCTGAGTAGGTCTTTTCTTTTTTTTAAAAAAGGCATGTATGGAGGATGGAAATCTTGATGTTTTGTTGGTTGAAAGATGAGTACAGCTAAAAAGTTGCTAAAAAGCAGAAAAACCGAGGCTGGCTTTGCTGCTGAGAGAATCCTTTGAAGCAAAGAAGCCAGAGAGACGAGGGAATCTAGGCTTTCAGAGAACAGTAATTTGATTCAGCCCAATTCATTTATTTATTTAATAAATATTTGTTAAATGCCTACTGTGTGCCTGGCTGGAGATTGAGCAATGATAGCTCCAACCTCACTGGCCTTCTGCGTGTTCCTCAAACGTAGGTAACCTATTCCACTGCAGAGCTTTTATATTTGTGGTTCCCTCTGCCTGGGGTACCGTTCCCTCTGATCTTCCCAAAACTAGCTCCTTCCTCATTCAGTCTTAGGCTCAAATGATAGTCAAAAATGCCTCCCTGACCACTGTAACTAAAGTAGTCCCTGTCAGTAGGCCAGTAACTCTCTCATATCACTCTGTTTATCTGTGTATTTTTTTACCTTGTAAAATCATTTCTGTTTGTTTTCTTATTTATTATCTGTCTCCCTCACTGTATGTAAATTGCATCTAGAATAGCATCTGGAGCACTAATTGACACATAGTGGGTATCAATTATTATTCCAGGTACTAGAGATACCTGGACCATTAACGGATAAATAGAAGATTCATTTGTTGAGTGACTGAGGATGGCAGTTCCTGCTACCTTCAAGGATCTGGATGATGGGGAGAAACAGAGAACATAGTGTGAGAATACTGTGGTAAGGAAAGTACAGAGGACTGGTAGAGTGTCTAACCTAGATTTGGAGAAGGACCTAGAAGTCTATCCCAGGGAAATAAAAATCTAAGCTAAGGTTTGAGGAATCAGTAGGAATTGGCAAAGGAAGGACATGTTCCAGATGATAGGAACAGGTTATGCAAAGATCCTGAAATGGTCAGAGCTTGGTGCTTTTTGAGAACCAAAAGTAGATTGTTATGGACCAGTGCTACTCCCTGCCTCTTGCCAAGGGACCCCGCCAAGCACTGCATCCCTTCCCTCTGACTCCACCTTTCCACTTGCCCAGTATTGTTGGTGTTTTTCTTCTTCCAGTTAAAGGAGAAATTAGCATTCTTGAAAAGGGAATACAGCAAGACACTAGCCCGCCTTCAGGTAAGTGAATCGTATTCTCAAATTAAGGTGTTATAGTACAAACAATTTAAAAACAGTTCTTGACTCTA